>NW_025791765.1:0-600000 GCF_000001405.40 Homo sapiens
GAATTCAATGTGGGTTAAACCCTTTTGGTTCTTGCTCAGACATCGCTAGCAAATTCTCAGAAAAGCAATAGGCTGTACCATTAGCCTATGTCTGTAGATGAATATACTATCTAGGTTTTTGTAGTGTGTTCTGATGTTCACACAATGATGAAATCGCCTAACAATGCATTTCTCAGAATGTATTTTGTTGCCATAGGATGCATGACTGTTAAATTCCTGTTCTAGCCCAAAGATTCTGTGAAAACTTCTGTGTAAAATAAATTTTTCCCCCCAAAGTGATGAGGTGTAGAATTTACTGTATTAATAGGAGGGAACTCTCACACTTACAAGTGCATTGTACAAAACCCCGTCTGCCCATGATGTACAAAAGTTGTTCCTGAATGAGATCATTAAGTTGGAATCACACACCCACATATTTCCAGAATTCCATCCAATAAATTCACAAACACTTGAAAATCACAATACGTATTTTAGGTAATGGGCCATAAGGGATTATTTTAATTGTAAGAAAATGTACAAAAAATTTGCTTTTTACAAATTTTCTATTTAATAGCAATAAAATGAAGTGACACTAAAGTACAAAAAAGCCTGAACAGTATGATTTCTTTGTATCAACAGTGAAGGGCTCCCTTGTATATGGAGTTCCCAAACAGTAAGTTTTCTTAATCCTGATCATCTGTGGCCAGTGTAAAAGAAAGGCCTGACAGGAAAAGTTAAGGAGCCAGCTGGGTAACTCCATATGAGGGAACTCTTGGTGACATTCAAAAAACTCACACTTCCACTTTCAAAATCAAGAAACACACCAACCCGGCCCAGAGGTTTCTCTATATAGTGAGGAAACTCTGGGGAGGTGGTCAAGAGACTGAAATGATTATCCACCTTCAGACACAAAAGAAGAAATATGTCCTCAGAGTTAACCATTGTGCTATTCTTCCTTATCCAGGAGTCGTTACAGACTCCCAGAGCCCAGTCACAAGAGTTGTCCACATCCAGCTCCCAGTAGTGTTTCCCAAAGGAGAAGACCCTGGCTCCCCATGCAGCAAAATAGTCAGATCTGTCAGAATTCAAAGGTCCACGTCTAAACATCCAACTTCTCACATCCTCAAAGAGCCTGATATTGTGATTGGTTACTTCACAATGGAAGGAAATTTCCACTGTAGAAAAAAGAGAATATTCCAGTGAAAAGCAGTTTACAAATTCTTATGTTCAGATAAGAAAGAGATTCTCACTAGAAAACACAGGTCAAGATTAGAAAGAAACTTCTGTCTGGAAAAATGTTGGAATCAAAGGGTGTTAGGAGATCTGCACAAGTAAATGGCTAAACTAGGATGATCACAATTTCCATAAACTCAAAAAGTATAAAGGGGAGGAAGGTCATGTCTATGTCTCGTTAGCGACCTTTCATAACAACTGAAAAACTGGAAGCTCCTGCACTGCAGCCAAGTCCATAGCAATAAAATTAACCTTCATTGTCTCTTCTCTGTCAGGGCAGAGCAGGAGGCTTTGGACAGGAGATGAGGTGGGCAGCCATTCTTAGTCCCAAATAAAAAAGTTATCACTTTCCAGAAATATTATGATCTGCCACTTAACCTAGCAAATTCATACTTAAAGAGAAAATCTGAATCTGCCTTCTGAAAAGTGCAGATTCCTTGCAAGAATTATCTGACTTTCATGCCAGATTCAGGCACAGACTTCTTTTATTCTGCTGGATTTGTCATGATCTATCCTGGAGTTCTATCTAAGACCTCGTCAACCACCAAATCCTGTTCCTATTGTTGACAGATTCTCAGTTTTTGCATTGTTATATAAGTTACTCATGTATGCTTTAGTTGATTAAAAACATGATTAAAATTATAAATGCTATGAAACTTCACCTAAAAATGTATTTAAAAAAAACACTGTCACTCAAATCAGTCGTTAACTGCACTGAATTTGAAATTGAAATGTCCTGAATTCAGTTCTGTATACTTCATGTAATAATTGTATACATGAAATTGTATCAGAGAATGGTTCCTAAAGTCCTAAAGAGCCCTTCTGCATGTTTTATTTTTCTAAGAAATTTGTTATATGGCTGATTCCTATTACATTTCACCAGCTTTTATTTTGTTTTGTCTGTTTGATGATAGTGAAACTATAAATACCTATTCACAGGCTATTCTCTTCTTCTAGATGAAAGATCATTACACTGGGAAAGCTGCCCATAGAAAACCATAATTGAAGGCATTGCATGGGGATCCCACCAACAGGGCCACACTCACCTCGGAAGCGGTTGAGCCTGTACACCAGTCCAGTGATGGGCCCTGCTGTGAGCTCTGGATTCACAGGCTGGGGCATGTGCAGCAGCACGGGCTCACTCCTGCAAGGAAGTAGGTTGAGTTGGTTAACTTTCTGATGTCTGTGTTTAAGAAACAGATTACAATAGAAAATGCTTCATTCAAGCTCACTTCTGATACCGTAATGTACCTCCACAACGCTAGGTTGGGTTTGTGGCTCTTAGGGAATCTTTCTAACTATTCACTCCATTTCTAACCTACTGCCACTGAAAGATAAATGCCTCTCTCCCTATCTGCCACCAAATAGTTTATCTCTAATTATGATTCTGAATCGCAAAAAGAGGCAACTGTATTCTAGCAACCTCTGCATTGCACTCTTCAAAACATAAACCCCTGAGTCACCTGGGAAAGTAAGAAAAGATTAATATCTGATAAAAGGCATAGGTGACATTCATCATACCACATAAACACATGAGTACACACACATACACACACAATCACACTGACACATTATGGTGTTAGTAAATTATGTTTTCACTTTGTTGGAAACAGCTTGATGTTTTTCATAGCATGCCTTGTGCTCCAGTTTGCACTGGTGGCCAAAAACATACCTTGCCACGATGTCTCCCAAATCCTGTAGAGAGAGAGAGAGAAAAAAAAAATGACTTCTTTAGAAAGTTGTTATTCTTGTTGGGTGAGGTGGTTCACACCTGTAATCCCAGCACTTTGGGAGGCCAAGGTGGGTGGAACACCTGAGGTCAGGAGTTCCAGACTAGCCTGGACAACATGGCAAATCCCATTTCTACTAAAAATACACACACACACACAAATAGTGGGGTGTGGTGGTGCATGCCTTTAGTCCCAGCTACTAGGGAGGCTGAGGCAGGAGAATTGCTTGAACCAAGGAGGCAGAAGTTGCAGTGAGCTGAGATTGGGCCACTGGACTTCTGTCTGGGTGACAGAAGAAGACTCTGTCTCAAAATAAACACACAAAAAAGTTGTTATTCTGCCTATCTGGTCTTCAGGTTTTGAAAACTTTAGAATTACCACATACTATCACTGCAACTATTTTAAAATGTATTCTTATCTCTAACAATTATACCAGTAAGACCTATTGACAATATGGATTTCTGATAAATTAAGGACCCTAAATTTGAGTGAGAGAGAAAGGTGTGAGTAGTGACTGCGCATTGCTGCAGCTGTCTACAACGTGGTCTTTTTCAGGGCTAGTCCCCAAAGTGTAATGTGGCTCAAATCAAGAGCATTTCAAACCTAGGACTTCCCAAAAGGAGGAAGAAGGAAATGTCAGTTTTTCCATAATTTCTATGTATTATCCATTGGAGTTAAAAATAGAATTTTCACATGAAATTTTTTCTTCCAGAGTTTTAATGAAATGCGCTGGAGGAGGAAGCTTGTGGTAGAAAATGTTGTATGGAAAGCTAGTTGCACAATTCCATAAAGCTTTATTTCCATTATATAGGGTAGGAGTTATAGTTTATCTCTATAACCGGTGGGAATGACTCTCATCGTCAGTGCAGGAAACGAAGAAATAATGTCTTTGGTACCCAATGGAAGGCAAAGATGTAAAGGTCAGCTAACACAAAGTGTCTCAAGGGGCATCCTCCGTTCTTACCTGGAGCAGCTCCACATCTGGTTTATGACACATTTCCATTAGTTCCTGATACATTTCTTTTAAGTGTTTACTCTTTTGATCCATTTTGACCCAGCTTCTCTGGAGTTGCTGAAAAATCTCTTGGTATTCCTTGTTCAGTCTCTCTAAATGTTGTTTTTCTTCCTTATGGAGAACCGGATGCAGCTTCCTATACTCATTCCTGATCATCTGTGCCCGTAAAACCACATCGCCCTGTAGGGATATGAATTTTGTAGGTTATATACCCAGGCCTACTTCCACATCACAGAACCCACAACTTCATCCTCCTCATTCCTTCTTTTATTTTCCATCCTTTACAAACAGGATGATGAGTTAAGCAAGACCTTCCTTCAAAATTTGTGTAATTCATCAATTCCCAAACATCTGCAAAAAAGCCCTTTGGATTTAAATGTTTAAATCTATGTCCTCTCAAATCGGAAATACCATTAGAAAACAACTAAAATTTATGATTGATTGTTCAGTTGTCATGGATAATACACATAATCTTTGTTACTCAATTAGGTTGTTGTTTCAAATCTCTGTACTTCACAGCCTGAACAATCACTCTTAGTAGAAATGTTTTTAGTATATTATAATCAGGATCAGAAGCCATCACACAAAAAAGATCTTAGTAAAAAATTTAACCCCCATCTCTCAAACCGACTACCTCTTTTCTGTCTCCTGTCTTTCTTCTGTCAAATCCATAGACTCTGTATTGCACTGCCATTCTAAGAACATTAATCCCCATTCCATTGTGTTTCTCCTCTCAATAATGACATATTTATCCTCTCACTGCCCCAGTCATTTTTTATCCCTTCTCCTCAGCTTTTCCTCACGTTGCATTTTCTCCTACTTGGACTGGCATCATGTGGGTCCTTTGCTATCAGATTTCACCAGCACAGGCACATTTCTTAAATTACTGTTCCCACCCGATTTCTTCCCCCTGGACAATATCATATTCACCAATAAATGCCTTTATTTCTCAATTATATACTATTTAATCAACATTTCATAATTAATTTTATACAGAAAACTCTGTCTGAAATACTTATTAATTTTAAGCACATACTTGCCCTTCAGAATTTATATTTATTTTTTACTTATCTGAAAAGCATTTACAGAAAACCTGAACAATCATTATATTGAACAGTCTGGTTGTTTTCCAGCCTATGAATAAACACATGACAAAATCTGGCATATGAGAATTTCAACTCAAGTTGCTAATATAAATGTTGTCAGCATGCCTGTCTCAAGCTGGTCAGGAGGACTCACGGTCTCATACTCACCCTCCAGAGGAAGGCTGTTCTTCTCTCCTCATATAGATTTCTCTGATTTTCTTGAATCTTTTTCCATAAAATCCTCATTTGCTTTAAGAGTTTCTCCTGCAAAAGAATTACAAGGTTGAACAACAGAAAGTCAAATACCAAAGATTCCACAATCTGAGTGGTATACACAGGCAAGGGATCTAATATATAAATACATTAGTGAGAGGAGAAAAAACCAAAATTTTTCATTGCTCATCCTTAATTGATATTTTTCAGTTTGAGGTTTCAGAATGTAGAACAGTTTAGGGAACTGAAGAATGAAGATTTCCTGTAACCCAGCTAAATTAGTTCAGGGAAACATCCTGCTTCAGAATCCACTATGCTAGCCCCTGATTTTGTAGCGTGCTACTCCCATACTCATTTGTCCAGTAATATTAAATATATTTCCAAAATACATTTCTTTGCACTGGTAGCTTTGGTAGCTTTTCAATGTCATTAGCATTGAACTGTAGAGTCAATAATAATGACATTTACTTAATCAGTCTCTTTTTGGGTGCAAGCTCCATGAAGGAAGGTAGAGTTGCACATTTTATTCAAAATGTCATCATTGGTACCTAGAACAGCACCTGGCACTCAGTAAAGAATGGAGTAATCACCGTGATTCTCATCATCCTTCTAATCTCTTTAACTCTGCCACCCTCCAGCTTTCAGGTGATCACAGAGCTATCTCTTACCCGGTGTTCCTCAGCTGCCTCTTCGATGGGATAGTGTTTGTGAGCCCCGTGCTCCTGAGAGTTGGAGCACAGCAAGCAGAGGAGACTCTTGTCCATGTCACAGAACATCTTCTTTGTTTGCCTATGGGTCCCACATATTTGTTTCTCAGAGCTCAGGAATTGCCAGAGACTGGCTTTTCTGGCAATGGTCACTAAATTCTTCAGAAGAATATTGGTTTTGAAGTCCTTTTTCTGTGATGGTTCCCTGCATGCACGGCAGTTGGCAGGACTTTGGGCTTCCTCCCAGGAAAGGCAGAGAGGGCCTGCAGAAGCTGTGCCCACAGCAGATGGTGACAGGGTCTACCAGGTAGTTCAAACAGATGACACAGGCGAGTTCCTTCTGGAAGGCATGTGAGAAGTCTGAGTCCATTTTCCTAAGGAAAGAAAACCACAAGAATTTAATCTTCTACCCTGGAGAGACAAAGATCCAAACAAAGTTTGAATCGGATTGTGATAGAATAATATCCTTTCTTTCTAGAGAAGTATAGGCTTTAATTTGCAATGACAGAAATAGGAAAAATAGAAAACTAAGGCACAAAGAGACATCAACCTCTAGAAAAAGTGACTGTTCTCCAATTAACACATGACCAGCTTTCCAAACTCTACTTTCTTGCATGGAAGAATGTTGGATTTTTTGAGGTGTTAGTATCCACCAAATTGCTTGGGCTTCAAGGGTTTCATCAACCTGTAAACTCAAGGTTTGAGTCTTGAATGGTCTGAAAGTCAGTAACACTCTTAATTGCCAGTGATTGGTTTAGAGAAGGAAAGCTAACTAAGCTCTTCTACTCTCATTATTTTATTTAACTATAACAACCATCCATAATGACTTTTCCAGAAGGACATTGCTTGAAATTGTTAGAGCAGAACTCATACTTTGACCCAAATCAGAAAAAGCTAGCCTTTACTCTCCAAGGAAAAACAGTCAAATCAAGGTAAGGTACCTCTCCAAGGTAAAGCTAAGAATCATTGTTTTTCTAGGCTGCTATGTTAATTTAATCAACAAAAACTTTCTGGCATGTTTACTGTTCCTGGACAGTCTGTTAATTTGGGGATATACTGGTTAATATTACAACATCCTTAAAAGACAGACAATTAATTAAATTTACAAAAAGATAATGATAATTGAAGCATTATCATTACTCTTTCACACAATCAGGAAAAGAGTAAGTATCATGCAATAGAGGCCGGGCACGGTGGCTCACGCCTGTAATCCGAGCACTTTGGGAGGCCGAGGTGGCTGAGGCGGGCAGATCACGATGTCACGAGATCAAGACCATCCTGGCTAACATGGTGAATCCCTATCTCTACTAAAAAATACAAAAAATTAGCCGACTGTGGTGGCAGACGCCTGTAGTCCCAGCTACTCTGGAGGCGGAGGCTGGAGAATGGCGTGAACCCGGCAGGCGGAGCTTGCAGTGAGCCGAGATAGTGCCACAGCACTCCAGTCTGGGTAACAGAGCAAGACTCTGTCTCCCCCCAAAAACAAAAACAAAAACAAAAACTAGGCACTAGACAGTAAGTCAGCGTTTTAAATGTATGTTTTGCTAAAATACAAATAAAAATAAAAACCAAGCCAGGGAAGGTGATTCAAGCCTGTAATCCCAGCATTTTGGGAGGCCAAGTCAGGCAGGTTTTTTGAGCTCAGGAACTCTAGACTGGTGACACGGCAAAGTGTCTAGATCATCCTGTCTCTAAAAATACTTATATAAATTTAAAAAAAAAAGGCCGGGCGCGGTGGCTCAGGCCTGTAATCCCAACACTTTCAGAGGCCGAGGTGAACGGATCACAAGATCAAGAGATGGAGACCATCCTGGCCAACATAATGAAATCCCGTCTCTACTAAAAAAAATACAAAAATTAGCTGGGCGTGGTGGTGGGCACCTATATTTCCAGCTACTCTGGAGGCCGAGGCTGAAGAATCGTTTGAACCTGGAAGGCGGAGGTTGCAGTGAGCCAAGAGCGCCGCTGCACTCCAGCCTGGCAATAGAGCGTGATTCCATCTCAAAATAAATAAACAAACAAATAAATAAATAGCTGAACATGGTGGCCCATGTTTAATCCATAAACCTATGGATTATGTTTAAAATAATTTTAAAAAAGAAATGGAGCCGTTTTTAAAACTCAGAAAATGAGATCATTTCATCTAAAAATAATCTAAGCTTGCAGATAAATTAAAGTCCCCAAATTTTGTTTTGGTTTGTAACCTAATAGTAGCTCCTACTCTGGAAATTGTGTACTTACCTCAGAAATATATCTATGTTCTCACCAAAGCTTGCTGTCGAATCAGATGAATTCAGCTCAGGGATGAGAGTCTCACAGTGCAGTGCTGGTAGCTTTCGGAAGTCCCCAAAGCCAGTTGCAAAGCTACTCTGTGGGCTCTGGAGAAGAATGAGCTTGGCTCCTGAAGTGTCGGTTTATAAATCTCTGAAGACCACACCCCTTTCTTCCAATTGATTGCATTTCACAGGGCGTAGGTGGGTGTTAACATAGATGATTAAGTTTCTTCAAAACAGAAGTTTTACGTTTATTTATTTATTTATTTTTTGAAAGGAGTCTGGCTCTGTCGCTGGCTAGTTTTTTTCTTGCATTTTTAGTAGAGGGGGGTTTGATATAATTGATATAATAGGAATTGCAAATAGAGAAGCCCACACAAGCTAACCAAATTAATTCTAGTTTATTGGATAAATGGCATGATATGTATTCTAGTTCAAATTTGAAGGTGGGTATAAATCTTTTCAGACACTGGAGATGAGACATTTCACCAAAATTGGGTGTGAGGAAGAGGAAAGAAATAGAATAGTATATAAAATAGTATATAGAGTAAAAATATAGTAAAAGGAAAAATCAATCTGCATAATATGGTGTATGGCTAAATGGTTTTTAACATTTAGGCGAATCAGACATGGAAAAATCCTAAAAGGGAGATTAATAGAGGAGATAATTGACTCAGTAAGAACTGTGAAGAAGCATCTCAGGAAGAGAAACTAGAAGTCTTTATATAGGTTTTGATTTAAAGAGGGAGAGAGAATAGGAACATTGAAAAAGATGGACAGAAAGAAATAACAAATATTCAAGACTCCTTGCAAGAGTGAGGCAGAAAGTTTATAGATTGCTTGATTACACCCAGCATATAATTATTTGAAGTTTTCTGTTGAGAGTGAGAGTATGTAATCCTTTTAACCAAATGTCTCCGCAGAACTATGTGTCATTAAGTAAGGTGATAATCAATATTCAATATCAAAAGATGCGTCTATTTCTCGATGAGGAGAAGCAACTGCATCTGCAGGCACTGGACAGAGAAGCAAAAGGGCTTTTCCAACAACTACAAGACAGTCAAGTGAGAATGACCCAACATTTAGAAAGGATGAAAGACATGTACAGAGAGCTGTGGGAGACGTGCCACATGCCTGACGTGGAGCTGCTCCAGGTGAGGAGGGAGGGTCCATCCCCAAAGAAAGGAAGCCTTTGCTGGACAATGCTGCCAGGACATGCGAATGTCACCTGCATATGTCACTGCTCTCAGCTTAGTGACACATGCTGTCTGACTCCCACATTACATTTGTCCAGTTTTTCAGAAAAAAGCTACAAAAGAAGCTTATTAGAGGGGAATATTCCCTGTGGTCAGTGTTTGATAAAGGGGAATATAAAATTACATCCACTCAAAGATTCCAAAAAAGCTTGCTTGTTCATGGTTAGGATAAGAATTACATTTCACCTATGTTATTTCTATTTGGAAAAGTTCCTCCCTCTTAGAAGCAGGAGATACATATATGATATATATTATATATATATATATATATATATATATATATATATATATATGGTACATATATATGTATACACACATACATATATATACACCCCCCCACACACACATATCTATGGTGTTGAATAAATAATATCACCTAAGCCAGGGGTGTGCAATCTTTTGGCTTCCCTGGGCCTCATTAGAAAAAGCATTGTCTTGGGCCACACATGAAATACACTAAGATTAACTATAGCTGGTGAGCTTTAATAAAATGACAAACAAAAATCTCATCATGTTTCAAGAAAGGTTAGGAATTTGTGTTGGGCCACATTCAAAGCCGTCCTTGGCCGTATGTGGCCCACGGACCGTGGGTTGGGCAAGCTTGTTGTAAGGTATGAACTTCAAATACTACAAAAATTTTTAAGGCATATTATTGGTTCTTTCCTGGAGCAGCTCCACATCTAGTTTATGGCACATTTTTATCAGCTCCTTATAGATTTTTCTTAGGTGTTTTTTTTTTTTTTCTGAACCATTTTGTCTTTTTGCTTTTCTTAAGTTGCTGTAAAATCTTTCTGTCATCATCTGTAAGTTTCTCTAAATGTTGTTTTACTTCTCATGGGGAACTGAATGCAGCTTCCTCTACTCAGCTCTAGTCATCTCTGCCCGTAGCTACACATAGCACTGCGGGGACCTGGATTTCCTAGATGACATATTTACTCTGAATTCATCCTCCTCCACTTATACCTCTTCTATTCACTTTGACTCATTTTCTTTTCTTTATCTCTTTCATCCTTTCTTTATAATAAAGATCAGGGTCTCACTATGTTGATGGCCAGGCTGGTTGGAAACTCCTGGTCTCAAGTGGTCTTCCCAAATTATTGGGATTACAGACATGAACCACCGAGCCTATCCTGACTCATGTATTCTACCAATAAGCTAAGTACATAAACTCGTGTCTTCCCACTTGACAGAACCATGAAATAAATCATTCCTGTCTTCCTTTCATTTATTTGTATTGTTTCTTAATAATACTGACAGCCAAATTCATTCTTTCCTCAAACCACTTTCATTCATTATATGACTTCCTAAAACACCTGAAGAAAGGTTATTATTGATCGTTTCTTCAATATATATCCATTGATATCTGAAAGCCTACATGAGAGCCATTGGAATTTATGGTTGATTCACAAATAATTTTTTGCAGTATTATGATCTCTGTGTTTTTAAATTAGTTTTTAGTACCAGGTCTTCCTACTCCATAGCCTGACCACTCTCTCTGAGCAGTAATCAATGCTGCATTGTACCCTCAGGATTGGAAGCCATGAGAAAAATCTTCCTCAAATCCTACCAAGATGATTTCCATTCAAGTGATAAGTGGATACATTTCTAGCATGTCTGTCTGAGGCTAAATCTGAGGGAAAAGGCCTAATACTTACAATCCACTGGTTGGTTTTCCTGCTTTCCTCATTTAAATTTCTTTGGTTTTCTTGAATTTTTGCCCACAAACGTCTCATTTGCTTCATAATCTTCTCCTGTAAAAGAACTATGAATGTGAACATCAGAGAAGCAAATCATTTTAGGTTTCAGACCCTCAGTGATAAAGAAATCAAGGGATGAGATATGAGAGAGATTTGGGAAGATCTCGGACTGTAGAACCACAACGTGTAACGCAGCAAGTTTAATAGGAAAATCATAGGCAGGGCTAATTTACAGATAATGTGGCACCTTGCATCAGAATTGGAATCTACTGACACCGTGCCTTGCTAATTCTAGCGTGTTTTATTCTATTATTTCCAGTGTTGGTAAATAGGTTTCTTATAGAAAAGACTTTTTAACTTGTAGTTTGGATAGCCAGAAACTCTTCTGATATTGAGCTCTTTACAGTGCCTTGAACACTGCATCAAGTAGTCAAATTATTACAATGATTATTAACTTCATCACTCCCTCAGTGAAATGTAAGCTCCAGGAGGGAAAGTACACTCAGATTATATTTATTATTTTATCATTGATACCTAGGCACTACATGACATCCAGTACAGAACAGATTACTCGTCATGCTCTTCATCTTCCCCTAATCTCTTTACCTGTGCCATCCTCCAGCTTTCAAAGTGCTCTCAGAGCCATCACTTACCCAGTGTTCCTTAGCTGCCCCTCACAGTGTGTGTGAGCCCCATGCTCCTGAGAGTTCCAGCACAGCAAATGAATCAGGCTGTTTTTCCACCTCTCCAAATATCTTCTTTGTCTCCCCATGGGTTCCATACATTTGCTCATTAGGACTCAGGAATTGCCAGAGACTGGCTTTTCTGGCAATGGACACTAGATTCTTCAGAAGAATATTGGTTTTGAAGTCCTCCTGCTGTGACAGTTCCCAGCATGTGGGCAGCAGGTAGGAATTTTGGTTTCTTCCTAGGAAAGGCAGAGACAGGGCCTACAGAAGCTGGGGCTGCAGCCTGTGGCGATGGGGTCTACACATTAGTTCAGACAGAAGAGGCAGATGGGTTCTTTCCGGAAGGCTTGTGTGATGTCTCAGACCACTTTCCTGAAGGAAGGAAATTAGGAAAGGTATGATACAAACTTCTTCATCTTATGCCCTGAGAAACAAAGACCAAAGCAAAATTTGACTCAGGTTGTGACTCAATGATAAACTTCTGTCTAGAGTAGAATAGGCGTTATTTTGCATAAGACAAAAATAGAACCTGAGGCACAAAGAGAGCTCTCAGATCTGTAGGTAAAATTGTCAGATGCATGCATAACTCACAGGGCACTACATCCTACCCTTTTCTTTTGCATAGAAAAATGAACCTCAGAGAGGCCAGATATAGTGGCTCACACCTGTAATCCCAGCACTTTGGGATGCCAAGGCTGGTAGATCAGGTTGGAGACCAGCCCAGCCAATATGGGGAAACCCCATCTCTACTAAAAATACAAAAACCAGCCAGGAGTAGTGGCACATGCCTGTAATCCCAGTCACTCAGGGGACTGGGCAGAAGAATCGCTTGAACCCTGAGGTTGCAGTCAACTGAGATTGAGCCACTGCTCTTCAGCCTGGGCAATAAAACAATACCTGTCACAAAAAGAGAGGAAAAGAAGGAAGGAAGGAAGGAGAAAAGAAAAGAAAGAAAAGAAGAAAAGAAACCTCAATTTTGTTGAGTTTTGACTTTACTCCAAAAAGCTTGAGGTTTAAGAGTATGAAATTAGGACCAATTTATACCATTAGACGATGGGTCCTGAATACTCTGAAAACCATTCTTAATGCTTATTGTGATTGGTTTAGGAAAGATCGATTTAGTACAAAAGAAAAAAAAGTGATTGGTTTAGGAAACTGTATTTCACTGAGATTTTACTCTCATTATTTCATTTTGATGTCATAATTTTCTCCTTTAAAGTACTTAGAAAAATCTCAATCACAAGCCACCACTGCAAAATAATTTCTAAATAAATAAGCAATATTTATTTACTGAACATTTGTTGAAATTTCATCAGATCAGGTTTCACCCAAAATTTGATCAGATTTCACCCAAAAATGCTAAAGAGGCATTTGGTATACTCTAAAACACAATATTACCCTCAAATTATTCAACATATTACCTAAGTTGTATATTATAGAATATTTTGTCTTGTGCATATATTTATGTGCCACCTTTAGAATTGAAGGTAATACATTTATACACAACATATGGAATAAAATATTCTCAATAAAATTTAAGATATACAACAAGTATAAAATTGCAAGATATCTGAAAACTATTTTCTGAGTTCTTAGAATACATAGGAACAACTAATGAATACATAAATGATACAAGTAAAATTAATCTTCACTGTAGTTCACAAGTATGTAGGAAGACAGGATAACAAAATAAGAGTAAAAACATTTTTACTAATTAAGCAAATGACATCATTTCATAGAAACAAGCTCAGTTTGTTGAAAAATTCAACGTAGGGCAGTCTGTTTTGGACTGGAAAACTAGCAGGAACTCCTCCTCCGTTAGCTGTGTTCTCACCCTAGAAATATACTTATAGTCTCACTGATACTTGCTGTAGAAGTAATAATATAAAGTCTGATCAGGGATCAGGGCCTCGCCATATAGTGGCAGTAGCTTTCAGACATCTTCACAGCCAGTTCCAAAGCCACTCTGTGTGTCCCAGAGAAGAATGAGCTTGGCTCCTTGTACCTCTTTATCTTGACTCTCTGAAAAATCACACTCATTTTGAAAAGGCTGTACATTTCTTGGAGTTTAGGATAGCCCTTAGGGTTCTTGATTAGATTTCACCACAAGAGAGGAAATGATTGATTCAACACCTTGGCTAATCTCCATAAACACACTTTAAACTTCCTCTCATCAAGAACCTCTGAGTTTATAACAAATGAACCCTCAAATACCAAATTTGTGGATAATTTTTGGAGTATTTTAATATTTTACTCATCAAAAGATGGGAAAGAGGATACCATCAATTTATGATTTTAATAAATGTCTTCAAAAGTCTGGAATTTTTTTCTCATTTTTCTTTTTTTTTCTTATGTTTTTGGAAATGTTTTGCCTGAAGTTGGCTTTAATTCTAATAGTCACTGAGCTAGACTGGAAATGCACTTTGCTGTTGCTTTTAAGACTTGATCTCTGGTTTTAATGTATTAATGTATTACTGTCAATTCATATATTATATATATATTTTCTGGCTCTGTAGCCCAGGCTGGAGTGTGGTGGTGGAATCACAGCTCACTGCAGCCTTAAACTGCTGGGCTCAAGTGATCGTTTTGCCTCATTATCTCAAAGAGCTGAAATTACCGACGTGAGCCGCTGCACCCGGCCTATTAATTTATGTTTTTAATAAAAGCATAAGAATTATCCTTATTATAAATTAAGAAATAGAATATCTTTAAGAAAATATTTTTAAGGAAATATAATATCTTTAAGGAAAAATGAAATCTCCAGTAGCTATAGACTGCTATGAAAACCACCGTTACAATAGCAATTTTGTGTATGTCTATATAACACATACATATGTAAATACATTTAATATATACACGAATTTTTTCACATTTTCCAGTCATTGAAGAATAAAAATTATAATTTATATTAATAAAAAGTGAAATAAGTAAAATTTGCTGTTTAGTGAAAACTTTGCTTAGCAACTTAAATGAAGCTGCAGAAAATGTGACTTGGATAATAGATGTAAAAAAATGTCATGAGGGCTTCACAGATGGACAATTAGAGGTAAACTAGGGAGTAATAGTGACATATGGAGGATGGGAGTATCACGTATGTCCTTTATAAACAGCATCATGTGTGATTGACTGTAGCACAAAGGGGAACTAAGTAGAGAAGATGAGGAGAGTACATATTCAAGGATATAATGTTTGATTTGATAGTTTTTTCAGAGTAAACAAATACATTATTGAATTCAGGAAGCCAAACAATCCCCATTTTGGATGTGTAAAACATAAATTTACTTTGTTTTGAATGTGCAAAACAATATATTTTGGCTGATTTTTAGTATTTCTCTGTCTTTGGTGGCCGATTCATTATGATATTTTAAGTTTGAAACCACCACCAAAGATGAAGAATCTCTTAAAAGCAACCAAAATAAACTGTTTCATTGTGAGGGAACACTTAATAGAGTGACAACAGACTGCTCCACAATCATAAATCATAAATGTAAGTATAAGACAGTGGACTAATATTTGTAAAGTGTCAAAAAATGTAACTGCAACCTTGTAAATGCAACCTTGACCTCCTGGGTTCAAACGATTCTCCTGCCTCAGCCTCCTAAGTAGCTGGGACTACAGGCACCCACCACCAAGACCGGCTAATTTTTGAATTTTTAGTAGAGACGGGATTTCACCATGTTGGCCAGGCTGGTCTCAAACTCCTGGCCTCAAGTGATGCACCTGCCTCGGCCTCCCAAAGTGCTGGGATTACAGGCGTGAGCCACTGCTCCCAGCCACCAACAGCCTTTTAAAATCACAAGGCACAGCTTCCTTTACTGGAGCATGCTGCTTAAACTCTTGATGAATCAAAATAAATCTTTCAAGATTTTCTATTTTTTTACATGGTCATGAAATTTATGTTGGTGTGTATTTTCAAAATCGCACGTTTCCTTCATATTTGATCATTTCCTTAGTTCACAAGCATGGGCATAATGACTTTTTGTGGTTATGTAGCTATCACTACATTGTTCTCTGGGAACAGAGTTTGTAAACTACATTGCTGAAGCAAGCCTGATTTTTATCTCTGAAAAAAGAACCTCCCTTAGATTTTGGTTTTTTATTGGATCCTGATTTTTTAACATGTAAAAATCACCTGTATGTTTGCTACCTAATTTTGCCTAGATTTCCGAGTCTGTTAAATTTGCACTCATGAATATATAACAGAGGCATAAATATTTTAAATTATGTTTCTCTTTATCACCCCTGTTCTAATGACTAGTATATAGGGAAATATTTCCTTATTGGGTTTGACTTTCAATCCTGTTTTTCTGTCTGTTTCACTCTTTCTTTTCTTTATTTAATCTCATATACCTCTACTTCATGAACTGAGACTGTTCTTCCAACTTTTATATTACTTCTTTGCTCATTGGCAGGGCCGGTTCTGGTTGCTATGGTCCCGCCCCTTAGTTGCTTTTTTAAACAAGTACATTTAGATTTTTATTTTCTCATGTATCAGCAGTGTTGATAGATTACCTTTTCACTCGTTACATCTGAGTGAAATGAGTATGAATAAATATGTTCGTTCCATTTTCATCCGGGTCCTGATATTTTTTCTTCATTCTATTGATTACGTAAAATATTTTGTAGAAATTTTCTTTGAAAATTGGCAGGGTATTTAATTTTGTTTTTTTCTCTCTAATCTTTTAAAAATCAAGCAATTACATTTGTTTATTTCAAATAATAATACTCAACAATGATAATCTGTTAATTATAATGTCTTGATCATGACGCAGTTTCATCTATGGCTATTTGTTGTTTATTTATTCGAAACTCAGTCATTCATTTGGTGATTAGTAGCAATGTGATAAGCTCCTGTGACTCTAACTCACAAAATGCAAGTTGGGGCAATAACTTATATCTCATTTGAGGTTATCCACAATCGCACATTCCTATCTCCTAATGCAGTTTATTTCTTTTATATGTATGTATCAGTTAACATTTTGTCATTTATTTCTTTAAAGCTACAAAAATATGTTAATGCAAACTAATTTATTAGTCTTTTCTTTCATGCTTAGTGCTTTGCATATTCTCTTTAAGAAATCTTTCCTACATGCATATTCATGAAATATCTTTTTACACTATTTTCTAAAAGCTTTTTTCTTTTGCCTTTCACATTTCAGTTTCTAATTTAGAGTTGATATTTGTATCAGTGTAGAAGTAAAATGAAGAGGTTAAGATTCATTTTGATGTAATATGGATATCTAATTGATCCAATATAATTCAGTTATTAGAATTTTTTTCTACTACATCACTGCTATGGCCTGAATGTCTGCGTCACCTCCAAAGTTCCTGTTAAAACTGAATCTCAAGGCAACAATATTAGAAAGTAGACCCTTTGGGAGGTGATTAGGTCATGAGGGCTCAGCACTGGTGAATGAGATTCCTGCCTAATAAGGTGGCTTTACACAGACTTGCCACTTTTGCCTTTCCACCTCCAACATGTGACAACACAGCCACAAGGTGCAATCTTGGAAGCAGGAACAGTCCTCACCAGACACCGAGATTGCCAGCATCTTGACCTTGGAATTCACAGCCTTTATAACCATGAAAAAAATAAATTTATGTTGTTTGTTAATTATCCAATCTAAAGTGTTATTTTTTGTACAAATGGTTTGAGACAATTGCTGTAGCACTTTTATTGTAAATTGAGTGACTATATGTACATGCAGATCTGGTTTTAGTTTCTCTGACTCATTGCACAGGGTTATCTGTCTCAGCCTTCACCGATACCATACTGTTTTGATTCCTGTTGCTTAATATAAGCTTCAATATTGGGAAGTGTTAATCTTCCAATCTTGTTCTTATTATGTAAGATTACCATGGTTGTTTTTGTTTGTTTGTTTTCTGCCTCTTCGCATGTCCATCTAAGTTAGAAACAGCTTTTAAATTTCAACAAAATTCACAGGGATTTTGATTGTCACAGTATTCCATTAATTTGGAGAGAGTTATTATATTCACAATATTAAGTTTCCTAATACAAGAACATGGTAAAACCTTTCGCTTATTGAGTCTCCTTGATTCTCTCTCAGTAACCTTTTGTACATTTGCACATACTCTTTATAACTTTTTATTTTACCATAATATCAAACAGTGACAAGTTGGAAAAACACTGTAAGAAATATAAATTGGACCCAGATTCATCTACTGTCAATAGTTGACTTTCTACTTCCATATTCCTTCTGTAAGTTGGTATTCTGGGTACTATTAATGCACAGGAAACAAACTACCCACCAACTTAATAACACATGAAAACTGCAATCAACTGCCTATCATCTCTATGGTTCTGGATGTTTCCTGGGCTCCACAAGGTTCCTGCCAGGCTTTCCTAAGGATGCAGTCAGTGAGTGGCTAGGGTAGGCATCATCTCAAAGGTGGATGACATTAGACGTAAGGTTCTCAGCTGGAGTTGTTTGCCAATTCATGTGGCTGCTTGGTTTACTTGAAACTTCCAGAGGAGGAGCAGGCAGAAGTTATGCAGCCTCGATGACCTCTTATAGCCTCAGAAGACAAACAGCATTGCTTCTACACAGTTGCATGCCTACCAAAATTCAACAGAAGGAAGCATAAGGCAGTAGGTTCAATGGGAGGAGAGTCAAGATTACCCTGTTAGAAAAAAATGTAGGATAGGAGATCTTGTCACAGCCTTGTTGGAGAATACAACAGGCATCAGTCCACCCTGTGACCAAAGCAATTCACATTCCTCCCACATGCTAAACACTCTAATTCTTACCTGAACATGCCCAAGTATTATCCCATGATAGTGTTACCGCATCATCAAAATGATGTCCTCGGGGAGTGATATCAGCAAAATGACTGACTAGGAGACACCAGCCTTCGCCTGCCTACCCCAAAAAATACAAACACAAAAACAAAAGCAAGACCAACAATGGGACAGCTATCCAAGATGGAAAATAGCCCTTGGAGTGTTCAAGAGCCCAGTTAAGAATGTGCAGGAACACAATTAGAAAAAACGCCCAGAATAACCATACAGAAAGCATCGCCAGAAGACGGCATGCCTGAGAGTCCTGAGACCTCTAAAATGAAAGAAGCAGGAGGCAATTGTTATCAGCCAGGAGGCAGGGTCACTGCACTCCCTATGGCCTGCTCTGTGGAGGACGCTGCAGCCTTTGCAGCTAATGACCTAAGTAAACCCCCAGGCAGCCCCGACCCTACAACATTCCCAGTGGATGCCCATTAGGATTCATTGTTGAGGATTACAGCAGCCTGCTCCAGAGGACACTGGTGCTTTTGGCATTAAGGTAACCTGCAGCTATAATCATATCACCCCAGAGAGGAAGATGCTGTGAAACCCTCCTCCCACACTCTCTCAAGAAGCAACCCCTCCTGTGCTGCCTAGGATGGGGCTTCATTGCCCTAAACCCAGGCTCCAGGGCCTCATCCACGGCTGGCAACTCAGACACCGAGCCACCTCCATGTGGACCAGCCCAGGCCCATGCCCAGATTTGCTGACACTCCCAACTTCACTGTCACTCCAAGTGCACCAGCAGCCTGCCCTGTGGCTGCTGTGGAAATTGCCTAAGACATAAAACAATATACAGCCACACAGTGGAGTGAAATGCAGAGAAAAACCACACAGAAATGATCACTGGGAGATGGCATACTTGAGAGTGCTGAGAAATAATGGCAAATACATCAAGAGTAATAAAAGATGTTGGTCTATAAGATCAAGACAAAAATCACTGAAAAAATAATGAAACTTATTCAGGATAAATGCCATGCATTATCCTAAATGCTGGTGTAACCATTCAGGATAAACTACAACTATACATATTATATAACTATACATATTTTATAATTATTATATTATATAACAGATAGTGTAACCACTCAGGATAAACTACAACTATACATATTATAGTTAAAACGCTGAACCAGACAAAGAGAAAATCTCAATTGTATCAAGAAAAAATGGGCTCATTATACCAGAAAAACAATAATAGAATAATTGGCTAACTGTTCACAAGACTGATAGAGGCTAGAAGACAGCGGGATTACATATTTAAATGCTGGGTTCGGGGGACTCAGCAAAGGGTTCAATATCCAGTTAAAACATGTTTCAAAAATAAAGGTAAAGTAAAAACATTTCTTTACTAAAAAATGAAGAGAAATGATTACTTGCAGAGATATGTTCTATAAAACATTCAAGAGGAAATTCTTCAAAATCACAGGAAATCACAGCAGATCGTAGCTTGAACGCACAGCGAGAAAAGAAGACTTCAAAAATAATAAAGAAACAAGAAAGAAGCAAGAAACAGCCTAACAAAAGTGTTCACTTCTATTTATATGAGATTGTAGCACAGGGAAAACCAAATTATTATAATGAATATCTGAATACCAGTTACCTTGATTGGGATGGGGGAGCAGTTGATGCCTGGGAAGGTGCACAAGGGATGAATCTGGAGAATTTGAAATATTCTAGAGATTCATCTGGATGGCGAACATACGTAAAACTTAGTTGCATATTTAACATTTCCATCCTTTGTGAGTGTTTTATATCAATTAAAAAACGTAAGAAGCCAATCCTGCATGCTTAATCCAATATGTATTAAAAAATAAGAATCATCATATGTTTACGGAATCTTAACCTTGCTAAGGAGAAGTGAGAAATGCACCTGGGAAATTCTAAGAAACAAGAAATCTAAGAGAGAAGACAAAGAGAAAAGGGAATTTATCCTACTCATGCAGCACAGATTTTATCTCTATTGGTTTCTCTCTAAACAGAGACAATCTTTAAGTCATTTTGCCCTCAAGAGAGGCTCCCAGCATCCCCTTGGCTCTTTCCACCCCACTGCACCCATCAGGGGATTTGCATATTGTCCCCTAGGGAGGACCTTCCATTGTGAGTCTGAGATAAAAGCTCAGCTCTAACCTTGCCTTGACTGATCAGGACTCCTCAGTGCACCTTCTCGCAATGAGGCTCCCTGCTCAGCTCCTGGGGCTGCTAATGCTCTGGGTCCCTGGTAAGGACAGCAGGGAGATGAGGGAGGAGAATGGGGTGGGAGGGTGAGCTCTGGGGGCCCAATGCCTCCCATGTGTGTTCAGTCCACGTGTTAGATGTGCAGGTCTTGTTCTGCAGCATGAGGCATATGATGTACTGATCTCTGAGAGGGAGGAAGATTTTAGAAGGAAGGATATGTGCCCTGAAGAAACGCAAGTCTTAGAAAGAGGATGATGGTATGGGAGACCACTTTGTGCCTTGCATCTGTTGAGTTCTTTTTGAAATTGGATATTCTTGAAATTGCAAAGAAATTATACAGGCTGAAATAATAAATGGAAAATTATGAGCATAACGCATAATATTTGTACATAACTTTGCCCTTTTCTGTCATCATTCCAGGATCTAGTGGGGACATTCTGTTGACCCAGACTCCACTGTCCCTGTCCATCACCCCCGGAGAGCCGGCCTCCATCTCCTGCAGGTCTAGTCGGAGCCTCCTGCATAGTAATGGAAACACCTATTTACATTGATAGCTGCAGAAGCTAGGCCAGCCTCCACAGTGTCTAATCTACACGGTTTCCAACCGGTTTTCTGGGGTCCCAGACAGGTTCAGTGGCAGTGGGTCAGGCATTGATTTCACACTGAAAATCAGCCCGGTGGAGGCTGAGGATGTTGGGGTTTATATTACTGCATGCAAGCTACACACTGGCCCCCCACAGTGCTACATCCTGGAACAGAAACCTCTCTGCTGGGATTGCCCAGCTGCCCACATGTGCTGCTTGTCTGGGGAGCAGCTCAGCAGGGTTTCTGAGTCTGCAAAAGGGGAGGCTGTTGGAGAACTCAGGGGCAGGTTTGCTGTTGAGGACTCTGGGCCATGAATCCTCAGCTGTACCTCAAGCACTACCTGTTTATTTACTTCTTTATGTTTTCAAGACAGGGTCTCACTCTGTTACCCAGCATAAAGTGCAGCGGTGTGATTATGGCTCATTGCAACCTTGAAATCTCAAGCTCAAGTGATTTTCCTACCTCAGCCTACGGAGTAGCTGGAATCACAGGGGGCGTGCCACCAAACCTGATTAATTTTTGTATATATTTTTGGTAGTCACGGGGTTTCGCCATGTTGCCCAGGCTGCTCTTGAGATCCTGGGCTCGAGTCATCCACTCAATTCGGACTCCCAAAGTGCTGAGATTAGAGGCATGAGCCATCGGGCCCAATTCCTGCTCTTGCTGATGTACCTGTCACCTGACACAGCCTTGACAGTCATAAGTAACAGGGTTATGAGGAGGTTCTAGGGCCCTGTGAGTTAAAAATCAGGATGAAAGGGAAAGGAGAATGGAAGCTCATCTTCATCCTCCCTCCTTGCCTACAGTTGTTTATTAAATTTATTCAGCAAAACAGCCAGACAATTGATCATTTCTGGCAAGACACACTGAATACATCTTAGGGTTTAACAGTTTGGGATAGATGATAGATAGATAGATAGATAGATAGATAGATAGATAGATAGATATAGATATAGATATAGATATAAATATAGATATAGACATAGATATGGATAGATATAGATTTTTTTTGAGACAGAGTCTCCCTCTATCGCCCAGGCTGGAGTGCAGTGGAACAATGATCGTAGCTCACTGCAACCTCTGCCTCCCAGTTTCAAACGATTCTCCTGCCTCGTCTCTCAAGTAGCTGAGATTACAGGCTCTCGCCAACATGCCCAGCTAATTTTTGTATTATTAGTAGAGACGGGGTTTCACCATGTTGGCCAGGCTGGTCTCCAACTCCTGACCTCAAGTGATCCACTGGGCTTAGCCTACCAGAGTGCTGGCATTACGGCATTAGCCAGCACACCCGGCCATATTTTTAAGAAAATATTTGGTTATATTTAAAATTGGCATTTTCCTAGTTTGTTTTAACTTCCGCTTCTTCTATTTAGCACTCATTGCCCACTCCATAAGACAGGAGAGACAGCATTCTCCACTAGTTCTCCTCAGAGGGAGCTGGCTGAGGACAGTCAGTGAAATCTTGGTAGTGAGCGTCAAATAGATTTTGTAATTTCATAGCAGATACAAGATACTAATACTGAACCTTTTTTTAATTACAATTATCTCTCACGGATAGAAAAAGGGAGTTCTTGAAACTCCAAGAGCTGGTTTTGGAAATAAAAAGCAAATCCTGGAAGATGTAGTATACTAAAGATGTAGTATTTTCCATGGATTACTGGGAAAATAAAGGATGATGGAAACTTTTTTATTTCCCAAAGTTCAGAATTCAAGATTGGACAGACTGCAGGAATAGGGGCCTGAGGGGATACAGGAGAGGTCGGCTATTGTTCAATTAAACTGCCCTTGGTTTACGGTGGGTGGGATGTGGATGGTGGTGGTGATGGCAGTTGATGTGGACCCACCAAGAGCCAAATATGTTTCTTGCGAAGAACCACAGAGTTGAAGGCACTGCTGCGTGGCTTCCTGGGCGGAGCCTGTGCCACTGGGAGTCTCACAGGAAAGTAATGTCGCGAGTAGGGCTTTAGGTCTGTAATCACCAAAGGGTTAGTGAAGTCCCTGTACAAGGAGACCTGAGGTCATGTCACTCAGTCTTAGTGAAATCACAGCAGCCAAGCAGAGCTTCTGAAACTTATTCTATCCTTGGAGGAGGTCTAGCAGAGACCACTGTCTGCATCTGGGAGATGTCAGAAGCACTGACATGCTGAGCAGAAGGCCCAGCAAAACGTAATCCAGCAGGTTTTGATAAATGACAATTTTGATATTAAGTTGTCATAAAAAACAATAAAAGGTTTTGAAATAAGTAAATGTATTATTTTTACACAATGTGGTCATTGCCTAAAAATAAATCTGATTTCCATATTCTAACAGTAATGGTATAGAAAAATGTATGATTTGCATATAGTCACTTAAAATAATGCTCCAAAAATATTTATGAATTATTCATGAGCATGTCTGTCACTGCCATGAGGTGATATGATTAAAGTAATATTCGTATCAAAAGGACAAAATATCTTTTTTTCTGGTTAAAAAAATGAATCACATCAGAAATTATTGTCTATTCTAAGATGATGGATCCCATTGTGAATGAATTTAAAATTGTATTTCCAAGCAGAAATGTCAAAAAAAAGGAAATCATGAAATTTAGCAAGTAATTTGTCACACGTACAAAGAATGACAAGTCTTTAGAGTAGTTTTCCATTCATGAGTGAGAACACACATCCAACCCAAAATCTATTGGTCTCACTCCCATAATCACCAGTGTGGAGACTAAAGGTAGTGCAATTTAAATCACATTCCTAACCAAAAAAAAGGTTCAAAAACAAAGAAAGGATGCTTCATAGAAAATATCTTGCAAAACAAAGAATGACATGTCTGTAGAAGGTATTCACAAGCAGGGACTCACATCTAACCAAAATTCTAGGGATTTCACCATCACAAACACTACTTTGGAGCCTGGAGATGCTGCACATCCTCCTGTGAGCAGAACACTCACTGGGACCCTGCACAGTGTGATGGCCCCAAACATAAAGCTCTCAAGGAAGCTCCGCCTCTCAGCGTGGAAGGAGAGGCTGCGGTGCCAGGGGATGTGTCCACAGAGAGTCGAGTCAGGTGGGCTCAGGCAGTTGCCTGGAGAGTCTTTGAGGAAGAGGACATGAGGCCTCAGTCACAGGTACATGCTCCTCTTCTGTGTGAACAGGGGCCAGGTCTCTCCAGGGCACCTTCCAGAGCCTCTTCCTTCCTAACTCCTTGGGGTGCTCAAGCCCTACAGACCCTCCAGTGTTGGCTGCCACATCCTCACTGGACCAGCCGCTAAGGTTTCCTGCTGTCGTCATGGCTGCAGGGATGCTCAGTCACATCACTGGGAGGAGACCCTAGTGTGTCCCATCCTCAACTGCTACAGGCATACTTGACTTGAACTATGTTTGTTTTGCTCCATTGAACATTTTATGTCACATTGTTCACAGTAGAGACATAACCCCTCCACCATTGACCCTTTCCACACTGCTGCACCCACCAGGTGATTTGCATATTGCACCCTAGGGGAGGACCTTCCCTTGTGAGTCTGAGGTAAAAGCTCAGCTCTAACCTTGCCTCGACAGATCAGGACTCCTCAGTTCATCTCACAATGAGGCTCCCTGCTCAGCTCCTGGGGCGGCTAATGCTCAAGATAGAAAAAATATGAGGTGGGAAAATGGGGTTGGAAGGTGAGTGCTGGGTGCTCCATAGCTTCCCCTATTTATTTCAACCGTGTGTTAGAGGTACATGGTCTATGCTCCAGGAAAGAGAATTCATATTTTTGTCTTAAGAATAATCAGGATTCACCTCCAAGGAACAATGACCTCTGATTAAGATCTTGAAAATAAAGAGTTCCCTGCTGGCTGGTAAATAATGGGTTCATTTTAGAAAGTCTACTTTCCATGATATAAATCAAAACTTGAAAATATATGTAACTGTAAATCAGTATCATAGGGAAATCATGAAAGCTGCTCATAATGTGTCTATACAACCTTGCACTTCTCTGTTATTATTTCAGGATCCAGTGGTGATATTGTGATCGCCCAGACTCCACTCTCCTGGCCTGTCACCTCTGGAGAGCTACCCACATATCCTGTAGGTCTAGTCAGAGCCTCTTGTCCAGTGATGGATACACCTATTCGTATTGGTTCCTGCAGAAGCCAGGCCAGTCTCCACAGCTCCTGATCTATTTTGTTTCAAACCGGGCCTCTGGAGTCCCAGACAGGTTCAATGGCAGTGGGTCAGGCACTGATTTCACACTGAAAATCAGCCGGGTGGAGCTGAAGATGTTGGGGTTTATTACTGCATGCAGGCTCTGCAGCTTCCTCCCACAGTGGTACAGCCCCATAGAGAAACCTCCCTTCTGGGGTGTCCCAGCTGCTCACATGCACTGCTTGTCTGGGGAGCAGCTCAGCAGGGTCTCTCAGTCTGCAGAAGAGGAGGCTGTTGGAGAATTCAGGGCAGAGTTTGCTGCTGAGGACTCTGGCCCATGAAAGCCTCAGCTGCACCTCAGTCCCACATGTTAAGGCTCCATCGGCTGCCACATGTAGCCACCTGCTCTGGGAACAGCCAGCTCTGATGAAGGAAGAGTGAATGAAGCTCATCCTCACCCTCCTTGTCTGGCCCACATTTGTTGCATCCATTTATTTGCAGAACAATCAGATCATGGATGCAGATTAGTGGTAACACAAGTGAAATGCATGTTGCAAACGACTGGTCTGGGGATAGTTTTATACATGGTAACAGTTGTTCATGTTGAGAAATTGCTATCTTCCCACTTTCCAAACTTTCTCTCTCCTTTACCACTCACACGAACCTGCCCTCCCTAGTATTATGGTGGAGAAAGCATTCTGCACCAGCTATTTTCACGGGAGTATGGCTAAGAATAATTAGTTATAATGTTTGATTTTTTTTTTACTTCTTATAGATTTTTAAAATCCAGGGGAAATATAAATCCTAATCCCGAAATAGTTTGATTTACCTCAATTACCTTTTGCTGACTGAAAATGGAGTTCTTACAATTCCAAAAGTGGGATTTGAAAATAAACAAAATAACTCAGAAGGAAAACATAAAGTTTATATAACGTATCACAGGAACAATGCAGAATTGCATGAGATTTTTATTTTCTTCTCAAATTCTTAGAATTTTAAAAGTATTTTACTGACATAGTACTTTAGAGAGGAAATATCTAGTACTATGTTGTCATAAGAAAATCATTCGAAGAATGAATAAATGCATTATTTTTACATGACCCTATTTTTTTCCTGAAAATAAATCTGAATCGTCTATTTTAGTTGTAAATGCATAGAAAAATTATGCCCTTAATAGATTCTATTAACTCGTCATTTAGCATTAGGTATGTCTCCTAATGCCATCCTTCATCCCTCCCCCCACCCCACAACAGTCCCCGGAGTGTGATGTGCCCCACCCTGTGTCCATGTGTTCTCATTGTTCAATTCCCACCTATGAGTGAGAGCATGCGGTGTTTGGTTTTTTGTCCTTGCCAGAGTTTGCTGAGAATGATGGTTTCCAGCTTCATCCATGTCCCTACAAAGGACATGAACTCTTCATTTTTTATGGCTGCATAGTATTCCATGGTGTATATGTGCCACATTTTCTTTATCCAGTCTATCTTTGTTGGACATTTGGGTTCGTTCCAAGTCTTTGCTATTGTGAATAGCGCCGCAATAAACATACGTGTGCATGTGTCTTAATGGGTGCAGCACACCAACATGGCACATGTATACATATGTAACAAACCTGCACATTGTACACATGTACCCTAAAACTTAAAGTATAATAATAATAAAATAAAAATTAAAATAAATAAATAAATAGATTCTATTGACAATAATGTTCTAAATTTATATGCTTTCTTAATATGAGGGCTACGGTCTGATACATACCTGTATACATTTTGCCATGGAACTTTTAAACCTAACAAATGCTTTCCGTTAAAAAAGCAATAGTGCTTTCTTCACCATAATACTAGAGAGGGCAGTTTCGTGTGAGTGGTAAAGGAGCAAGTTTGGAAAGTGGGAAGACAGCAATTTCCCAATATGACCACCTGTTACCATGTATAAAACTATCCCCAAACCAGTCGTTTCTAACATGTATTTCACTTGTGTTACCACTTGCCTGCTTCCGTGATCTGATTGTTCTGCCAAATAAATTTACATGAACCCGAGTAATGAGTGATGTCTTTTACATGTGAAAACACTGTGTAGAGACACAAAAGGCTCATTGAATCTGATGCAGGCTAACAGCTTAAATTATACTTGAGATGATTTATGTCAAGATAACGGATTCCACAGGAAGTGCAATTAAAATTCCCATGTGTCATTTCTGTTGGGTTGAAAAGTTGCATGGCAAAATGTATATAGATGTTTAGTAGACCATAGCCCTCAAATTAAGAAACATAAGCACTTAATATGTTATTCAAAAATACTAATTAATGTTTCTTTGAGCCTAAATGTTATTACAGAACGCAGTAAAAGAAAATAAGATGTAAGTAGCAACAGCAGGAGATACAGCAATTCCGTTGTCACTTTAGCCCTCCTGTGATTGACAGCACCTAGTCACCTTGAGTTTCTGCTTTTCTGTGAGACAGAAGATAAAATCAAAACCCATTCAAGGCGGTTAGATATATTCTTAGGAAAAGCAAACAAATGTACAACCTACCTGATGCTGATATCGCAAAGGTCTATATTCTCAAGTCAAAATGGTGAAAAGTAAATGATTCCAAATCTGAAAGGAGAGAGACACAAGGAGAATCAGAGCATAATTAAATTTATTACAAAGAAACCTCAAAATATGGTGGACTAAATGTGACAAGGT
The DNA here is from genome assembly GCF_000001405.40 of Homo sapiens. Lineage (NCBI taxonomy): Eukaryota > Metazoa > Chordata > Mammalia > Primates > Hominidae > Homo > Homo sapiens. The sequence continues at coordinate 28,236 of NW_025791765.1, forward strand.
TTCTGTGTCTGTGCCATGGCAGTGCAGAGGCAGGCACGTGGCCTTGGTGGTGTGGGTGGCTCTGCTCCATGAGGTCACTCAGGTGGACAGGAGGCACGACCACCCTGAGAGCACAGCCTTCCTCCTTCCTCACAGTCACTGCCCCCATGGTCATCCTCAACAGCATGAGGTGGAACTGAATGGAGAGAAAGCTGTTTTCTTCTAAGGATCAAAAATAAATACAGAAACAAATAAAACCTCTAGCTTTCCATCAGGGACAAATGTACTTTTGACTCAGTCACAGATTTGAGAAATTTTCCATTGAGCGGGTCTGCTGGTAAACCCACGTTCATTGTTTGTTTGTTTTAATCTGAAAATGTGTTTACATGATTCTTGAAGATATTCTTTGACAAGAAACTTCCATATGTGGTAGCCTATTTGAAGTTGTCATTTACTATTTCATCATTGCTGCTAAAAAGTCATTTGTTTAAAAATCCGTGACTCTAACTGTTCTTGTTTGAAAGGAATACGTCTTTTTAAGATACTCAGATTCCTTTTAAGCTCTTCATCTGGCCCTCCTTTTTTCTGATTCAATGTATTGTTTAATTTTTTACTTATGACTAATTAATCAATTAATTTTCACAATCACAGAATCAAATGTCCGATAAGTTGCTATGTCAAAGACCTGTCTGAAGATGGCAAAAACACTCCACAATAAACAAAAGACAACACCATGGTCTCAGGAACACTGGGAAAGTAGGAGTGCTGGTGTCCCATTCTCAACAGGGAGCCCGAAAGGTAGAGGCGGGTCTTTCTTGTGACCTGGGCACCGGGAAGGAGCCACCCATGTGCTGAGTTGTGGGAACCTGCCCCATTCTCTGAGACTGGAAGCAAGGCCCTGGCTGTGTCCCACCTGCTATGGACTGAATTGTGCCCTCAGATTCATGTTGAAACCCTAATTTCAATATGACTGTAGAAATTAGGACCTCTAAAGATGTAATTGAGGTCATAAGGGGGGTCCCTGATCCAGTAGAATTCGTATTTTGTTGTTGTTGTTTTGTTTTGTTTGTTTGCTTGTTTGTTTTTGAGGCAGAGTCTCGCTCTGTCGCCCAGGCTGGAGTGCAGTGGCGCCATCTCAGCTCACTGCAAGCTCCGTCTCCCGGGTTCACACCATTCTCCTGCCTCAGCCTCCCGAGTAGCTGGGACTACAGGTGCCCGCCACCACTCCCGGCTAATTTTTTGTATTTTTAGTGGAGGCGGGGTTTCACCGCGTTAGCCAGGATGGTCTCGATCTCCTGACCTCATGATCTGCCCGCCTTGGCCTCCCAAAGTGCTGGGATTACAGGCGTGAGCCACTGTGCCTGGCAAATTCGTGTTTTTATAAGATGCAGAGAGCTCTCCTTTCTCCCTTCTCTCTCTAATTGCCTTCTGCTCTATGGAAAGGCTGTGTGAAGACACCGTGAGAAGGTGGCATCTGCAAACCAGGAAGAAGGTCTTTACCAGAAAGCAAACCCTGCTGGACATCGATCTGGGCTATTCCAGGCACCAGAAATATGAAAATTAAATTCTGTGGTTTCTGCCATCCAATCCAGTTTTTTTGGTGTGGCAATGCAAGCTGACTCATCCACTTTTCCCACTCTCTCTGAGCAGGATCAGCCTCAGGAGACCCTCGTGGACGTGGGGACCTGGTGTTGCTCCTCTTCCTCCTGCTTTTCCAACTCTCTGGTGAAGAGGGAGAACTCGGGCTTCACCTTCAGTTTCTGTGCATTAAACATGAATTTAATGCAGTTTCTTTGCATTAAACATCCTTCAAGATGAAGTCTGTCGCCCATTTTGCTTGTTCATCAGAATTTAGTCAAACTGAATGAAGTAGTTATTTAGAATTAACATTTGGGGCTGTTCATAATTGTTCCCCACTTATGTGACTGTTGGGATATTGTGCGGTGCTCATCTCCAGGCCCCTCCCTGTGTTCCAGGAGACAGGGTCACTGTCACCAGCAGAGCCAGTCATGGAAATAACAGTGTCCTAGCCTAGCTCCACGGGAAATAAGGGCTGACACTGGTCTCCTGCTGGCTCCCACTGCCCCCTGGACACGATGCCCGCCTGGGTCAAGGGGGTGAGTCTGGACAGATGTCACTCTGGCCATCAACAGCCTAACTACCTTCATGACTTCCCATTGTGAACAGAGTCCCAGAAGTTGCTTGAGCCATGAAAGTTGGACAGAGAAATCCCACATCACTGCAGTCAGAGGGGGGCTGTGAAAAGACCGTAGGGGGGGGTTTCATACTATGATCACGCAGTACTGAGCCATGGCTGCCACTCTGTCTGACGGGAGCCCCCGGGGGAAGATCCACTCACACTGTGCTCTAGAGGTCGTTTTTGTCACCATCTTGGTTCTAGCTGGTTTGTGCCAGTTTCTGTAGCGCATCCTCTTTTGTCGAGATCCTGTTCCGGTCAGCGTTGTCATGACCAATGTTGGGATCGGTGCTCAGAACACAAGTCCTGATGATCTCCTACCTTACACTCGCTGCCTTCTGTGAATCAGATATTCTGATAAGGATCCTGTTGGATCCTACTCAAATCAGGGGCCACACAGACCCTCACTGAGGGCTGAGGACCACAGGCATCTGAAGATAAGCAGAGGTCCAGAGAATGATAGCCCCTGACTGTCCTCTGTGAAGACAGCTTCTCCCCAGATGGCTGAGGACTATCTTTGGCTGTGTCCTTCTTTCTGAGTGATAATGAGGGATAGAGCAGGTCTCTAAGCAAAACCACAACATTTCAGGGACAATGATACCTATGCAGGCCCTCCTATGTGTGCTGCTCTAACCTAGACATAGGTGGCACTAGATACGCTTAGGGAAGTGAGGAGATTTATAATCAGAAGGAAGAAAGAGAGAACGAGAGGAGGAGAGAGAGAGAGAAGAGCGTGTGATGTGTGTATAGTACCAACACTGAAGAGTCATTCTATAATGGTTTAGTGCTGAGTATGGTGCTCAAATGATCAGGCTGTATTCCATGGAAACTATACAGATACCTTTCACAGGAAAAGAGCCTTTGCACATGAAATTAAGGATCATAAAACGGGCAGATTATCCTGTATTGACCAGGTGGGCCTTAAAGGGGCCTGTCTTTGTTAAATGTCATTTTTAAAAATCCTGCAGAAGAGAAGACCATCTGAAGACAGCAACAGAGATTGAAATGATTTGGACTCAAGCCAATGAAAGCTTAAACCACCAAAAGCTCAAAGAAGTAAAAAAATAGACTTGCCCCTGGAGCCCCTGTAGCAGCTTTGTCTGATGACAGCCTGCTCCTGGCTGCTGAAACTGATGCTGGACTTTTGGCCTCCAGAACTATAAGAGAATATATTTCTATTTCTTTAAGCTACCAAAGTTTTGGTAATTTGTTATAGCAGCCCAAAAATACTAATACAAATGGGGCTTAGAATAAATCCAGCCTAAAGGTAGTATAATGATTGGGAATCTCCACGTTCCATTCTCTAATGTTACACATATTAGAAGATTTTATGAGGAAATAGCGTACAGGAAACCGCACAGTGTATACTGGAGCATCTGTTAATTATATAATAAATGTTGATAATTCTTAGTAGAGCATGACATCTGGGTAGTAATATCTTATCTAGAATCTTCATTCTAAGATATTCAAGGATGCAGAAAAGGGGCCCTAAGTAGTCTTTTCATACATATATATGCATAGATACATTTCCTGGTGCATCAACTAGAGAAACCTTCAGGACAGCCCTTGATATCCTTGGTGCTACTTTTCACAGGTGAGTAAACTGTTCATCAGAGCACAGGGGTGGTTTGCCCAAAGATACACGGCCAGCAATTATCAGGGCTGAGCTTGGAACCCAGCTTAAATATGTCGCTTCCACATGGCCACATTTGTTCCATGGAGGAATGAATGTCTTTTAAACTCAGAGAAGAGACAAAGCCGGAAGGGTGGTGTGGAATTCTCAGCAAGCGCCTTGCTACCTCTGAACCTTGCCATGATTACCACAATTATAAACTCAGGCCTTTCTGCAGTTTTGTCCACATAGCAAAACTTCCTCCAAGTCTTTAAAATTTAAATGTCTTTCTTTCAGATTTGAGGGCAGGAGCACATCTCGCATTGCCCTGAACACTTTGTTTCTTTTCTACCATCCTCATCTCTCTGAGCCGGCTCTTCCCTCTCAAAATGTGTCCTATCAATCTGATTTCTTCTCCTAATGTGAAAACAAATGAACAAATAGTCCCCTACTTTTGTCATCTCCAGAGAACACAAGAGCTAATCACATACCCAGAGACTATGAGAGTTTAAAGGATTTATCCAAGAGCTTTTACACATAAGAAGTATTCTCCTGCTAGCCCTCTTCACAGTGAAATGCCTGTGTGTCTTGTTAAAACTGACACTAAAAAATGACAAGATAGAGCCATTTTGAAGAACTGAGGGTGACCATTCCAAGATAATTCAGGTGTTTCCTAAATTTTCTGAATATCCCTATGCATTAAAAAAAAAGATGTGACAAGAATTCAGACCATACTGTCCAAGAAAGAATGTTTTTCCGCTTTCTTAGGTTGGCTCTTTCAGGGATAATGATGCCTATGCAGGCAGCATATTTATAATGCACAGGAAACACGGGGAGGAAACAAGGCAGTGAAGGAGGAAAGAAAGGAGGGACTCCAAAAGTCTCCTCAGCAAAGAGCTACCGCTGAGGATGGCTGGAGCTCAAGCCCACGTGGAAACAGGGGAAAATGTCTCAGTATTATTCCAGCTGAAAAGAGAGGGAGCTGGGGTATATACACCTCTCCTGTCCTCACTGATTGAGGGCTTTCTGAGAGGATGCTCATTCCAGGTGCTGTGAAAGGCCATGTGTGCAGGCAGGGCTGCCTTCTCCAGTTTGACATAGAGCAGTGAGGAACAGATATGGCCTTGGGGAGTCAGCAGAAGTACAGCAAAGGGGAAAGGCAAAGGGTAGCAAGAGTGACTGCTACATTCACCTCCCCGCACAAAAAAAATGTGTGTATTTCAATCCAGAGCTTCTTCTCTCTGAACCTAAATCTTAGCAAGCAGTTTGCCAGTAATTTCCCTTGAAATTCAGGCCCCTGGAAAGCAGCAGGAGATCTGGGTACAGGCTATACCACTGTGGTCTGCTCACTCTTAGTGATGCGTGAGTAATGCTCCCTGGACTCCCCAGGTTCTAGTCTTCTCATGTCGATGTAGTTGATTCCACTTCCCTTGCTGCACAACCAGGCTGGGATGCCTGGGCAGAGGCAGACATGTGAGGTAGAGGGGTTCAAATCTGTTTCCAAGTTTTATCCAGATTCAAAGTATTTCTTCACGTACATGGGCGGTGGCTTGGCAGGAGATGCAGATTCTCTCTCCTGGAAGTGAGGCAAGGAGGCTGGCGTCTGGGTAAGGATGATGTCCCCACATACTGCTAAAGAGTCAAAGAGGAAAGTGGCATCGATGGTGCAGGGCAGAGACATGCACTGAGTAGCTGCTGCCCTCACTGAAGAGAAAGTGTTCACTGACTTGGCCTTTCCCCAGGACCTCTCCCTCCCCTGCTTTCCAGAAAGCCCAGTTTTTTGGGAGCTGTACCTGAACACCTGGGAACATTCCAGTGGGAAAGGCAGCTCAGAGCATTAGCAAGGGTAAGTTACCTTGTTCTTCTTCCTGTGGAGACAATTGATCATATGGGTCAGCAAGACGTAGGTGCTGTCCATTTAGTCCCTGGTTATTACAGAGACCTATAGCTCTGGATTATGGAAGATCTGTGAGTGGCACAGGCATTGAGGAATCACAGCATCATTATTGTGCATCTGCAGGGAATGGCTTGAAAATAGACTGGTAATAACAAATGTTTCAGGTCACTACAAAATACCTTTGAATATTTAAATATGCTTCTGACAAAGACTTTTTTCCCACATGAAACAATGGGAGCAACGTGACAATCACAGAGGTGTTGTTAGTATAACAAAGGGATTGTCGCTCCCACAATGTCCACTTAAATAACTTGAAGACCTGATAGCCCCATTCTCTAAGACATTATCAGACATTCCCTACAAATGATCATACTCTCCTATATACTCCCGATACAACTCTAAAATATATGACTCCATGTAGTCCCTAGGTTTGTATTAAATTTTGACTTTTTTCTCCCAAAATATCTCTTGTCGAAACAACGGATGTAGAGAGAAATACATTCCCTCCAGGCAAATCTGTCAGGCCTGGTCTGACCTGGGACCCTGCGGACACTGCCCCTTTGCTGAGTTACCGAGATGAGCCAGCCCCGTGGCTGTGCCCAGCCTGCCCCATCCCCTGCTGATTTGCGTGTCCTAGAGCGCAGCCCCCTGCCCTGAAGACTTCTTAATAGGCTGGTCACACCCTGTGCAGGAGTCAGTCGCAGTCAGGACACAGCATGAACATGAGGATCCCCGCTCAGCTCCTGGCCTTCCTGCTGCTCTGTCTCCCAGGTAAAGAAGGAGAACACTGGGAAGTTAGCCACCCAGTGTGCTCAGTACAGCCTGGCTCTTCAGGGAAATGCTCGCATAACATGGTGAAAAGTGTAAATATTTGTTTTTGTATTTCCAATCTGAGATGCCAGATGTGACATCCAGATGACCCAGCCTCCATCCTCCCTGTCTGCATCTGTAGGAGACAGAGTCACCGTCTCTTGCCAGGCTAGTCAAAGCATTTACAACTATTTAAATTGGTATCAGCAGAAACCAGGGAAAGCACCTAAGTTCCTGACCTATAGGGCATCCAGTTTGCAGAGGGGGATGCCATCTCAGTTCAGTGGCAGCGGATATGGAAGAGATTTCACTCTCACTGTCAGCAGCCTGCAGCCTGAAGATTTTGCAACTTATTAATGTCAACAAGAGAGCATTTTCCCTCTCCCAGTGCGACAAGTCATAACATCAACCGCTAGGATAGCAGATGAGTGAGGCCGGGTTGCCCTAGATGCTCCTCCTGGTGCCTCAATCTGCTGAGTTGTTTTCCAGATGCAGCCAAGTTTTGAAGGTCATCTGGAAATTTTGGTAAATTGTGATGAGGTGGCTCCTTTGCACCCACTCTCTTTCCTCCTCATCCCCAGAAGCAAAGACATGAAATGCGAGTCCTGATTTAATAAAGAGATTTAACCACCTGAGGAGTCTGTTATGGGATGATTGGAATTCTTGTAGCAAAAGAGAAGCCACTCTAGCCCTTCCAAGCAGGAATTGTTTTAATTTATGAAATCAGTGTCTAAACTACAGCTTTTCAAGGCCTGGTTGATGTTAGTCACGGAAGCAGATACTAGAGACATGATTCTCTGGTGCTCCTGCAGAAACCAGGGTGCACCCTACCCTGCAGGTGTGAGCTGCCTAACCACATGGTCCTTGGTTCTGTCTGAGAAGCCCAGAGTGCAGGTGCTGATGCTCTCAGCCTCCTGCAGTATGTCTCTAGGTGATTCTCTAGTTCTCAACTAAGTCCACTTGTCTGTCTGCAGGTGTCAATGAGCATTGAATCATTCTCTTCTGACTTCCAAATCTTGTGGAAGGACCCCTCAGTGAACAACTCTACAGGAAAGTATAGAGGGAAAGGTGGTTCTGACGAATGCGCTTTCAGAAGTGATGGTGATAATGAGGAACTGACAGCTGAAAGCCCAACATGGTCAGTATTTTCACAAAATAGTGAAAACTTTTGCCAGTTATGCATGGCCTCAGAATACATTTGAATATACTTGCACTTGTCACATAGCAACATAACTTTATTAAGTCATAGACACAGCTTAAAAATCAGGAAATTGTATGACATACATAACAATCATTTTACAAACAAATGAAAAATATTTCTTGACAAAGAAACCAAAACAACAGAAAAACCTGAACATTGGTGTAACCTTTTTTAAATTATGAAAATTCTTTGCTACTCAACATGTATCCAGAATCCAGCAGGATCATTAGCACACTGAGAGCATGATACACATGCTAAACAGCAGAACGACCTTCAGTTCACTGAATGAGAACCTTTGTTTAGCCATGGTAGTTGATAACAGGTGACCTATAAAAGGTTTAAGAAGCTATGTTCTATGTGATATTTGTTTCAGCTAAAGAGATACCGTGGTGGTGGGCACCATTAGCCCCAGCTACTAGGGAGGCTGAGGCAGGAGAATCACTTGGACCCAGGAGGTGGAGGTTACAGTGATCCAAGATCATGTCACTGCCCTCCAGCCTGGGTGACAAGAGCAAACTTCTGTATACTATTATGGCAATGAGGCTATTTTTAAAAATTTCAATGGAAAGCCACATGTTGCAACCACACCCAGCTTTATTTTCTAATCAATGCAACATGACATTTGAAAACAATTGGAAGATTGTAAAGTTGGAGAAACATAATGATCTGTCCATGGAATAATAAAATGCTTTGATGTTTAAATGGAGGAAAAGTTTGTAGGAACCATAATAATTACCAAGGTGAAAGAATAACTTAAAATTGTGTGTATCTGTGTTCAAAATTATTAGACTTCATTCACCATTTCAACTTGGTTTGGGGAGGTTGCCCACTCCTGCTGCCTTCATCAGAATATGGTGCCTGGGTAGATACTGCCCTTTAGCCTTGACCTCAGATGAACACAATCCATAGGTTAGAGACAAGCTCTGCTCCCTGCAGCAAAACCACCCAGCTGAGCCCTGTCTTGAAGAGTCATGTTAATACTAAAATGAACATCCAGAAACACGATAAAACTTGATGTAATACACTGACTTTTAAGTAGTTGGTTATCAATCATCATTGTGCAAAAAATGTGACCAATGTAATACTTACACATTCACCCATATAAGATGTATCTTATTATGATTAGTGGCAGAAGTATAAATATTTGGTAATGTATTTATAAAGCTACCAATGAGAAATTTAAAAAGAAATTTAAAAAATTATATATAAATAAAAAGTGTAAAATTTACCTTATTTATGGAAACTCCACATATATATATATAAACATTAATGTAGGTACATATATATATTTATTTGATAAATAGTTGGGTGCGTGTAGTTCCATATGCATATATTCATGTCTAAATAAGGCCATTTACATATATATAAGAAACATAGGCATATTTACAAAATGTTTTAATAAATTAAATCTCTTAAGATAATTCTATTTATTCCTCATCAAAATAGTTGGTTTCTAGAACCAGATATAGTACCTGCTCTGGCTATAGGAATGTCCTTTGCAAGTCCTTGAAATTTGATGTATTTCTAAACACTCACCAAATTCATGTGTCACCTTAAAATATTTTTCTAACTTACTTGAGGTGCCAAAGAGTATGAATGGAGATGATTTTCCCTAATGTTAAAAGTTACATCCTTGTCTCCTAGGTAAGTCCTCATTCTTTGTATGTCTACAATGATGCTATTTTGGACAGAGTTCTATCCATGGATGCTGGACTGATGTCACATCATTCTCACAGTCAAGGATGGCCTGGAGAGTAAAAATCATAACAGTGAGCAAAGTGCAAGTGTTATATCCTTGTTCATTTTGCAAAGAGAGATCAGCCATTCAATGACATTGTCTATGGGTTTGAACAAATCATCAGACCTTAGAAAAAACAGAACAGAGGATTAGAGACAAAGTCATTGTGGAAGAGCTATGAGTGGAACTTTCAAAATGGGCCAAAAGTTGCCTAATCTATGGGTTAGAGAGCAAGTTGATCATGTAACTTGCTCAGGAAGAGCTTTTTGGGGTTGTGAAAATACTTTATATCTTGACTTTGGAGGTGGTTAGAAGGATTATTTATTTGCAAAAATTCATAAAAACTGTACATTTAAAAATCAATGTGATTTATTTTAACTATTATTATCCTCAATAAAGATAGTTAACTATATGTAGTCAGGGAGCTCAAGGTGCAACTGAGTAATGCTGTCCTCACATCTTCTATTCTTGCAGTGGACTGCAACTGTGTGAGCAAGAATGTCTGGGAGATTGCCTCAGATCTAAGAGTAAAGAGCTGTGTCTCTCTGGCAAGAGCCCAATTTTCTTTTTACTTTGATTTTGTCTTCTATTGGATGAGAATTTAAATAATTCTCATAGATTAGATCAAAGTAGCAGGCTTTTTCATGTACACTTATTATTTATTGAAGCTAAAATTCCAAGCAAAATAAAAACTTATTCCAAAAGTGAAGAAAAGTTTTCACCTGTGAATTGCCACTACTCTTCAGCTTGGGAAACACAGCAAATCCTTGTCTCAAAATTAAAAGAAAAAAGGAAAATAAAACATTTAAATAAAACAATATAAATTTTTTTCTAAAATTAGTTAACTAAGCCTGTCATACCTTTCGTTTTATGACCATCACTCAGAAATTGCAATTATTAAAATTTGCCTGAGTTTTAAGCATAAGAGCTGTAATGTGGCTTGCTATATCTGTTTATTAAATAGATAGATATATACTGACATTCAATTTTATAGGCATACATAATTCAATATAGGGCTACATACATATGTAGCTATATACAGATATGCATTCATATATACATATATGTGCATTAACACACATATATGTACATTTACATGTATACAGATATAGATATATTTAGATATCTATAAATACTTATATAGCTATAGATAGATAGATATTTCAAATATGTATATATATATATGAACTACACATTACACATATATGTGCTTTTTATGATTTTACATCTCTGTTCATGTCAGATGCAGGAATTAATTTTCTGTTTCTAATGCTTTTATTCGTTTTGGAAATGAAGTTTATTGTGACCACATATAATAATTCTGGAAGCATTTCCTTCTTTTTAATTCTCTTGAAGTTTGTGTAATTTTCACAAGGTTGGTTCCAGTAAATGAAATATAAGATGGAAATTTTCCTTATAGAAAAGTTTTCATTATAGAGTTCCTTTTAGTTTAGTCAAAATAGTTGCCATAATTTATTTCATTGTATTCTACTTTTATGTGTTTGCTATCCTGGGCTCTGTAATAATTTTCCCTTTTTAAATTATAGATTGTGTATTTTGCATCTTTTCTCTGTCTTTTTTATCCACCTTTCCTGCTTCATGAAGCAGCCATGGGGTTTAATTCCTTCCGGGTAATTTTTCTGAACTTTTACGCTCTGCTTCCCTTTTAAACGTAAGTTCCAATTCCAAACCATAACTTTGTAAGTGCATAAAACTGAAGGCTTTAAAGGGCACCCAAGTCATCACTTGAAGGTTTTGCTGCTTTGAAATTTCTTTGGCCAGATACCTTAAATTAGGTCTCTCAAGTTCAAAGTTCCACAGATATTTAGGGCAGGGGCAAAATGCTGCCAGTCTCTTTGCTAAAGCATAGCAAGAATCATGTTTATTCAAGTTCCCAATAAGTTTCTCATCTCCATCTAAGACCACCTCATCCTGGACTTCATGGTCCATATCACTATCACCATTTTGATCACAGCCCCTCAACAAGTGTCTGGGAAGTTCTGAACTTTGCCACATCTTTCTGTCTTCTGAGTCCTCCAAACTGTTCCAACCTCTGCCCATTACCCAGTTCAAAAGTCGCTTCCACATTCTCAGGTATCTTATAGCAATCCCCCACTACCTTGATACCAATTTACTGTATTAGTTCATTTCCATGCTGCTATGAAGAAATACCTGACACAGAGTAATTTATAAAGAAAAGAGGTTTAATAGATTCACAGTATGACCCAGGAATTCCACTCTTCCCTATAGACCCAAGAGAACTGAAAACATATAGTCAAATAAAACTTGCACATGAATTCTTATAACAATGTTATTTATGATAGCCAAAAAGTGGAAACAACCCAAATGCCCATCAGTGCATACATGCAGCAATGTGGATGAACCTTGAAAACATTAAGTTAAATGAAAGAAGCCAGTCGCCAAAGGTCCCACAGTAAATTATCCCATCCATATGAAATGTCCAGAATAGGCAAATCTATAGAGGCAGAAGGTAAATTAGTGGTTGTCAGGGGCTAGGAAGGAAGAGGATGGGAAATGGCTGCAAACAGCATGAGGTGTTTTGGGTGGTGATGGAAACATTCTGCAGTGACATTGTGATGATGGCTACACAACTCTATAGTAAAAGCCAACGAGTTGTTTACTTAAAGTGGGTGAACTTTATGCCATACAAATTATATCTCAATACAGATTTCTTTAAGTCTTCAAGAAGCCCTCTGGTAAAGAAATCAGCCTAACCCAGCCCTGAACTCATCTGACCACCAAAGCTTTTCCTCACATTGGCACCCTGAGAAACTGGTATTCTGAAGAACGCGCTTTAGGAAAAACTGCTTTAGACAACAGGAATTTGGTAAGAAGAACTTTGTTTCTGTGAACACATATTTGCATGTCAGGGTACATCCTTTTGTATTTTATTTATATTTAATGTGTCTATGTCTTGTCTTCTTGGTAGCTTTATAAGAATTTCGAGGAGAGAAAGTATGATTTTGTCTCTTTGAATTCCTACTTCTCACCACCCATAATGTGGTGCACACATAAATATCTGTAAATATGCAGTTAGAACTTTGCATCACTAATGAGTTAATTAAACTATTCAACAAAGCCAAAAATACATATCATGGACCCTCGAGTGCCAGGCACAGTTTTGGGCACTGGGCATACAAAAATAAGGGAGCTTACGGTTTAGTCTGAGACCAGGCCAGGAGCCACGCAGTAGAGGCACCTCTCCCTGGGGTGTCTGAAATCATTCCTGTGAACTCTAAATACCTGAGACAGGGCTCAGTCAATTTAGGAAGTTTACTTTGCCAAAGTTAAGGATGCTCCTGTGACACAGCCTCAGGAGGTCCTGACGACATGCACCCAAGGTGGTCAGGGTACAGCTTGCTTTTACACATTTGAGGGAGACACGAGCCATCAATCAATATGTGTCACATGTACATTGGTTTTGTCTGGTAGGGTGGGACAACTCAAAGTTGGGGCTTCCAGGTTAGAAGCAGATAAGAGACAAAAGGTTTCATTATTTTGCATACTCGATCAACCTTCCACTGAATACACAATTTAGTCTGGCTCAGTGAATCTGCATTTTTACATCAACAATAGGGCAGAGGAAGCAATTAGATATGCATTTGTCTCAGGTAAGCCTCAGAGAGATGACTTTGAACAGAATGGGAAGTAGGTTTGCCCTAAGCAGTTCCAAGCTTGACTTGTCCCTTTAGCTTAGTGACTTTGAGGTCCCAAGATTTAGTTTCCTTTCACATTCCCAAAGCACATTTGTCATGTAGTTGAAATTATTGAACACCTTAATGGAGGCACCGTGTTTGAGATTCACTCCCTTGCTATTGAAAAGCAGACACAACCAATTTCTTCTTCATTGTTGGAAAAGGTTGCTTTCCCTTTGGTTGGGCACCAGTGGAAGACTTGCACTGAACAGCTATTTTGGCCAAAACTATGTCTCTCAAAGGTGAGTCCCACTGGGGCAAATCCAGGTGCTCCTGGTCTGAGCAGCTTATAAGAAGGACAGGCACAGATAGAGCAAGGGATGCACACTCCTCTACCCTCCACTCTGCATCCACCCTGTGATACATCTAGGGTGGCACACAGAATGACTGGCACTGTCTAACTTTTTCTTTATTTAAAAAATTTACTGCATTTGCTTAAGCATGTACATGAGCTTGTCCTGTGACTCCCCAGTCCTGAAGCTCAGCCGAATATCTGAACACTGGGCTTTGAAAAAAAGAAAGTGACCCTGGAGACCAAAAGGACAGCTGGCTCACAGGAAAGCTGCTCATGGCAGGCAAAACTGGAGGACAGAGAAATGCACTAACCTTGGTTGATACAGTTTAGATATTTGTTCCCTCCAAATCTCATATTGAAATGGGATCCCCAGTGTTGGAGGTGGGCCCTGGTGGGAGGTGTTTGGGTCATGGGGGAGGATCCCTCATGAAGGGCTGGGTGCCCTCCCCATGGTACTAAGTCTTGTTCTACTTGTTCCTGCAAAATTGGATTTTTAATCTGGTACCTCCATCCTTCTCTCTCCCGCTCCCTCTCTCACATGTGACATGCCTGCTCCCCTTTGGCCATGAGTAAAAGCTTCCTGAGTCCTTACCAGAAGCAAATGCTGGTGCCATGTTTCTTATACAGCCTTCAGTACCATGAGCCAAATAAACCTCTTTTCTTTATGAATACCCAGACTCAGGTGTTCTTAGCAACACAAACAGACTAATGCATTGGGTCTCCCAGTGAAACGGGAGAGTACCCTGAACCCCTTGCAGGACTTGTGATGGGGTGTGGCTTGTTTGCTGGCTGCTCAAACCCCTTATGGGAAGGGGAGCATGCAGATGGGTAGGTGCAGGAGCTGGGGTGAGCGCTTTTGGGCTCCAGCCCCATGGTAGTGTCTAGGAGCGTGTTACAATTCATGCTGTTTTAGCAGCTGCTGTCCGTGGATGGCAAGTCTTAAACCAGCTCAGTGGAGAGTCAAGATGACAGTCTTTTACACTCTGCCTTCTTGGTACCTGGGTCCTTGTCTGGCATCTAGGAAGAATTAGGTCACTCAGACTTGTAGGTTGGTGAAGGCAGGGATTTTATTGAGTGACGGATAAATGGGATATCTCAGTGGGATGAATGGGGAGCTGGAAAGGGGATGGAGTGGGAAGATTATCTTCCCCTGGAGTTCAGCTGTCCTGCAGCCAATCTCCTCTCTGACTGTCCCCAGCTGAACTCCTTTCAACATTCAGATGCTCCTTCTCTTCTCTCCTTCTCTGCCACTCCACTCTGCTGCTCTGCTGCTCTGCCACTCTTCTGCTCTCCTGTAACTCTGCTGGTGGAGCTTGAGGCTTATATGGGCACAGGATAGCGGTGTGGTGGACCAGAGTGTTCTTGGGTCCACCCCATTTGGGCATGAAAAAAAGAAAGTGACCCTGGAGACCAAAAGGACAGCTGACTCACAGGAAAGCTGCTCATGGCAGGCAAAACTGGAGGACAGAGAAATGCACTAACCTTGGCTGATACAGTTTAGATATTTATTCCCTCCAAATCTCATATTGAAATGGGATCCCCAGTGTTGGAGGTGGGCCCTGGTGGGAGGTGTTTGGGTCATGGGGGAGGATCCCACATTTGGGCATGAAAGTACAAATGCCTGTTCCCATTTAGGGCTGCGGGTTTCCAGACTTGAGGGTGGGGGCGTTTGCCGGGGAACTGCCCTCCTCTACCCAGTATTTCCTTGCCTCTTGTCTGTATCACCAAGATAACACACTACAAATATGGGAAGGAGCTTGGAAAGAACCATGGGAAGAAACTTGATGTGATCACAGCACCCCCAGTGAGGGCAGGCGCTCAGCAGGGCAGCTGTCTCTGAGTTAGCAGCATCAGGAAGCCTCCCCTGGAAGACACTGGCTGCAGGATGAGGCTGCCAGCCTCCACCAGGGACATCTGGACGCCACTCCTGCTGGCTTCTGTGGAGGCCAAGGGCAGCCTTCTTGGCAGGCTGCCAGCTCTCTGGAGGCTCTTGGGGCCCATCCTACCCTCAGGGGACCTGGCAGGAAGGTCAGCTGACTGCTCCTGGGTCACTCACGGATGCCCCTTTTTATGCCCCAAAATGAATCTGAAGAGAAGAAATCCTAGCCTCTGCCAAGCGCTGTCGCCCAGCATTGCAGCCTGAACACATCCAAGGGGCCTGATGAGCAGCACCTGGTCCCCCACTGGCTCAGACGCTTGAAGCTACTGAATTTACATGTAATTAAAGACTCAAGTGCAGACCGCATTTCAAAACAGACACTTGGTCAGAGATAGGAGGCCTTCCCCATCAGATGGTTTTGTTTTGCTTTTTCTCTGCATATGGGCCTTATAATTTGCCAAGGTAAGGTTACAGGGGCCACAGTTGTTTTGTTTGGAGATGAGAAAGCTCAAGAATGACCTAACTCTGTCTTCAAATATGCGGAGGCATTTATTACAAGGAGGGAATGGTTGGCTGTTTTCTTCTTGAACTGCAAGAAAAGGTGGCTCAGCTGAAATCCTAAAGACCTGCACACACGGCCTGCCACACTCAGCCCTTCCCCAGAGCACCTTGCATGTAGGAAGCACTTCTTGCCCTAAAGCCTAGGACTGCCTGCCTTTGAGAAGGAAGCTTAGGCCTTGACCATGGTTGAGGAAGGAGGCCCCAGTATCTATTTTGGAGAAGTCTGGTAGGTTCTACCTGGTGGCTGGCAGCCAGGACACTGACTTTATGGCAGAGGCTTCATTATTTTAAAAAATTAAGGATCCTCAGTGAGGGAGGCCTTATTCATGGCAGGGCCCTTTGTGTGGCTGATAGGTGGGGCATCAAAGCTCTGGCACAGACGTGGCTGAGCTGAACTCCTCTGAATCATAGAGGTGGGGAACATGGAAGCCTATAGCTATGAGAAAGTCCAGGAGGAGACAGGAGAAGCTTTTACCCGTCCAGAAGGAGGGGCAGCCGAAGGAAGGAGAGAGGGAAGAGGGTGGTCCAGTGCAGGCACAGAAGGTTCCAAACAGGCTGCACCTGCACTGGACCACCCTCTTCCCTCCTTCTTTCAGCTGCCCCTCCTTCTGGACAGGTAAAAGCACTTCCATCTTTTCAGTGTCATGGAGGGAGCCCGAGAAGAGCAAACATTGACATCACCACCGCTGCCCACAGCAGTGACACCACGGGCACACTTTTAAAAGGGTCGTATCCTGGACCGGCACTTCCTTGACTCTCTCTGTCCTAAAGCCTCTGGAGAGCCCTTAAATTTGTGGTCCTTGAAGCTATTGTAAAGGTAAGATTTTTTTTTCTCCCCAAGTCCTACCCATCCTGACTTTAAGTTTGTGGTGTCTCTGATAATCTCTGCTCCTGTTCTTTGAGACCATCCCCGTCACCCTCCACTCTCCCACGTGACACCTGTAAAGTCTCTTCCAGGGATCTGGGGCTACATTCTAGGGTCTCTTTGCTCTGAGCTCTCTGAGGCCTCAGGCTGTCATAATAAATCAAATGGCAGGGATCTTCTCCAACATCATCCTTCTTCCTTCTGCTTTCCTACGAGGGTGGCAGGTTCAACGTGTCTGTAGAGGCCTCGCTGTGTGAGGGTCTGAAGAGAATTTCCAATTTGATGCAGGGGAAGGAAGGGAGAGAGAGACTAAAAATTGGTTGATGGCCACCATGTGCCAGGTGCTCCCAATACAGTCTCAAACTCATGACATCTCCCAGCCAATGGATTCACTCCCTTTACCAGTTCCACCTGGAGCTCCATCTCCCAGACAAGCAAAGGCCATGTTGGGGGGCTTTGCAGTCAGCTGCCTGCCATTTCATCTCAGGTGTTACCGTGGGAAAGTTGTTTAACCTCTTTGAGCCTCAGTTCCCTCACATGTAAAATGGACCTACGAGTTTCTCACACAGGGTTGCCCTGGGGCCAGGATTGCCAGATAAAATATAGGATGCCTGGTATAAAAGTTGCATGGGACAGACTTATACTAAATATGCTCCCCAAATTGTTATAGCTCTAAAATATTATGGCTCCAAATCAAATGTCTGAACTCTATGAGACAGAGCAAAAACCACGAACACAAAGAAGTAACAGGGTCAAGAGAAAAGAGCATGCACTTGGAGGGCAGACATCCAGGAACACCATCTCTGCTCTGTGTCAAGCCAGGCTGTCACTTTAACTGATAATTAAATGCTTCTGTGCCTCGCTGACTCCTCTGTGCCATAGGGACCTAAAGAAAGGCCCTACCTCCCTCACACAGCACAGCTAAGTACTTTGAAAACATTAAAAGCATGAAAACAGTATGTTTTACTCTCTATCCGGGATGGGCCAGGAGCAGTGGCTCACACCTGTAATCCCAGCAGTTTGGGAGGCTGAGGCAGGCAGATCACTTGAGGTCAGGAGTTCACGACCAGCCTGGCCAATATGGCGAAACCCTGTTTCTACTAAAAATACAAAAATTAGCTGGATGTGGTGGCAGGCTCCTATAATTCCAGCTCCTCAGGAGGCTGAGGCAGGAGAATCGCTTGAACCTGGGAGGCAGAGGTTGCAGTGAGCTGAGTTCGCACCACTGCACTCCAGCCTGGGTGACAGAGAAAGACTCCATCTCAAAATAAGTAAATACATAAATATAAATACACAGGATGTGTGCAGTGATATGCCAGGAAGTTCATAGAGTGTCAGTTTTCATCTCTCCCTCCTGCACCAAAAAGCAAACTCATCCATCTAAGAGCACTCAAGACTGAAGGAAACCTTTACAGAAAAATCTAGCCTGTTCCTTCTAATCAGCAGGACTGCACTGAAACCGTCATGGAGATTGGCATCCTTTTCTCTTTCTGAAGACCTCTGGGGAGGCAGATTCTACAAACAGCCTTGGCAGCTGATGTGCTAGCACAGTGTAGGATAACTTATAAATACAGTCAGAGCCAAGGAGGGCCTCCAGAATGCAGCCCAGCATGGTGTGCACTCGTGGAGCCCTGACATACAGCTAAGGAACATTCTGAAAACTCAAGCCATCCCTCTCATCACTCCTCTTCCTTTTAATTGCAATTGACCCTTCAGAAATCAAGTAAATTAAGGGGGAGGGGAAAGAAGAATTTGTGCTAGTAAGACAGATTCCGAAGAATGTAAAATGAAATAATACCAAACACACAGAAATAGAATACTTTAGGCAGAAAGAAAGGGATGAAGAGGTAGAGGGAAGCATTTTTCCTCCCAGTACATAGTAGGTCCTCAATAAACATTTGTTAAATGAGTGCATTCTTAGGAAGGACAATCTCCTCATCCATATGAATGAGAAATGTTTTGCTGATACACTATTTGGAAGTGACTGTACTACAGCTGATTTAATGGTAAAGCCATCAAGTCTGCATTTCATCCTTCTACCTGGGTACTGGCTCCAAGAATCTGTTCTCTATCAACACATCAAGACCCTTGACTTAGAGAGCCTCATATACACAGCAGGAATAAAAGGAGAGGAGAAATAGAGAATGAAACTCAGCCTAACCTTCCTCATCTAGCCCTTTTCTAATTCATCCGGTACCTTTTCTAATTCTTCGCAAAGACACTGCGTAAGTTTTCAGAAGCTTTAGCTGGGCCACACCTCCAGGCTTCCAGGATTTGAAGAATTATGTCAATATAGAAACCAGTTTCTGGACAGCGAATAGCAAATCCAAAATCACTCTAAATTGGTGATTGTCAACCAGGATGGTTTTGCTCCTAGGGGACATTTGGCACCACCTAGAGACATATTTTTAAATGGTCACAACTAGCAGTTCTTATTGGCATTTAGTGGGTAGGGGCCAGGGATACTGCCAAAGTGCCTGTAATACACAGGACAGTGGCCCACAACAGAGAATTATCTCAATATCTCAGCAAGGAATTATGTCAACAAAGCCACAATTGAGAAGCACTGTGCTAGATTCAAATCTCTTCTACCGTGTCTTCTCAGACCAAAGTCTTACCTGTGACAACTTATAGTAACCTCTCTGCTTTGGTGTCCACACCTTAATCTACCAAGTCAACAGATATGTACCAAATGCCTATAGCTCTCTACCAGGCATGCAAGCAAGGAAAAAGCAGCAACTTTCCTCAAAATAAAACCATAGAAGTTAGTCAGAAAAGAAAGTGCAAAACAGTGGGTACCTTCTCAAGGAAATAAACCAAACAAAAAATCCAGACAGTAGCCAAGCACAGAAATGCACATAGTGTTTTTGTCATTTCTGAGGAAACAAGTTAGAATATGGATGGCTCAGGCCTCCTGGGTTCAATCTGAAGTCTTTTGTTTTTTCTTTTCTTAAGGAAGCTAATAGACAACAAATTGAGAAAGAATGAGTGGAGGCCGTTTGGTTTAGTATGTTCTCTGCAACACTGTTGCGTTTCCCCTGTAGAAAGTTTACAAATGGTAGTTCAGTTCCAGGTCAGCCCAGAAGAGCTTACTGGACAATAGTCCACCTGAGGTGCCAAAACCACAGGAGTCCAGGGATACACAAGCCCTGAGTTTTCTTGGAAGAAAGAAGGACAAAGGGATTATCTGTTTCTTTTCTCCTTAGACTCCCTAAGTCCCCTGCTCTACACCACCTCTCTCAGAGGTAAGAGTAATCCTAGAAAACCTTTAACTAGTTTTTTTAAAATTTATAAGCAAAGTACATCCTGGAAAAAAAAATCCCACCTCAGACCCATATCCCCAGGCTCTTTTCAAAGAGACAAAGTCACTGTTTATTACATTTCTTCCAGAAATACTCTCTGCATATACTCAAACGTATGCATGCATATATCACCTTTCAAATTATAGGCAGAAATGGAAGCATGCAGTCTGTTGTGTACTTTTTTTTCAACTATTTTAAGTTCAGAGGTACACGTGCGGAATGTGCAGGTTTGTTACATAGGTAAACGTGTGTCATGGTGGTTTGCTGTATAGATCAACCCATTACCTAGGTATTAAGCCCAGCATCTATTAGCTGTTTTTCCTGATGCTCTCCCTTCCCCCACCCCCGTGAAAGGCACCAGTGTGTGTTGTTTCCCGCCCATATGTCCTTGTGTTCTCATCGTTCAGCTCCCACTTATACATGAGAACATGAGGTATTTGGTTTTCTGTTCCTGAATTAGTTTGCTGAGGCTAATGGCTTCCAGCTCCAACCATGTCCCTGCAAAGGTCATGATCTTGTTCCTTTTTATGGCTGCATAGTATTCCATGGGGTATATGTAACACATTTCCTTTATCCAGTCTATTATTGATGGGCATTTGGGTTGATTCCATGTCCTTGCTATTAGGAATAGTGCTGCAATGAACATACGTGTTCATATATCTTTATAATAGAATGATTTATACTGCTTTAGGTATATACCCAGTAATGGAATTGCTGGGTTAAATGATATTTCTGCTCCTAGATCTTTGAGGAATGGCCACATTGTCTTCCACAATGGTTGAACTAATTTGCACTCCCACCAACACGTATAAAAGCATTCCTTTTTCATTGCAACTTCTCCAGCATCTGTTGTTTCTGGACGTTTTAATAATTGCCATTCTGACTTGGCATGAGATGGTATCTCATTGTGGTTTTTAATTTGCATTTCTCAAATGATCAGTGACATTGAGCTTTTCTTCATATGTTTGTTGGCTGCATAAATGTCTTCTTTTGAGAAGTATCCATTCATGTCGTTTGCCCATTTTTAATATTTTTTTCCTTGTAAATTGGTTTAGGTTCCTTGTAGACCCTGGATATTAGACCTTCGTCAGGTGGAAAGATTGCAAAATTTTTTCCCCATTCTTTAGGTTGTCTGTTCACTCTGATGATAGTTTCTATTGCTGTGCAGAAGCTCTTAAGTTTAATTAGATCCCATTTGTCAGTTTTTGCTTTTGTTGCAATTGTTTTTGGTATTTTTGTCATGAAATCTTTGCCCATGCCTATGTCCTAAATGGAACTGCCTAGATTTTCTTCTAGGGTTTTTACAGTTTTGGGTTTTACATTTAAGTCTTTAATTCATCTTGAGTTGATTTTTGTATAAGGTGTAAGGAAGGGGGTTACAATTTTCCACATATAGCTAGCCAGTTCTCCCAGCACCATTTATTAAATAGGGAGTCCTTTCCCCATTGCTTGTTTTTGTCAGGATTGTTGAAGATCAGATGGTTGTAGGTGTGTCGTCTTATTTCTGAGTTCTCTATTTTGTTCCATTGGTCTATGTGTTTGTTTTTATACTAATACCATGCTGTTTTGGTCACTGTGGCTCTGTAGTATAGTTTGGAGTTGGGTAGCATGATGCCTCCAGCTTTGTTGCTTCTGTTAGGATTGTCTTCGCTATTCGGGCTATTTTGTTTTGTTTTGTTTTGTTTTTTTGGTTCTGTATGAATTTTAAAATAGTCTTTTCTAATTCTTTGAAGAATGTCAATGGTAGTTTAATGGGAATAGCATTGAATCTATAAATTACTTTGTGCAGTATGGTCATTTTCATGATATTGATTCTTCTTATCTATGAGCATAAAATGTTTTTCCATTTGTTTGTTTCCTCTCTGATTTCCTTGAGCAGTGGTTTGTAGTTCTCCTTACGGAGGTCCTTCACTTCCCTTGTTATCTGTATTCCTAGGTATTTTATTCTTTTTGTGTCAATTGTGAATGGGACTTCATTTATGGTTCGGCTCTCTGCTTGCCTGTTGTTGGTATAAAGGAATGCTAGAGATTTTTGTGCATTGATTTTGTAAGTTGAGACTTTGCTGAAGTTGCTTATCAGCTTAAGAAGCTTTTGGGCTGAGATGATGGGGTTTTCTAAATATAGGACATGTCATCTGCAAACAGGGATAGTTTGCCTTCCTCTCTTCCTATTTGAATACTCTTTATTTCTTTCTCTTGCCTGATTGTCCTGGCCATAATTTCCAATACTATGTTGAATAGGAGTGGTGAGAGAAGGCATCCTTGTCTTGGTACACTTTCTTTTTACCCATAAATCTACCTTACTTCTTTAACGGCTGCAGAATATCCCATGCTATGAATGTACCATTGGTATCAACATTAGGACAGTGACTAGGAATATTTTGAAAAACCAAAAGTTCATCTTTCTCCTCTTACTTACTACCTCTTGTCCCTACCCTTGTCCTCCATATAGAGCTGCCTTGAACCCTTCACCTTATCTCTCTTGACTGGTTTTACTCTATCCCCTTTCCCAAAGGAGTCATCCCCCAAAAGCATGGACTTTCTGACTCCAACCCAAAACTCACCTTCTTTCAGAGTGGCTGGCCTGACTTATTTTATTCCAAAAGAAAGTAATTTGATTCTAACTAATTATTATATGAATTACCACCAACTCCTTAACCCTCACATTTAGAAAGGAGATGTTAACTAAGTTGAACTCATCATTGGAATTCCAGAGAGCAACAACTGATTTAAAAAAAAAAAAACAGAAGCTGTCAAGAGCATACAATTATGGGTTGGGATCAGCCATATTGGCTATTATCTCATGTCAGAAAATCTAGGCACAGAGAGCTTCCTCTAACTGATGATAATTCTGGGCAATTTCTTCATTTCTTCTAGCTAAAAGTCCAATTACTTTTCAAAAGCTCTAAGGTTTTCCACAATACTCTTAGTAAGGGGCCTGGAAAGAGCAGGCCAGCTGTCTATAGGTATAGGCCATTCATAAATGGGTATCCGTAACATATGGACCCACCGTTCTGAGACTGGCCACGAGTCAATTGAGAAAGAGTATGCCATCACTTGCAGATGCCCACAAGAGAACTTGGACATACAGAAGAGGGATAACTGAGTTGAGACTGGAGTTGTGCAGAATATATATATGTGTGTGTGTGTGTGTGTGTGTGTGTGTGTGTGTATGTGTGTAACTACATAATATATTAATATACGTACAGACATAATTTTAAAAGAGCACAAATGGAAACACATACATAACACAAATGCAGTTACATTAAGAGTGGGGGCCAGAGGGTCCTTTTATCACCTACTGTCAGTGAAGGGATCCAAAATGGTCACAAGAGTCTTCTCCTGCCAGTTTCCAGGCCCTATCCTGACGGCAAACACCAGGACAGTGTCTTTAATCAGAGCTGGCCCAAGGCCCATCACCCTCTAATGTGAAAGCTGTCTACTTTAGCCAAACTTTTCAATTAGGACAGGTACTCTTCTTTTGAACATCCAAGGTGGAGAGGAAAAACGGCTAGGTCTGAACCCTCAGGATGTGCCAGGGCAGTACAAGTGTGGATGGCATCAGATGGTAGGGGGCAGAGAGAGAACCAGGTCAGGGTGGAATGGCACTGAGGGCCATTAGGGCCTTTTGGGGGCCAGGTAAGTGGCCTCAGATGGTGACAGCTACATGGTCCTGGGTAAGTCTGTTCTGGTTGGTTTCATTTGGATCTGGAGGGTCCTACTACACCTGGCTAATTTTTCTATTTTTAGTAGAGACGGGGTTTCACCATGCTGCCGAGGCTCATATTACACTCCTGGACTCAAGTGGTACACCCTCCTCGGCCTCCCGAAGTGCTGAGATTACAAGTGTGAGCCGCTGCACCCGGCCATGTGCGTATCTTTTAAATATACGTAAGTTATTTATGTCTAGATAGCCATCTGCTTCTTAGAATATGCTTAGTGTATTTGCACATCATTTTAAGCCTACCAGTAGTGTTTTGTGAGTATGTATTGTGCACATATGTACACAAATATATATTTCATGTGGAATATATAGTTCGTATATGCGTATTACATCATGAATTTATTTATAATAGCTGTTCCATGTCTTATGCATGAAATCTCCAAGTAAAGGGCATCTAAATTCAGTACAATTAGAAGTAGAATAAACTGTTGCAAATAAGATCTTTGAAAATGTCCTCTGATAGACTTCTGTGGCTGCTTCTCAGGGGAATATACCCAGGATGTGATGGTCAGGACGTAAAGTATACACATAAAAATTTTCCCTAAGTACTAAGAAAATAATCTCCAAAGGAGTCTGCATCCTTGAAGTAAAACATGAACATGCCCATATCCTCACATTGTCACTAATGTTTGGCGTAATCCAAATTTCTAAAGTTAATAAACAAATATAAAGTGTTATTTTGTGTCACTTATTAGGTCACTAATATTTCTGAGTTGCTGTTCACATATTTCTAACCCATTAAAGTTTTCTCTACTTTGAATTACCTCTTCATATTGTGTTCAGAGTCTGCATTTCCCAAGTTTTTTCTAGGTAATATAAGAGTACCTTAAAAAGGTATTATTACTGTTGTAGAAGGAGTATTATGTGTGTCAAAGGATCCTAGTTTCTTTTTAATATTTATTGAATATTAAATAATAAATATTTAATATTTATTAAATCCCATTTTCCCTTAGAACGCCACACAGTCAGCTGAGAACATTATCATTTACGTAAACACTACGTTTCTTAGCCTCCCTTGGAGGTCATTGCGACCATGGAACTAAATTTGGGAAAGTGAGATGAAGGCACGATTATTTGCCTGTGACTTCCAGGGTCTTTCCTTACAGGAGGGTATCTTTTGTCCTTTCTACTCCTCTTTCATTACTGCAGCTTGGATGCACTTATATTTCCTGGAGCTCCAGCAGCTCTATGTGACTATTAGTAAATGAGACATGCCCTAAGTAAAGCTGGGGGAGTGTGGAGTCCCAGTGGCTCATGAGGCACAGCTGCCACACCAAACCCGGATGGCCAAGCCTCTATCAAATTTTGTGTGAGCAAGAAGTATACTAACTTGTTTAGGTGACTGTTATTTGGGAGCTCTTCTGCCACCTTCAATTCAGCCTCTTTTTTTCACAAAATTATTGTTTATTCAATAAGAACACATTTATCTTGAAATACTTTTTTTTAAACTTTTATTTTAAATTCAGGGGTACATGTGCAGGATGTGCAGGTTTGTTACATAGGTAAACATGTGTCATAGGAGTTTGTTGTACATATTATTTCATCACCCAGGTATTAAACCTAGTATCCATTAGTTATTTTTCCTGATGCTCTCCCTCCTCACCCTCCATCCTCTGGTAGGCCCCAGTGTGCATTGTTCCTTTCTTTGCGTCCATATGTTCTCATCATTTAGCTCCCACTTATAAGTAAGAACATGTGGTATAATATTTGGATTTCTGTTCCTGCATTAGTTTGCTAAGGATAATGGCCTCCAGCTCCATCCATGTCCCTGCAAAGGTCGTGATCTTATTCTTACTTTTTATAACTGCATAGTATTTCGTGGTGTATATATACCACATTTTCTTTATCCAGTCTATCATTGATGGGCATTTAGATTGATTCCACATCTGTGCTATTGTGAATAGTGCTGCAATGGACGCATGCATGCATGTGTCTTTATAATAGAATGATTTACATTCCTTTGGTTATATACCCAGTAATAAGATTGCTTGGGTGAATGTTATTTATTTCTCTAGGTCTTTGAGGAATCATCACACTGTTTTCCACAATGGTTGAACTAATTTATATTCCCATCAACAGTATAAAAGTGCTCCTTTTTCTCCATAACCTTGCCAGCACCTGTTATTTTTGGACTTTTTAATAATCACCATTCTGACTGGTGTGAGATAGTATCTCACTGTGGTTTTTAATTTGCATTTCTCTACTGATCAGTGATGTTGAGCTTTTTTTCATATGATTGTTGGCTGCATGTATGTCTTCTTTTGAAAAGTGTCTTTTCATGTCCTTTGCCCACTTTTTAGTGGGGTTGTTTTGAATTTGTTTAAATTTCTTTTTTATTTTATTTTTTCTTTTCTTTTCTTTTTTTTTTTGAGACGGAGTCTCACTCTTTTGCCCAGGCTGGAGTGCTGTGGTGCAATCTCGGCTCACGGCAACCTCCACCTCCTGGGTTCAAGCAATTCTTCTGCCTCAGCCTCCCGAGTAGCTGGGAGTACAGGCATGCACCACCACGCCCAGCTAATGTTTATATTTTGACTAGAGATGTGGTTTCATCATGTTGGCCAGGCTGGTCTTGAACTTCTGACCTCAGGTGATCCTCCTGCCTTGGCCTCCCACAGTGCTGTGATTACAGGTGTGAGCCACCATGCCCAGCCAAGTTTCTTACAGATGCTAGATATTAGACCTTTGTTAGATGCATAGTTTGCAAAACTTTTCTCTCATTCTTTAGGTTGTCTGTTTACTCTGCTGTTAGTTTCTTTTGCTGTGTGGAAACTCTTTAGTTTAATTAGATCCCATTTGTCAATTTTGGCTTTTGTTGCGATTGCTTTTGGCATCTTTGTCATGAAATCTTTGCCCATGTCTATGTTCCGAATGGTATTGCCTAGGCTTTCTTCTAGGATTTTTATAGTTTGGGGTTTTACATTTAAGTCTTTAATTCATCTTCAGCTGATTTTTTTATTAGGTGTGAGGCTGGAGTCCAGTTTCAATTTGCACATATGGCTAGCCAGCTTTCCCAGCACCATTTATTAGAGAATCCTTTCTCCATTGCTTGTTTTTGTCAGGTTTGTCAAATATCGGATTGCTGTGGGGGTGTAGTCTTATTTCTGGGTTCTCTATTCTGTTCCATTGGTCTATGTGTCTTTTCTTGCACCAGTGCCATGCTGCTTTGGTTACTGTAGACCTGTAGTATAGTTTGAAGTTGAAGAGCATGATGCCTCCAGATTTTTCTTTTTGCTGAGAATTGCCTTGGCTCTTCAGGCTCTCTTTGGGTTCCACATGAATTTTAAAATATTTTTTTTTCTATTTCTGTGAAGAACTTCCATGGTAGTTTAATGGGAATAGCATTGGATCAATAAATTACTTTGGGCAGTATGGCCATTTTCATAATATTGATTCTCCCTATACATGAGCATGGAATGTTTTTCCATTTGTATCCTCTCTGATTTCTTTGAGCAGTGGTTTGTTGTTCTCTTTGTAAAGGTCCTTCACTTCCCTTGTTACCTGAATTGCCAGGTACCTTATTCTTCTTGTAGCAATTGTGAGTGGGAGCTCACTCATGATCTGGCTCTCAGCTCGATTGTTGTTGGTGTATAGAAATGCTATAACAATTTTTGCACATTAATTTTGTAACTTGAGACTTTGCTGAAGTTGCTTATCAGCTTAAGAAGCTTTGGGGGCTGGGCGCGGTGCCTCATGCCTGTGATCCCAGCACTTCTGGAGGCCGAGGTGGGATGTGTGTGCAGTGGTGAAGGGAACGGCTCCTTCCTCATAATGGACCCTCCGCCCCCAGCCTGTGCAGTGCGGGGGCTGCTGGCAGGCAGAGTGCCGCCCCAGGGGCCCTGGGAGCTGCAGGGCATATTGCTGCTGAGCCAGAATGAGCTGTACCGCCAGATCCTGCTGCTGATGCACCTGCTGCCGCAAGACCTGCTGCTGCTAAAGGTCAGGCCTCCCCTACGGCCCACTTGGTCCTAGGCCTTCCCCTCTTGGTGGTAGGAATGGCCCATCCCTGCCCATGCTCTACCTCTGAAACCTCCTGGGTGGTAGGTCTGGCCTTGCCCGGTCTTTGGCTAGGCCCCTGCCCATGTGCCTGGCTCTCCTGAGGCCACATGGGTGCCTTTTTCTCCCAGCCCTGCCAGTCTTCCTACTGCTACTGTCAGGAGGTGCTGGACAGGCTCATCCAATGCGGGCTCCTGGTTGCTGAGGAGGTAGGCAGGGCAGTTGGAGACAAGATCCTTGCCTGGAGCCTGGCCTCCTCCAGCCTCCCACCCTGAGTGCCAGCTGCCCCAGGCTCCTCCTCTGCCCTGTGTGTGCTGTGGGGGTGGGCAGCCCCTGGCCTTGCAGCGGGGAAGCCTAGCTCGCACCTCTGCTCCCTGTGCCTTGGGATATGGCCACCTATGCCCCGGTTCTGTGTGTGTCTCTCTGGATAGCACTGGACATGTGTGCCTCTGAGGTTCTCTGCACACCTCCTGCTCCCCACATTTCTTGGCCACAGGGCTACTGCCCTTGAGGGTGGGAATTCACTTCCTCTCACTCTGCAAGTTGGCCCAGCAGGTGCTGGGGCATGGCTCTGGCCATCCTCTTGGGTCTCTAGGTCTGCTTTTACTGGTTTCACCTGCATGTACCTGGTCTGGGGGTGTAGGGTTGATCCCTGGCCAGCTTGTCAGAGAACAATGGCTCCGGGTCCGGCCAGCCTGTGACACAGGGCAACGGCGACTGAGCAGAAAGCTGCTGTGGAAACCGAGTGGGGATTTTACTGATAGTGACAGTGATGACTTCAAAGAGACCGAGGGCCAGTACTCCAGGGTGTGTTTCAAAAAGCTGCCCCTGGAGGGAGGTGGTAGGGAGGTGGTGGGGAGCTGCACTCACCCCGGCCTGTCCCCTCCAGCTCAGCCAGCAGTCACACTGCCCAGATTTCTTTCTTTTCCTCTGCCGCCTGCTCAGCCCGCTGCTCAAGGCCTTTGCACAGGCTGCCGCCTTCCTCCGCCAGGGCCAGCTGCCCGATACTGGTGAGGCCCTTGTTCCCTTGCAGTCCTCGAGGCAGGCTGTGTCTGTGCTGGGTGCCAGGTCTAGGTCTTCTCTCTTCTGCAGAGTCGGGCTACACAGACCAGCTGTTCCAGTTCCTGCAGGCCACCGCCCAGGAAGAAGGGATCTTCGGTGAGTCTCAACCAGTCAGCCCAGGCTCCTGCAGGCAGTGGTGTTTGCTGGTGGCTGCTGCCCCCTGCCAGACAGTGACAACCCAAGTCTAGGAAGGTGGGCTGCAGAGTACAGACAGTCTTCTGTCCAGTCTGAGTTCTATCCCTCCCGGGGCTTCTTTAAACAAGAGGAGAGAAGCCTGTGCCCAGTGGCTCCCTGTCCTCCCTACCTAGAGCCTTCACTTCTCTCTTCTTTCCAGAGTGTGCGGACCCAAAGCTTGCCATCAGTGCTATCTGGACCTTCAGAGACCTAGGGGTGAGAGGAGCCAGTGTCACCATCTTCTGTCCCCCTGCTCCCACCCCAATAGAGTGGCTCAGGGAAACCCAGCTATGTCCCCATCACTCCACAGGGCTGGCCTGATGGTGCCTCATTAAGACCCTGGGATTTACTTGGTGTCTTCCAGCAACAGATGTGGTGATGGGTTGGAGAAGGTGGGATGGTTTCCTGCCTCTTGGTCTCCCAAATCACTGGCTCATCTTTCTAGGTGGGGCTGCTTTGCGGCAGCATTTGCATGCAAACACTGAGGTCTAAGGGGCCAGAGGTCTCAAGGCAGGTTTCTGGGGGACAGGCCTGGCCCCTGAGCCATGCAGACACAGTCCCTGTGGTGAGCGCACTCATGGCGCATCTTCCATGGCCCAGGTTCTGCAGCAGACGCCGAGCCCTGCAGGCCCCAGGCTCCACCTATCCCCTACTTTTGCCAGCCAGGACAATCAGGAAAAACTAGAACAGTTCATCCGGCAGTTCATTTGTAGCTAGAACTGTGAGGAGGAGCCTGTGCTGAGACTTCTCAGCCCCAGAACACAGCTGTGTCCTAGAGCCAGAAGATGGAGAGGAGGCTGCAAACCCTTAGCTGCTCTATAAATATAATCATTGAGGCTTGATTGTCCCTTGCCATCTCTTGCTTTTTCCCTCCTTTGATGTGATAAACAAGGGGACGAGACGAGTTGTCTTTTCCCCAGCCCAGCAGCATCTTTTTGGCGTATGTGTGTGTATTTGCTCTCTTCTTCCCAGTCCCACAAAATGCCCCAACTTGTTCCATGAAACAAAGCCCAAAAGAAGACAAACAGCACAAGCCAAGCTGCTGCTTTGACCCGACGCATTTATTGAAGAGAGCTCTGTCCTTCTCCCTTCTACCGAGAAGAGGCGGCTTGCAGGGCTGGCACCTGCCCACACCTGCCACTGGGCCTTTCCCTGGGCTAGGCTGAGTGGGAGCAGATGCCCTCATCCTATGTCGGGCCTGTGCAGGAGCCATCACACCACCTTGTTGATGATGACACCTAGTTCTTCAATCTCACACTGGACTTCATCCCCCTTCTGCAACAGAGCAGGCCATGACGGTGTCAGCCCTTCCGTCAGACACATACACAAGCCTGTACTTCTCAAGTCTGAGCCAAGCCTGCCAGGCCTTTGGGGCCCTTGCTCTCTTTGCTTTTCGCTAACCTACCTTGAGAAAGACAGGAGGTTTCCTGAATACACCGACACCTGGGGGGGTCCCAGTTAGGATGACATCCCCTGGGTAAAAGGTAACAAACCTGGAGCAAAGCAAAAGGACCCAGTGAGACCAGGGGCTGGCTGAGTGGCCACAGCCAAAGGTGGAGGGCTCAGGTCAGCCTCCACATGTGTGGCAGGTGGAGCGGGGCTGGCAGGACAGCCCTTGTCACTCACTGGGAGACCCAGGCTATCAGGTCCTCTGTCTTGAATACCATCTGGTTGGTGTTGCTGCTCTGGACGACTTCCCCATTCACTCGGCAGCAGATCTTTAAGTTGTGTGGATCTGAAATGCAAAGATGGAACCTTGGAGTTATCCCTTTTCCCCCTCAAACCCCCCAGTGTTTTACAAACACAACTGTAGGGGCGCTTCGTGACTTGGCAGGTGAAAGGGCTTTAAAGTGCCCACATTGACTCAGTGCACTATGTTAGAACTTTCTGTATAGACACTGGCCTTCTCAGGCCTCCCTGCATCCCCACCAAGAGCACCAGGCAGTAGTCACTTGAATGAGTTGAGAGGATGTTCCAGACTCTGAAGGAGAAGAGAAAAATGGCTAGGGTTTTTGCCTCAAGAAAGGGCATCTGTCTACAGCATAGGAAGATACCTGTAGATACAAAAATGACTCCCGGGCAGGGCCAAGCGTGGTGGCTCACACCTGTAATCATAGCACTTTGGGAGGGCAAAACAGGTGAGAACTGATTAAGCTCAGGAGTTCAAAACCAGCCTGGGTAACACAGTGAGTGCTTGTCTCTATGCAAAATAATAAAAACATTAGTCAGGCGTGGTGGTGCGTGCCTGTAGTCCCAGCTACTCAGGAGGCTGAGGTGGGAGAACCGCTTGAACCCAGGAGGTTGAGGCTTCAGTGAGCTGGGATTGGGCCACTGCACTCTAGCCTGGGTGACACAGTAAGACCATGCCAAAAAAAAAAAAAAAAAGACTCAGAATCTATAAAGCAGTGAGGCAGTGGTTCTAGCCGGGACAGAGAAGCCTCGTGTATCAGCCGCTGGCAGGGGATGGATTACTGTAAGAACATCCTGGCTAACCAGCACTTTTAACTGTTGGTGTTGGTCTTAGTGTTCTACCACCCTTAAGTAGAGCAGCTGAAACACAATTTAACTTTGCCGAGGACTCTGTGTGGGTGCTGTGAGGCACTGGGGTCTTTGGTATCCTGGCATGGCTGGCCCATGTGGACACCCCCCACCTCCACCACAGTTGTGGGTGGCTGTGTGTTAAGAGGCTGCGCTCTGCCCTCTGGCACACTGCCTCCAACCTGGCGCTGTCCCCTCACTGTGTGTGGTCAATGCTGTTGTTTCCACAGTGGCTGGGTGAGTCACACTGGCTTTCATCTGTAGTGTGGAAAATGCCTGGGCCTTGCGATAGCTATGCTCCATGATGCTCAACTTAGATTATTTCAGATGGTGGCAGCCGCAGGAAGCCCGATCCACCCATCAGCTCAGTGTTCTTTGTAATTTACTTCACGCATGCAGTTTCACATCCTCTGCAGTTGTGTTCCCTCTAGGGGGCTTGGGAAGGAAGCCCATGGGAGAACTGGTGGCTGAGGATAAAAGACTTTCCCTGTATGGAGTCAGCAGTCAAAGGGCAGCCAGGGAGGGCAGGTGCCACATGTACCTGAACCCATGCTCCTCCCTGGAGGGCTGTTCATCTGTGCAATGGTAGGTACCAGGGGGCAGGGACCAGGGACCTACCTGCTACACTGTCCTTGGTCACCAAGGCAGGGCCCAGAGGGCAGAAGGTGTCGAAGGTTTTTCCCAGCAGCCACTGTTTCCCATTGCGTCTTGTTAGCCAGTCACGAGCACTCACGTCATGAGCCACAGTGAAGCCGGCCACGTGGGCCATGGCATCTGTGGCCTATGGGGGCAGGGGATTTGGCCATACAGGAGGTTAGATCACGGGTGACACCAACACCTGTGGCAAGGGATCTCAAAGCTGTTATCCCATGTTAGTAGCCAGAGCCAGCCAAAGGTGGGTGAAGGGAAAGGCAGTGTCAGGGAGCAAGGAGGCTGACTGCTTCCTAGTGTCAGGGACAGCTGGTGCCGTGTGTCGGTGAGTGAGGTCAGAACTAGGAGAGGCAGGAGCTGGGGCCTCTGCTGCACTCTGGCCTGGGAGCCCACCCTTTCCACCTCACCTTGATGTGCTTGCCTTTCTTTCCAATGACCACGGCCAGCTCCACTTCCCAATCTACCTCCTGTAGGGTGGGAGAGGAATAGTGAGCCGCAGTGGCTTCGGGGCCCATTATCTATGCTCAGAGGCTGTACGCCATGGATCTCTGTCAGTATGGCTTGGCTGCCATCCCACGTTTGCCATCACCCTGAACCAGAGCCCAGTGAATGACAAGGGAGGTGTGACTTGTAGACCCATACATTTTGGGCAGTGGCAGACAGCATCATGGAATACAGGCACAGGTCCCCACACCACTGTGACTGCAGAAGAGCAACACGTGTCCAGGGCACTGAGTTTAAAAGTCACTCTGGATACTTTTAACAAAGGATAAATACGAAGTAATATCCCCTAGCAATATGTAACCTTACTGTGTGTCAGGCACTGTTCTAAGTGTTTTAATCTATTAACTCACTTTAGTAAGAGAAAGATTGACATGCCACAAAGGACTTGAGTAAGCAATTCACAAAAAGGTAACGGACATGGCCACAAAACATGAAAAAATGCTCAGCCTCTCCCATAATCCATAAAATACACTATAAAATAGATATAATTTGGCCTTCAAAATTGGTGGCTCTTTCTAATAATAACCAGAGTTGGTATAAGTACACCTGACATCCAGATGTTGGTCTCTAATACCACTCCCCACTAAGGAGCACTGGGTTCCTTGGTCCAAGACAGACAGTACATGATGAGCCTGGAACGTCTTGGCCAGAAAGCAAATATATGCTAAAAGCTTGGGGATGGAACAAACTTGAAGGTCCCTCATTGGCCAAATTGAGGTCACCTGAAGAATGTAAATGATGGATTACAACCAATTGAATAAAAACAAAAAGGAATTCACAGTGATATTGAAGACACAGGAATAAAGAGGGAGGCAGCTTTTTTTCTTTTTTTTTGAGACGGAGTCTCACTCTGTTGCCCAGGCTGGAGTGCAGTGGTGCAATCTCAGCTCACTGCAAGCTCCGCCTCCTGGGTTCACACCATTCTCTCGCCTCAGCCTCCCGAGTAGCTGGGACTACAGGCACCTGCCACCACGCCTGGCTAATTTTTTGTATTTTTAGTAGAGATGGGGTTTCACTGTGTTAGCCAGGATGGTCTTGATCTCCTGAACTCGTGATCTGCCCGCTTTGGCCTCCCAAAGTGCTGAGATTTCAGGTGTGAGCCAATGTGTCTGGCCAGGCTTTTTTCATAGAAGAATGCCAGCTAACAAAAACTGCATGATTTAGAAAAATCATTGTTCTTGGCCGGGTGCAGTGGCTCATGCCCATAATCCCAGCACTTTGGGAGGCTGAGGCAGGTGGATCACCTGAGGTGAGGAGTTCAAGACCAGCCTGGCCAACATGGTGAAACCCTGTCTCTACTAGAAATACAAAAAATTAGCCAGGTGTGGTGGTGCATCCCTGTAATCCCAGCTACTAGGGAGGCTGAAGCAGGAAAATTGCTTGAACCTGGGAGGCAGTGGTTGCAGTGAGCTAAGATGGTGCCACTACATTCCAGCCTGGGTGACAGAGACTCCATCACAAAAGAAAAGAAAAGTCATTGCTCTTCATCCCCCAATGCAATAATGGGTCCAGTAAGGATGACTACAGGATCCTTGGATGAGAATCTATGGGGCAATAAGATAGTTATGTGATCTCAAACTACCACATAGATTGCTTGTTAATTACAAAAATGGAAATGCGTCTTCACAATGGAGGGACCTAGTGAACGTCAGCTAAACCAAGTGGTCAAATTCTGGGACCACTGACATGAGCCTCCCAGTCAGATGCAATGGGAAATGTATAACATCTTTGTAGATCTCTTGATAAAAATGCTTACCCTGACACTAATCATGAAGAAACAACCAGACAAACCCAGGATGTGAAACATGCTATGAGACAACTGGATTCTTCAAGGAAAGGGCAGGGGGGATTGTTTGAGGTCAGGAGTTGGCAAACTATGGCCAGCTCACTGTCTGCTATAATCAACTTTGATTGGAAACCCATCATTCATTTCTGTATCGTCCCTGGTGGTTTTCACACTATAACAGCAGAGTTGAATTGTTGCAAAACAGACCATATGACACTCAAAGCGTAATATTTACTAATTGGCTCTTGATATGGTTTAGCTCTGTGTCCCCACCCAAATCTCAACTTGTAGCACCCATAATTCTAATGTGCTATGGGAGGGACCCGGTGGGAGATGACTGAATCATGGGGGCAGGTCTTTCCCGTGCTGTTCTCATGATAGTGAATGGGTCTCACGAGATCTGATAGTTTTAAAAACGGGAGTTTCTCTGCACAAGCTCTTTTCTGCCTGCTGCTATCCACCTAAGATGTGACTTGCTCCTCCTTGCCTTCTGCCATGATTGTGAGGCTTCTCTAGCCACGTGGAACTGTAAGTCCAATTAAACCTTTTTCTTTTGTAAATTGCCCAGTCTCGGATATGTCTTTATTAGCAGCAAGAAAACAGACTAATACAGCCCTTTAAGAAAAAGTCTATGGAACCCTGTTCTAGGTTAAAACTACTAAAGAGATATAACTGAATACAGTGTGTGCCCTTGGTTGATCACAGAGCAACAAAGTAACCAAATTAAAAGTCATCTTTGGGGCAACTGGATTTCATATTAAATATCATTCAAGTTAATTTTCTTGGCTGTGATAATGGTATGGTCATGCAAGCCATTGTCCTTATAAAGTGTCTATTTCAGTTTTATGACAATATTTGCAATGTGTCACCCCAACCCCTGCCAAAAAAAAAATGTGTGTTTGCCATGTGAAGGGCAGGGAGAGGGCAAGGGAGAGAAAGCAAATACAGCAAATGTCTACAGTGAAACCAGGTGAAAAGTATATGAGCATTCACTGTATTATTTCAGCTTTTCTATAATTCCCAAGACATTTCTAAAATAAAAATTTGCGAGGAAAAGTAACCAGTGTTAGTAAGGGTATATACACTAACGATGGATGTGTAAGTTGCTCTTACAATTTGCTTAAAGGACAATTGGGAGATTTTCTCAAGGGTTTTGAAATACTGCCTGTAGTTTGATAATATTCAAATCCTAAGAGTTCATTCAAAGGAAATAATAAGGCCGGGTGTGGTGACTCACACCTGTAATCCCAGCACTTTGGGAGGCTGAGGCAGGCAGATCACAAGGCCAAGAGACTGAGACCATCCTGGCCAACATGGTAAAACCCCATCTCTACTAAAAATACAAAAATTAGGTGGGCGTGGTGGCATGCGCCTGTAGTCCCAGCTACTCGGGAGGCTGAGGCAGGAGAATCACTTGAACCCAGGAGGCGGAGGTTGCAGTGAACCAAGATTGTACCACTGCACTCCAGCCTGGCAACAGAGAAAGACTCTGTCTCAAAAAAAAAAAAAAAAAAAGGAAATAATAATATATTAATGGACATGCAAAGTCTTTTCTACATAAGGATGTTCATTGCGACATTTATTTATAGAAACCAAAAACTGGAAACAAGTATCCAGCAGTAAGGTACTCAGGAATATAAACTACCCTGTACATCACAAAACTCCAAGGTAACCTAAATATGTCAGGGAGAATATTTAATGGCATGAAAAAATGCTCCTGATGGAGTCTTAAGTAAAAGGTAAGTATATGTACAGTATAAACATATACAGGAGTGGAGAAACACTGGGAAGGTAGACAGAAAAACATTAATATTCCGAGCCATGGGCAGTGGGATTATGGGTGACGTAATTTTTAAATGTTTATCTCTGTTTTATCTACAGTGAAGGTGTATTGCTTTTGTAACCAGGAAAACACGTACATTAACTTTTTTTTTCCAAGGCCAGTGTTACTACTGTGTGTATAATCCTGTAGAGTTTCTGTTGAATGCACTACTGAGCGAGAGGTGGCTCCAGTAGGCTCAATACTGAGCTCAGAATGCCCTTGTGATGGGCCCAGTGACTAGGGAGGGCAGTGGGGAGGCACTGACCTGGCTCTGTGGTGGGAGGACCACCTCATCATAGGGCCCCACGATGGAGCTGGCAAACTTGCTGAAGATGATGGGCTCCTTGGGCACGGGCACGTTCTGTTCTTTGCAGTGGTCCACATAATTCATGCCCACACACACCACCTTATCTGGCCATGTGACTGGAGCCAGGAAGGTTACCTCCGACCATGGTAGGACTGGCAACTGGGCAGCCAAGGCTCTGTAGAGACCAGAGCAGGTGAGAGGGTCTGGCTGGGAACAGGTGGGCAATCCCGGGCAGGCTGGGCAGATCCTGCAGCAGCTACAGGTTTTGCTTTTTGAAATCTATTTCCTAGCTCTATCAACCATCAGAGTCAGTGTGAAAACCACTGACTATTGTCCTTTGCTGTCAGAGCAGGGCTTTTATTTATCCAGTATTGATTTCCTCTCCCCCTTAGGTAACTCATGTCCATGTAAAAGATACAAACTGGAATACATGGAAAGGTCTCCCTTTCCCCTTCTGGTTACCCCGTTCCCCTGGCTCTTCGCAGCTACTCTATGGATATTCTTCTCCCACCCTTTTGTATGTAATGATAGCATACTATTTACATCTTTTAAAAAAACAACTGACTTTGGAGATCTCTGCTTAACAATATGTAACAATACATAGAGAGTGTCCTCTTTATTTCTTGTGGCTGCATATTACTGCTCTATAGAGATATACCCAAGTCCCTAATGAGGGGCATGGAGATTTCCAGTCTTTGCAGAATATGGCAATATGGGAACATACTGTTAATACTGTGAGCTGTGAAACATTTGTATTTTTTTCCATTTTAATAGATGAAAATGACATCTTAAAGTATTTTTAATTTATTGTTCATCAGCTCCTTAGACCAGATTCTATAGGGGTCCAGGCTTCAGGGACACTCTCACCTAATCTAGTCCAAACCCAGGAACCAAGTGTCTTATAGAAAACCTCCTTGCAGTCCTCTCTCCTTGTAGGAGCTGGGAGTCTATATCACTCCCCCAGCTGCATAAGATGCCTTTTAGGACCCCCGGGCCCAGACCCGTCAGTCAGTCCAGGACTTCATTCCCAGAGGAGGCAGTGTGATGAAGTATAGAGTCCTGGTTCCAGCACCACATGTATGGCCTTGAAATTGTTAATCACCTCCCCTAGCTCTCTGTTTTCTCCTCTGAAAACTGAAGATGTTATTATGTAAGATTTCTAAGGATCTTTTAAGAGAACGGGAGAAAAGGAAAGGTGGGGTTACTCTGCTCCCTTGCAAAAGAGCTACCTGCTGGTGCTGTTTCCCAGAGCGGGGAGGGTGCAGGGGGACCAGGGCAGCTGCTTCAGGGCGATGCTGCCCACTTACTTACCTTCTTGCCACTGAGAGGGTGGCCTCTCCCTGCTCTAGGAACTGCGTCATCGTCTTTGGGAGTGTGGGGTCAAAGGCATTGAGGTTGATAACCCCTCCACCATTCCCTGTCTCCAGGCCCAAGTGAGGCCCCACCAGGTGGGGTGCCCGGAACTGCACTAGTCTCATGTCTCTGGAGGGTTGAAAGGGCCACTTCTGAGCCTGCAGCAGAGCTGTGAGTAATCTTCTTCTACCAGACACCAGCATCAGAGCCTGCAGAGAAAAACACAGGATCCAGGAGATGGAGGATCTCAGAGCCATCATCAGCATCCCTGATATTCCTAGGGCTATAGCCCAAGGCCCTTTGCCCCATCAACCGTTCCCTGCATACCACACGGGAAGCGGTCCAGGCTTGTATTTTACCTGCTATACTTCATAAGGTGAAACTTTTGTAGAGGAGCAACTACTACATGCTACGCAGTAAGTCCCAGGGATTCCAGCGTTCCTTCAACCAGTGCTTTCTGAAAGTTCCCACTGTGCTTGGCTCTGCTGTAGGTATTGGGGAAACAATGTAGGTCAAACTCAGCCCTGCCATTCTCCCTGCACAGGTCACAGATGTTAACAACTGACGTAAGATTCAGCTATCAGGACTAATGCTGTGAAGATGGTCAGGGGCTCTACCCTTGTCTAGTTTCTGGAGGAAGTGATGTGAGCTGAGCTGGGCTAAATGAGCAGGACCAGGAATTAGCTGGGTGGCAGCCTAGCATGGGCAAGTGACGCTGGTGAAACTGGCTTCACAGTGGCCATAAGCAATTTTTTAAATGCTATTTTGGTCCTGTTTAAAATGGTTTCCACTGCTCACATGATCAAGCTAGAACCTCTACCAGGCTGTCCTTGTCTTCTAGGAGCAACACCCCCACCTGCCTCCCCAGATAATAATTATTTCATTTCTCCTGATAGAGAACAAGTTGCCTGAGGGAAGAGGCTGCAGACAAACAGCAAGGTCTAGGCCTGACAGCCATCACTTGGTCATCTCCTCCCTGGATCCAGGGCACATGTCTGTCTCTTTCACTGCCCAGCACTGTGCCTGGTGCACAGAAGGCTCTCAGTGACTTTCTGCTAAATGAACAAATAAGTGACAGAAGCAGGGGCTTGACATTTCACTACTTGGGAAAGCTTAATGCTTGTTAACTTCAGGAGACATGGCTGTGCCTTTCCTCCTCAAATCACCTAGAAAGTATCCACAAGGGCCAGACGCAGTGGCTCACACCTGAAATCCCTAGCACTTTGGGAGGTCGAGGTGGGTGGATCACTTGAGGTCAGGAGTTCAAGACCAGCCTGGCCAACATGGTGAAACCCTGTATCCCCTAAAAATGCAAAAAAATTAGCCAGGACTGGTGGCGGGCACCTGTAATCCCAGCTACTAGGGAAGCTGAGACAAGAGAATCACTTGAACACAGGAGGCAGAGGTTGTAGTGAGCCAAGAACATGCCACATCCCTCCAGCCCAGGCAACAGAGCGACTCCAAAAAAAAAAAAAAAAAAAAAAAGAAATTATCCACAGAGCTCAGGTCCTGTTTTGAGTCCAAGGCTCCACTTAAAGACAAACACTATTCTCTTGTTTTGTTCTGAATCCAAGTCTGGCCACTATTCCTTACCACATGGTGCCTTCCCTGAATGGTTCCTTGCTCTTCCAACAAAGGCAGTTTGTATTGTACAGCCTTCTATGCCCAAAAATGTTGAGGCAGCTGAGCCCCAGACTCTTGGTCCTCACTTGGAGATTCAATCTGCCTTGTTCAGTTAAAGACTCATTAGACTTAGGTCACCACTGTTGTGGCCCGCCAGTTTGACTAGAAAACAGAGTTTTGACTTCTCTGCCCTGCTATCTTACACAAGCACCAACTGTGCCACTGTCAAAAGGCTGTTCGAGCCAAAGTGCACACACTCAGACACTCCACATGCTAACATAACAGTAACTGCTGCCGCTGAATGCCAACTATTAAGTGCTCTACCTACAATGTCTGATTTAATTCTTTTTTTTTTTTTTTTTTTTTGAGATGGAGTCTCGCTCTGTCGCCCAGGCTGGAGTGCAGTGGCGCAATCTTGGCTCACTGCAAGCTCTGCCTCCCGGGTTCATGCCATTCTCCTGCCTCAGCCTCCCCAGCAGCTGGGACTACAGGCGCATGCCGCCACGCCCGGCTAATTTTTGTATTTTTAGTAGAGACGGTGTTTCACTGAGTTAGCCAGGATGGTCTCGATCTCCTGACCTTGTGATCCGCCCACCTCGGCCTCCCAAATTGTTGGTATTACAGGAGTGAGCCACGGCGCCCGGCCTGATTTAATTCTTGACGCTTGTGGAAGGTAGGTACTGTTAGTCCCATTTTACAGATGAAACAGTTAAGGCTTAAAGCGGTTAAGGGATTTGCCCAAGGTTACACAGTCTTAAAGCTAGGAGGGGAGGGAGCTGGGATGTGAATCCAAGTCCAGGTGACATTGAAGTCCTTGGTTCAGAAGCCTGTAATGCAAGCAAGAAAATCTAGCTTCAGCCCCATCTTCCTACCAAGGACATTTTAACCCAGAATGTTGTGGTGAGAAGTGGGGACCTTCCATAGGAAATCCTCCAAAGGCCCTAAAGATTGTAGTGAGAAGTAGGGACCTCCCACAGGAGATCCTCCAGAGGCCCTGCAAACAGCCATGCGTGGGGAAACTACAGGCGCTCTCTGGCTATTGCCTCAGGGACGAGGCTGGTTACCAGCTCTCCAAGAGAACTCCAGGCCCCATTGACTGTTCCCTTCCCACATGACACACACATGCAGGTTCATTCCAACCTTACAGCAATCCCCTCAGGTAAAGCGCCCTCACTTTACAGAAGAGGACACTGAGACTCAAAGGGATGACGTCAGGTGCCCAAGGTACTAGTCAGAAAGTGGCCCTGGGGCTTCTGCAACAACCACTATGTCACACAGTCCGAGCTCAATCCAACTCTGCAAGAGTCCATAAGCAAAGGGGCGGCGACGTGAGGTGGAAACAGTAGCCTGAAACGTGGGTGTGCACGTCGGATCCCATCCCACCGTCCACTCGCCTGGAAACCCCCAGTTTCCCCATATGCCCAGCTTCGTCCCCTGCAATTAGTGAGGGCTCACATGGGTCCGCCCCATCCGTGTGGTCGGAAACGGCCGGGAACCTGGTTCTAGTTCTGCCCTCCGCGGGAGACCTGCGCCAGGGACACCCTTCTGGCCTAACCCAGCCAGGCCTGGTCTACCTGGCGGCGGCGGCGGCGGCAGCCGGTCCTCCTGCGCTGAGTTAGGGCTCGCGGGGCGGGAGGTCAAGGGCAGCGGGCGCCTGAGCACTGGCACCAGTCACCGCATCCAGCCGGGGAACTACAGCAGCGGCGAAGTCACTGCCGCTCGGTGCGCACTCCAGCGAGAAGCGGGCGCGTCCTGTGACGTCACAGGCAACCACCCCTAGCAGGGCACCAATCCCGGAGGGCGGGCCCAGTGCGGGGCGGGCGGCGCCGGGGGCTCTTCAGGCTCAGGGCATAGGCAGGCGGCGGCCGCGTTTTCTGGAGACGGTCGCTCTCGGAGGGACCCTGCAATTGCCCGAGACCGAGAGTGGGCGCTGCCTGAAAGTTTGTCCCTGGGCGCTTCGCTGGCCTCATCCGGTCTCGGCCTTGTTCTGGGCCTGGCGCCTTTCCCATTGTTGGGGAAAGTGGTCTAGGAGACCAAGGCAGCGTGCTGGGTGGGAGAGAATGATTTGTGGCTTCTGATTCTGACATATGTCGTTAAGGAGGGGAGGGATGAGTGACCCTGTTTTACTTATGGAGAACCTGGGGCCAGAGCTGTTTTCCCAGGGTGACACAGGCGGTGAGTAGTGGAGCTGGCATTCCTGACCCCAAAGCTCAGCGTTTCCCAGCCACTCTCCGCAGCCAGGCCTTCACCTG
The DNA here is from genome assembly GCF_000001405.40 of Homo sapiens. Lineage (NCBI taxonomy): Eukaryota > Metazoa > Chordata > Mammalia > Primates > Hominidae > Homo > Homo sapiens. The sequence continues at coordinate 70,077 of NW_025791765.1, forward strand.
CACTGCTGGGCGCAGGTGGGGAAGTGGGGAAACGGTGCTCCATCCCCTGCAGAGGGCAGGCGTGCGGGGAGCGGTGGCTGAACTCCACAGACAGCTACTGCTCAGCTCTTCAGCTGCCGGCTTTGAAGAGTGTGAGGGGCTCTGGGCAAGAGGCCCCCACATTACTCAAGGACCAGATCATCAAGAGCTTTACTTGTCCCACAAAGGAGTCTGGACCTCGTTTAAGTGCACAGGAGACCGCTGGAAGGTCCTCAGTGGCGTGCCATGGCCCGACTTCTATTTGAGAAGTTTTTCTCTGGCCACCCGTCTAAGGAAAGGTATCTGGGTGGGTGGTGCGGGTGAGAACAATGGTGGTGCGGTGCTTGGCGGAGAAGGTGAGTGTCCAGAGATGTTCAGGAAGAAGAACTGACAGCTCTGGATGACAGGAGGTGGAAGTGAGAAGGAAGCAGGTACAAGGCCGGCTCCTGGGTCTCTAGCCCGGTAGGTGCAGGGCCGTTCATGGAGACAGGGCTTCTGGAGGAGCAGCGGGTCTGGGGAGATGATAGTGAGCTCCAATTTGCATGGGACATCCAAAGGGCATTGAACGGTGGGCAGTTGGAGACGTGGGTCTGGAGCTTGGGACTTCAGCCTAGCTTGCAGAAAGTCACCACTGATATAGAAATGGAACCTATGGCCGGGTGCGGTGGCTCACACCTGTAATCCCAGCACTTTGGGAGGCCAAGGTGGGCGAATCAGATCAGGAGATCGAGACCATCCCGGCCAACATTATGAAACGCCGTCTCCACTAAATATACAAAAAATTAGCCGGGCGTGTTGGCGGGCGCCTGTAGTCCCAGCTATTCGGGAGGCTGAGGCAGGAGAATGGCCTGAACCCGGGAGGCAGAGCTTGCAGTGAGCCCAGATCACACCACTGGGGAACAGAGCGAGACTCTGTCTCAAAAAAAAAAAAAAAAAAAAAAAGAAATGGAGCCTATGGGGGTGGCTGTGATCAGGGGGATGTGCTGAGGAGAACCTGGCGTAAGTGTTTCATTAAGCCATAGCTCCCAAAGACTTTCTGAAAAGCTAAGTTACAGCCTGAAAGAAAAGATCTTCAGAGGCTATATTTGATAAAAGACTTGTATCCAGAATATAGAAAGAGCACTTAAAATCAATAGATAAAATCAAACAATTCAATTTTTTAAATGGACAAAATATTTAAACAGACACTTCACCAAAGAAGATATACAGATAGAAAATTGAAAGACATGAAAAGATGCTCAACATCATTAATAATTAAGGATATGCAAATTACAAGCACAGTGTGACACCGTCTCACACCTACTAGAATGGACAAAGAAGACTGATTATACCAAGTATTCGAAAGAATGTGGAGGACCTGGGATTCTTGTACACTGCTTATGGGATTATAAAATAGTATCACTACAATTGAAAATCATTTGGCAGTGTATGAAGAGAGTTAAACATACTCCTACCATATGACCTAGCCATTTCAATCCTAACTATTGACAGTATTGAGTTGCACCTTAGCCCTTTGCTCCTAGAAATAGTGAAGATTAAGGAATCCCTCCACTCCTTTGTTCCAGAAAACACCCTACTGGAAAGAACCAGTGACTTTCCATATAGCTTGGATAAGAATCCTGAATGTCCCCTCATGACCAGACCATACACAGACCCTCTAAATTCCCATTCTTGGCATCATAAATGATTAGCTGGACTGCTTGTTCCCACAGATCAATAAGAACAAAATGCCTGTAACCAAACCTTGGTTCAGATTCTCTCCTTCTCCAAGCCCCTGAGCTTTGGCCCACCCGCAGCTTGTGCCAACCCACCGCCCTCCTGAGGGTCCCTCCTGAGAACAGGCTATCTGCATGGTAAGACCTGCTCGATCATGACACTCTTGCTCAGCTCACTTTCCCATAACAGTTCTTTCTAGCCACGTTTACGCCTCCCTATACAAGGTCAGCCCTTTGCCTAACCTCTGAGACACTTGAGGATCACATCGTCAGACTGTCTCCTTATTGTAATAGTCCCCCCCCCAACCCCCACAACAATCCTTTTGAATAAATTCTCTTTTTATGGAATCCAGATTTATATTTTTGTTTGATAGTAATTACATGAGAAATAAGAAAAATATGCTCATGCAAAGATGTATTCAGAAGTGTTCACAGCAGGCTTTTTGTAAAATCCCCAAACTGGAAACCACCCAATTTTCCATTAACAGGTGAATGTGTAAACACTCTGTGTTTAGCCACACTAGGGAATACTACTTAGCAAGAAAAAGGGATGAATTGTTGATACAACATGGATATATATCAAGATAATTATTTGGAGTGAAAAAGGGTAGATTAAAAATGAGTACATATTGGATGATTTCATTTATATGGAGTATCCTTGGGGGATATCTTCAAAGACCCCTGGCGGATGCCTGAAACTGCAGATAGTACCAAACCCTACATCTGCCACATCTTTTCCTATACATTGATGCCAGTGAACAAATTTAATCCAGATGAAGTTAATCTGGTGCTACACGGTTGCTGTCAATCAGAATACGTTTCTGTTGACATCTTCCACTCACAAATCTAATGCTTTTTCTACCCTAAGCGCTTCTCACACACTGTAGCCATAAGTTTTGCACTTTGAGGTGTGACAGTAAAACTGGCACAAATTTCTTTTCCCTTCTTCACAATTTCATGGATAGAAGATTCATTCTTTCTGTAGATCTTAGCAACCTCATTATGTGATTTTTTTTTCCTGGAAGCTTGAGAGGGGCACATGTTAGCAAGAAGGAGCACAGCATCCCTGCCAGGTTATCTGTCCTACGTGTACCCTGGGCTAGACACACCCTCCTCTGGCTTGCTGTGGTCTGGCCTCACCCTGCGATGCAGGGGCTCCATCCACAGCCCTCTGTCCAGGAGCACCCAGGCTGTGCTTACATTTTTTCAGGGATAGGGAGCTCACTGCTGTGTGGGCAGCTGGGCCCAGTATTTTATGGGGAGGGGGAGAATGGAAGGCAACACTGTCTTCAAGTGTCATCACTGTCCTGGGCGCATGGAGCAGCCCAGGTAACAACGTGCCCTCGGTATTCCCTAATGCTGGGTAGTCCTTCCTGTCAGAATGTGCTTCCCATGATAACCTGAAGCCTGTGACTCCTAGCTGGTAGAAATGTCTTCAGCTTGCCCCTGGAGCTGTGCAGAACACATCTTGTCTTGCATTTTCTAATATGTTTGAATAAAACCAGCATGTCATTCCTCTGCCACCTCTCCCCTAGTTCCCTCACCTTTCTTAGACCTCACATCATTCTGATAATCTCCTTGGGGTAGATTCAATCACCGTTGGTCATCATCAGCTGTGCCTCCTCCTGCTGGAGCATGGGGTGTTCACATCTAGCTGAACTAAGGCCTGGCCATCAGACTTGTTTTGGCCGATGCTATGTGGGTAGGAGCATCATAGACCCCTTACAAGGCTTCTGTAAAAGCCGGCCTGTGTTTGCCATGTCTCTTTTCCCTCTGCTACTAGATAGAATGCTCTAAATAAAAACCACTCTGTCAGCTTGTGTTCCAGAGTAAAAACGCCATAGATGGAGCCACAGCCAACTCACATTGGATGTGGAATATGAGGGAGATGACACTGAGATTTGGGAGTCTTTTGTTATTGCAGCAAAACTCAGCCCATCCTGACTGATATGACTCATTTGCCAAAGTCTCTTAGAAAGTGGGATATCTCACCTTAAGAGGATGTGAATGGTCTGGAGTAGGATAGCATGCCCAATTCCTTGTCCAGAGATTATGGAAACATTTATGAATTCAGCATCTCTTACAGAAGCACATCATAATTACCTTGAGTGCAACCCATTCCTTATGTACATGAACAGCTGGCAGAAAATGACTTCCTCATTCTTCATCTAAGCAAAAGAGCATCTACACCTGAAGAGACCACTTGCCCTTCACTGACATTAAATTTCATCCTACTGACTCTGACCTATCTCCCTAGGCTGTTAGGCTTATTTTTTGAACATTGTATTATGAAATTTTCAAACATACAAAAAAGTTGGAAAAAAAAGTACAATGAAAACCTGTATACTCACCACCTAGACCTTACAATTTATGTTTTACTATAGTTGCTTTATCACATGTCTATCTATCCTTCCACCTATCTATCAATCCATCTTGTCTTTTGATGACTTTCAAAGTAAGTTATAGACATCAGTACACTTTCCCTGTCCCCCTCAAACATTTCAACATGCATACATTGGCTAAAGTTCAATATTTGTTTATGTTTTTTAGGTGTATACAGAGCTCTAACTGTCCTGTTCCATCCAAAGGGGGAAAACCAAGAAGCACTTGTGAAGTTAACATTTCAGAGACAGAGGATCACTAAAAGGCTGAGACCTAATCATAGGACTGTGATCACTCTTCTGTCCTTTGCCATCTTACTACGATATTACTGTAGGGCCTACTAACTGCAGTTCCTCTTACCCAGTACCTCATGTCTGATGTCAAGAAGAAAATTACAAGTCATACTAAAAGGCAAAACACAAAGTTTGAAGAAAAAGAGCAAGCATCAGACCCAGACTCAGATATGGCAGGAGTGTTAGACTTATCAGACCGGGAATTTAAAACAATTATAACTAATATACTAAGGGCTCTAATGAATAAAGTAGACAGCATGCAAGAACCTGTGAAGCAGAGAGATGGAAATCCTAAGAAAGAATAAAAAGAAAGGCTAGAGATGAGAAACACTGTTCTAGTGATGAGAAATGCCTTTGATAGGCCCATGAGTGTAATGGACATGGCTGAAGAAAGAATCTCTACGCTTGAGGATATATCAATAGAAACTTCCAGGACAGAAAAGCAAAGAACAAAGAGACTGAAAAAGTGAAACAGACTATTCAAGAACTGTGCGACAACTATGAAAAAAAATAACATACACATAATGGGGATGCAAGAAAGAGAAGAGAAACAAAGAGAAGAGAAAGAAACAGAAAAAATATTTAAAATAATAATAGCTTGAGCAACATAGGGAGACCCCATCTCTACAAGAAAATTAAAAAATTAGGGGTGCATGGTGCACACCTCTGGTCCCATCTACTCGGTGGGGTGAGGTGAAAGGATCATGTAAGCCCGGGAGGTCAAATCTGCAGTGAGCCATGATTGCACCACTGCACTCCAGCCTGGGTGACAGAGTGAGACCCTGTCTCAAAAAATAAATAGATGTGGTGGCACACACCTGTAGTCCCAGGTACTTGGGAGGCTGAGGCAGGAGGATCGCTTGAGTCTGTACAGGAGTTCTGGGCTGCAATGCACTATGCCGATTGGGTGTCTGCACTAAGTTTGGCATTAGTATGGTGACCTCTGGGGAAAGGCGGATAACCAGGTTGCCTAAGGAGGGGAGAACTGGCCCAGGTCAGAAACGGAGCAGGTCAAAATTTCCTTGCTGACCACACCTGTGAAAGGCCACTGCACTCCAGCCTGACCAACACAGCGAGACCCCACCTTTTAAATAAATAAACAAAAAAAGAATAATGACAGAGATTTTCACCAAATTAATATCAGGCACCAAACCATAGATCCAGGAAGCTCTGTGAACACCAACCAGAATAAATGCCAAAAAACTCCACCCAGGTATAGCATATTCAAAGTAGAAATCAAAGATAAATAAAACACTACTGGAGGCCAAGGCAGGTTGATCAGAGGTCAAGGTGGGTGTATCACTTGAGGTCAGGAGTTTGAGCCAGCCTGGCCAACATGGCAAAACCTCATCACTACCAAAAACACAAAAATTAGCTGGACATAAATGGTGGGCGCCTGTAATCCCAGCTACTTGGGAGGCTGAGACAGGAGATTCGCTTGAACCCAGGAGGTGAAGGTTGCAAGGTTGCAGTGAGCTGACATTGCACCACTGCACTGCAGCCTGGTGACAAAGTGAGACTCTTTTCCAAACAAACAAAGAAACAAACAAACAAAAACTATTGAAAGAAGCCAGAGGAAAAAGCCACCTTACCTATAGGGAGCAAAGATAAGGATAACATCTGTCTTCTCCTCGGAAACCATGCAAACAAGAAGAGTGTGAAGTGAAATATTTAACATCTTGAGTGAAAAAAATACACAACCTTGAATTCTGTACACTGTAAAATTATTCCTCAAAACTGAAGAATAAATACAGACTTTCTCAGACAAACAAAAATTGAGGGAATTTATTGTTAGTACATGTGCCTTGTAAGAAATACTGAAAGAAGTTCTTCCAAGGGAAAGAAAAACATACAAGTCAGAAACTTGGATCTATATAAAGAAAGAGAGCACTGAAGAAGGAATGAGTGAAGATAAAATAGTAACTTATTTTTTTATTCCAAATTGATCTAACAGATAACAGTTTGTTCAAAATAATAATAGCAAGAATGTATTCAATTATGTATTCATATATGTGTATATATATCTACAGAAACATATATACTTAAGTACATTTATGTATAAGTGAAATGAATGACAGTAGTGATATAAGAGATAGGAGGCAGGAATTGGGATTATTTTGTTATTATAAGGTACTTGGTACAACCCATGAGGTAGTATATGATATTTGAAAATGGATTTGCATTAGTTGTAGATGTATATTGCAAATCTAAGGAAAACACTAAAAGAAGTGAAAAAAATAAGAAGAAAAGTATTTTTTTTTTAAAGAAGTTGCCTTCTTCCACTTGGGCTGCTATAACAAAATAATTTTGACTGCATAATTTATAATTATGAGAAATTTATTTTTCATAGTTCTGGAGGCTGGGAGGTCCAAGATCAAGGCAAGAGCAGATTTGGTGTCTGATAAGGGCTCACTCTCTGCTTCCAAGATGGTACCTTCTTGCTGTGTCCTTGTGTGGTGGAAAAGGTGAATAGCCCCCTCTCACCTGTTTTATTACAGCACTAATCCACTAATGAGGGCTCCACCCTTATGACTTAATCACCTCCTAAGGGCCTCACTTCTTATATTGGTGATTAAATTTCAAGGGAACATATTGAGACCATAGCAGAAATATGTTGACAATGTATTTATTTTTTGGTCATATAAAATGTGGAACTAAAGTCACAAAAGGCAAAAAAAGAGTGGAAGACAAAAATATAGGAACAAATAAAAAGGCAACAAATAGAAAAACAGTAACAGATAAGGTAGATATTACTCTAACTATGTCAATAATCATTTTGAATGCAGTGGTCTAAATACACCAACTAAGACAGAGATTCTGCAAAGCAAAAAAACTATCGACAGGGTAAACACACAACCTATAGAATGAAAGCAAATGTTTACAACCTATGCATCTAACAAAAGTCTAATATCTAGAATCTATAAGGAACTTAAATCAACAAGGAAAAAACAAACAACCCCACTAAAAATGGGCAAAGGACATGAACACACACTTCTCAAAAGACACCTGCACAGCCAACAAACATATGAAAAAGTACTAAATATCAAAACCACAATGAGATACCATTTCACAACAGTCAGAATGGCTATTATAAAAGGTAAAAAAATAACAGATGCTGGAGAGGTTGTGGAGAAAAGAGAATGCTTATACACTGCTGGTCAGAACATAAATTAGTTCAGCCACTGTGAAAAGTAGTCTGGAGATTTATCAAAGAACTTAAAACAAAACTACCATTCAACCCAGCAATTCCATTTCTGAGTGTATACCCAAAGGGATATAAACCATTCTACCATAAAGACGCATACAGGCATATGTTCATCGCAGGACTATTCACAATAGCAAAGACATGGAATCAACCTAGATGCCCATCAATGATAGACTATATACACACTATGGAATACCACAGAGCCATAAAAAGGAATGCAATCAATGTCCTTTGCAGCAACATGGATAGAGCTGGAGGCCATCATCTTAAGTGAATTAACACAGGAACAGAAAACCAAGTAATGAATGTTCTCACTTATAAGTGGGAGCTAAACACTGAGTATACATGGACACATAGAAGGGAACATCAGACATCCGGGGCCTACTTAAGGGTGGAGGTTGGGAGGAGGGTGAGGATTGAAAAACTACCTATTGAGTACTCTGCTTATTACTTGTGGAACAAAATGGCCAGTACACCAAACTCCTATGACATACAGTTTACTGATGTAATAATAAACCTTCACATGTGAAAACGTTCCTGTCTGACAGCTTTGAAGAGAGTAGTGGTTCTCCCAGCACAGAGTTTGAGATCTGAGAATGAACAGACTGCCTCCTCACGTGGGTCCCTGACCCCAAGTAGCCTAACCAGGAGGCACCTCCCAGTAGGGGCCAACTGACACCTCATACGGCCAGGTGCCCCTCTGAGATGAAGCTTCCAGAGGAAGGACCAGGCAGCAACATTTGCCGATCTGCAATATTTGCTGTTCTGCAGCCTCCGCTGGTGATACCCAGGCAAACAGGGTCTGGAGTGGACCTCCAGCAAACTCCAACAGACCTGCAGCTGAGGGTCCTGACTGTTAGTAGGAAAACTAACAAACAGAAAGGACATCCACACCAAAACCCCATCTGTACGTCACCATCATCAAAGACCAAAGGTAGATAAAACCACAAAGATGGGGAGAAACCAGAGCAGAAAGCTGAAAATTCTAAAAATCAGAGCACCTCTTCTCCAAAGGAATGCAGCTCCTCGCCAGCAATGGAACAAAGCTGGATGGGGAATGAATTTGAGGAGTTGAGAGAAGAAGGCTTCAGATGATCGATAACAACACACTTCTCCACTGGGCGTGGTGGCTCATGCCTGTAATACCAGCACTTTGGGAGGCCAAGGCGGGTGGATCACAAGGTCAGGAGATCGAGACAATCCTGGCTAAGATGGTGAAACCCTGTCTCTATTAAAATTACAAAAAATTAGCTGGGCATGGTGGCAGGCACCTGTAGTCCCAGCTACTCAGGAGGCTGAGGCAGAAGAATGGCCAGAACCCGGGAGGTGGAACTTGCAGTGAGTCGAGATTGTGCCACTGCACTCCAGCCTGGGTGACAGAGTGAGATTCCCTCTCAAAAAAAAAAAAAAACAAAAAACAAAAAACTTCTCTGAGCTAAAGGAATATGTTCGAACCCATCGCAAAGAAGCTAAAAACCTTGAAAAAAGATTAGACAAATGGCTAACTAGAATAAGCAGTGTAGAGAAGACCTTAAATGACCTTATGGAGCTGAAAACCATGGCATGAGAACTACATGATGCATGCACAAGCTTCAGTAGCCTATTCGATCAAGTGGAAGAAAGGGTATCAGTGACTGAAGATCAAATGAATGAAATTAAGCGAGAAGTTTAGAGAAAAAGAGTGAAAAGAAATGAACAAAGCCTCCAAGAAATGTGGGACTATGTGAAAAGACCAAATCTACATGTGATTGGTATACCTGAAAGTGACGGGGAGAATGGAACCAAGTTGGAAAACACTCTTCAGGATATTATCCAGGAGAACTTCCCCAACCTAGCAAGGCAGGCCAACATTCAAATTCAGGAATACAGAGAACACCGCAAAGATACTCTTGAGAAGAGCAACTCCAAGACACATAATTGTCTTGGAGATTCACCAAAAGTTGAAATGAAGGAAAAAATGTTAAGGGCAGCCAGAGAGAAAGGTCGGGTTACCCACAAAGGGAAGCCCATCAGACTAACAGCAGATCTCTCGGCAGAAACTCTACAAGCCAGAAGAGAGTGGGGGCCAATATTCAACATTCTTAAAGAAAAGAATTTTCAACCCAGAATTTCATATCCAGCCAAACTAACCTTCATAAGTGAAGGAGAAATAAAATCCCTTACAGACAAGAAAATGCTGAGAGATTTTGTCATCACCCGGCCTGCCTTACAAGAGCTCCTGAAGGAAGCACTAAACATGTAAAGGAACAACCAGTACCAGCCACTGCAAAACCATGCCAAATTGTAAAGACCATCAATGCTAGGAAGAAACTGCATCCATTAACGAGCAAATTAACCACCTAACATTATAACAATGACAGGATCAAATTCACACATAACAATATTAACCTTAAATGTCATATTTAAGGTTAAACAATATTTAACCTTAAATAGCCAAATAGATGGCTATTAGGTCAGCTTGGTTTATAGGAATTAACCTGTTTGCAGATGACATGATTTTATATTTAGAAAACACCATTGTCTCAGCCCAAAATCTCCTTAAGCTGATAAGCAACTTCAGCAAAGTCTCAGGATACAAAATCAATGAGCAAAAACCACAAGCATTCCTATACACCAATAACAGACAAACAGAGAGCCAAATCATGAGTGACCTCCCATTCACAATTGCTTCAAAGAGAATAAAATACCTAGGAATCCAACTTACAAGGGATGTGAAGGACCTCTTCAAGGAGAACTACAAACCACTGCTCAACAAAATAAAAAAGGACACAAACAAATGGAAGAACATTCCATGCTCATGGATAGGAAGAATTAATATCATGAAAATGGCCATACTACCCAAGGTAATTTATAGATTCAATGCCATCCCCATCAAGCTACCAATGACTTTTTTCACAGGATTGGAAAAAACTACTTTAAAGTTCATATGGAACCAAAAAAGAGCCCGCATTGCCAAGACAATCCTAGGCCAAAAGAACAAAGCTGGAAGTGTCACACTACCTGACTTCAAACTATACTACAAGGCTACAGTAACCAAAACACCATAGTACTGGTATCAAAACAGAGATATAGACCAATGGAACAGAACAGAGCCCTCAGAAATAATATCACACATCTAAAACCATCTGATCTTTGACAAACCTGACAAAAACAAGAAATGGGGAAAGGATTCCCTATTTAATAAATGGTGCTGGGAAAACTGGCTAGCCATATGTAGAAAGCTGAAACTGGATCCCTTCCTTATACCTTATACAAAAATTAATTCAAGATGGATTAAAGATTTAAATGTCAGACCTGAAACCATAAAAACCCTAGAAGAAAACCTAGGCAATACCATTCAGGACATAGGCATGGGCAAGGACTTCATGACTAAAACACCAAAAGCAATGGCAACAAAAGCCAAAATTGACAAATGGGATCTAATTAAACTAGAGAGCTTCTGCACAGCAAAAGAAACTACCATCAGAGTCAACAGGCAACCTATAGAATGGGAGAAAATTTTTACAATCTACCCATCTGACAAAGGGCTAATATTCAGAATCTACAAAGAATTTAAACAATTTCACAAGAAAAAAATCAAACAACCCCACCAAAAAGTGGGCGAAGGATATGAACAGACACTTCTCAAAAGAAGACATTTACACAGCCAACAGACACATGAAAAAATGCTCATCATCACTGGCCATCAGAGAAATGCAAATCAAAACCACAATGAGATACCATCTCATGCCAGTTAGAATGGCGATCATTAAAAAAGTCAGGAAACAACAGGTGCTGGAGAGGATATGGAGAAATAGCAACACTTTTACACTGTTGCTGGGACTGTATACTAGTTCACCCATTGTGGAAGACAGTGTGGCAATTCCTCAAGGATCTAGAACTAGAAATACCATTTGACCCAGTGATCCCATTACTGGGTATATACCCAAAGGATTAGAAATCATGCTGCTATAAAGACACATGCTTTATATTTATGTTTATTGTGGCACTATTCACAATAGCAAAGACTTGGAACCAACCCAAATGTCCATTAATGATAGACTGGATTAAAGAAAGTGGCAAATATACACCGTGGAATACTATGCAGCCATAAAAAAGGATGAGTTCATGTCCTTTGTAGGGACATGGATGAAGCTGGAAACCATCATTCTGAGTAAACTATCACAAGGACAGAAAACCAAACACCGCATGTTCTCACTCATAGTTGGGAACTGAACAGTGAGAACACTTGGACACAGGATGGGGAACATCACACACCAGGACCTGTCAATGGGGTGAGGGGAGGGGGGAGGGATAGCATTAGGAGATATACCTAATGTAAATGACAAGTTAATGGGTGCAGCACACCATCATGGCACATGTATACATATGTAACGAACCTGCACGTTGTGCACAGGTACCCTAGAACTTAAAGTATAATAAAAAATCATATGAGAAAAAAAAACCTTCGCACGTACGTACCCTTTGAACCTAAAATAAAAGGTGGGAAGACAGAAATAAAATAAAAGAGATTGTCAGTGTAGATTAAAAAGTCGGACTCAACTATATGTAGTCTACAAGAAACACATTCTAAATATAAAGATGCACCTGCATAAATTAAAGGGATGCAGAAAGATATACCATACTAACACTTATCAAAAACACCCCCAACATATCTCTATTAATTTCAGGCAGAGCAGCCTTAAAGAGCAATAAAAGTTACCATAGATACAGAAGGACATTACCTAAGAAAAAGGAGTCAATTCTCCAAGAAGACATGACAATCCTGCATGTGTGTATGCACCTAACAACAGAGCATAGAAATATGTTTAATTTACACTTATCTTCTTATGAGCCATGTTGCGTAACTTTTCACATGTTTAAGATCAACTTCCAATTATTTTCCTATGAAATCTCTATGCGTATCTTTTTAATTTTTTCAATATATTGTTGGTCTATTTCCCCTAAATTTGTAAGAACTATTTGTATATGAGAGATAGCACCCCTTTGTCTATGATATAAGTTGCAAACCTATTTTCCTACTCTTTCATTTGTTTTCTGACTGTGGTGGTAGTCTTTTCTTGCCATGCAAAAAATTTTGTTTTGTTTGTCTTTGATGTAGTTGAATTGACCAGTCTTTTAAAATTGTGTCATTATTAGATGAGCGACTTTCTTTCCAGCTCACCTGAGAATGTGTTTTCCTGTTGAGCTACAGAATGAGCATTGGGTATTTTGTGTTCCTCTGAGAAAGAGAAGAGGTGTGTCTGGCAGCCAGGAGTTGACCTGGTCCTATCTGCCGGGAGTTGGCGATGCTGTGAGCTGCCTGGCACCCACAGATGGATGTTGATGTTCTCTTGTGAGCATAAACAATTCCATAGAACATCTGCTTCATACCATATCATTTTGTGCCAATACTTAAGACAAAAACAAGACCTCTTCATAATCATGTCTGAGCATGAGCAAAGCATGAGCATTGTTCATATCACACAAATGACCAATGTCTCTATTCTAGCTAAGAAGAGTAACTACTGTTTCTTCACCAACTACAGCTTTAACGTTCTTTACCAATTATAGCCTTAACCCATTAAGGCTTTAATACAGGTTTACATCTTTCTACATAAGATTTATTAAGATACCCTGCTATGCTAGAATTACCCCCACTTCCTGACAACACCCAATTCAGAACAAAGCCCCATTTCCTTAAACCCTTCTCCCAGATTATTGCCTAACACAACCCCAAATCCTCTAAGTCCTTTCTGATGTCCTCTTAGTGAGACACCCCACTGTTCCCTGTAGTTTGTATTCTCCCTCACTTAACCAGTAATAACTCACTTCTTCAACTACAGATGTGTTCATGGTGGCCTTTGATTGGAGCCCATTAACATCTCCACTTTTCCTGGTAGCCCAAGGGAATGAGGAGACAGTAGAGGGAAAGGGCGGCTGAGGGCTCTGAGCATTGGTTAGAATGCTTGGGCAACAGATGGCTCTTCCTGTTTCAGTACCATGAGGACTCCCCTGGGCATTGGTTTGCTTTCCTCATTCCATGTGTAGCCTTGACTTCTCTTAGAGGAAGTGCACCCTGATGTCCCTCCACCTTGTTTCTCCTGTTTCTCCCCAGCATCTGTTTCCACCAGTCACCAGCAAGTGAAGGATCGTATAAGGACACCCTTCAGTGTCAGTGTGCTTCACTATGCTCAAAATCACCGGATTTGGAGGTGGATGTGGAGGGTGGGGCTGGAGGATGGAAGAGGAACTTAGGAGCTAAATGCTGACCCTCTCTATTTTGCTCCAGAATGTTCTTTTCCTTTCTCTCTTTGAGTCACCAGTTTCTTTACTGTATTAGGCTATGCCCCTTTCCTTGTTTTATTGCTATCAGTTATTTCTTATTGGCCTTTATAATTTTGTTAGTACCGGGATGGAAAACTCTACAATATTGTTTTTTTCCAATACCGAAGGCATCTCCTCTCCTCATCCCTGCTCTCTCCCTCCAGTTAAAAAAGATAAACACTCCCTGTTGACAAATGTCTTTTCTCTTTTCTGTAGACTCTGCGAGTTCTCCTTTCAGTTTATGCTTTTGGAAACAAAAGTCCTTGTCTGTCCTTCAGGTGTGAGTCAGAGCCAGATTCCTGACTAAATGGAGGGAAGGTTAAGAAAAAATACAATGAGAAATTCATTATAAGAAATTATTTTGTTGTCATCTAGTCATGTAAGTTTTGTCTTTAGTGGTGGTAACGTGCTCATTCATCGTAGTTCGTTGCTCATGCCACGTGGTCATTGTCTCATGCTTATGGGCACCTCTCTTTAGTGACACCCACCTATTGGGGGGAGTCCCATTTGTAAAGAATTTTGTTGATGTGCTGAATACAAATTGATTTCCTACAGTCTTGTCTGTTTTGGGCTGCTATGAGAGAATACCATAGACTGAGTAATTTATAAACAACAGAAATTTGGTTTTTTCACAGTTCTGGAGGCTGGGAAGTCCAAAATCCAGGGGCCATTAGATTCATTGTCAGGTGAGTGTCTGGTCTCTGTTTCCAAGATGTCGCCTTGAAGGCTGCATCTTCCAGAGAGGAGGAGTGCTGTGTCCTCACATGGCAGGAGACTGAAGGGCAAAAGGAGTCTAACTTCCTCCATCATTCCTTTTTCTAAGCATATTTAATCCTATTCATGAAGGCAGAGCCCTCATAGCCTAATCACCTCCAAAAGTCCCCACCTCTTAATACTATCACATTTGTAATATTTGATTTCTGGAGGGGATACATTCAAACCATAGCAGATGCTCATGAAAGTAGAAACAGTGGCTAATGCCAGAGAAAGAAGCTGAGGATCTGGGAAGTCTTACTTGTGGATTTTACGTTGTATGTTCCATTCCCACATGTAAATAAATGAGTTAATTGAAATGGAAGAAAATGAGGAAAGATGGAGAATTGTGTCATGGAACAATGGACAGCAGTCATAACATAATGGGTGAAAACAAAGCTCAAATACATGAGGATGATTATATCTTTAATAGCATCTCGAAGCTGTAAGAGATCATCAAGTCTTGACTTCTATGTTAAAAAAGAAAGAAAACTGATGACCCATATTTAAACTGAGGCATGTGACATTTCTGCTCTACTCAGCACTCTTCACTCATCTAACAAAAATTCATTATGGCTTCTTATGTTCCAGGCACTGGGCTAGGTGTTTAAGGAAGACAGAGGGAGGAAATAAAAATTTTTATAAAACAGTCTTTGTCCTCAAGCAGCTCACAGGGCAGAGAGACCCTGACAGAGTAGAGACTTCATGAAGAGTGGGGATGGGAAGGGCATTCTCTCCACACGCATCCCTGTCCCACCTCGGAGATTTCCTCCTCAGAACGCTACCTCTTACTGCTTTCCTGTCTCACTCTTTCCAGCTCTCAGTTTAGAAGGTGTTTCCTCAGAGCACCCTTGCTGACCTCTCAAGTCTGGTGAATGGCCCTTCTCACTGGTGCCTGGATGCCCTGTGTGCTCCTGTCATGCACACAACACAGCATAGTAAAATGCCTGGTGTATGTGTTTGTCTTTTCAATACTCTGAGCTCTGCTCATTGGCAAATCTCAGGACATAGCACAAGATGTGGCCCCTAAACGTTAACTGAATGAACGAATGGAATCACTGGTATCTCTTTAGCTTGAAGAATAGAAAGCCCTTGTAGGACAAAGACGATTGGGAGAAATGTGAAGTCTGGCGTGGACTCTGTCAGAAGACAGAACTGAACCAATGGATGGACTTAGAAGAGAGAGACTTCGGTTTCACATCAGGAATGATATCATAGTCAGAACTCACCACACACATAATAGGTTAGATGAGGGAGGAGGGAGTCCTTCATTGCAGGAGTTTTAAAGGTAAATACAAGAAATGGGAGGCACTTGGCCTGGCGCGGTGGCTCAGGTCTGTTAATCCCAGCACTTTGGGAGGCCGAGGCCAGTGGATCACAAGGTCAGGAGTCGAGACCAGCCTGGTCAAGATGGTGAAACCCTGTTTCTACTAAAATAGAAAAATTAGCCGGGTGCGGTGGTGGGCACCTGTCATCCCAGCTAATTGGGAGGCTGAGGCAGAAGAATCACTTGAACCTGGGAGGCAGAGGTTGCAGCGAGCCAAGTTTGAGCCACTGAACTCTAGCCTGGGCGACAGAGCAAGACTCCGTCTAAAAAAAAAAAAAAAAAGAAAGAAATGGGAGGCACTGAGTTTCTGGCTCAGTTTGCTGATGCCAGAAATACAGAGATGACTGATCAGTAAAATCCACTAAAAAGTGTGTGACAGGTTTCTTTTTCCTTATATTTTTCTTTTTTAAATACAAAAGTAATACCAGCCCACTGAAAATTTGAAAAGTATATGGCATTAAAAAGAGAAAAATAACATCTGATAATCCAACAAGATAAACCCTCTAAAATTTTTCTCTTTTTAAATGAATATAGTTAAGCTTGAAATAGAATTTTAAATTTATCTTGATGTTTTACTCAACAACGTAGAAGCATCTTTTATGTCATTATTTTAAGTCACAAGCACTTTTAGTGATGATGATTAAAAGAACCATTTGTTTTTTCCTTACTGTTCCCTGTTTTTAGATTTTTGGCTAGTGTCTAATTTTTCCCTGTTATAAATAATGCTGAGATGAACAGAATATGTAGATTTCTAATAATTTGCAAATGAACAGCATATGAAAAACATGAGCAAAAATTTTGCAGTTATAATTACTCAACACGTTTTAAATAAATTACTTTTATTTTGAGCGTTCATTCTTAAATATGTTATAGGAAGTAAGTAAGAAGCATTCCTTACTCCTTAGAATTTTGTTTATAAATTAGTGATGAATTGGAAAGGGTAGCTTGCCCCTGGAATTCTCTGATAAGCACAGGTGATGAGGAAAATGGAAAAATCCAAGAATTCCTTTGTCTTTCCTTAATAGTCAGCTTTAAGTGCAGTGCAGGCGTGCCCTCTAGCGGCCAAATAAAAAATAAAGAAATACGGGAAACCTTCAGCATTGTAACAATCGCACGTCCCCATCTAGTGGCTAACGTGTGTAAATGCAGCTTTTCTAATCACAATAGCGAATGTTACTTGATTTATATTTGTCTCATGAGGTGAAGAACTGGGAGGAATCTTAGAGATCACGTATTTCAACTTCCTCACGGAGTGGCATGCAGGCAGCAGCCTTGGGAACCCCGATTGCCCCTCCTCACACCTGCCCATCACAGGACTCGGGCGACAGGGTGGTGAAGTCAGGCTGTGGCCCCAGCGGCGCCACGAGGCCGAAAACAGGCGCTCAGCCTCATCCCCGTGGCTGCAGAGTGCCAAGCGTCAGGTCCTGCGCTCTGGGCGCGGGTCAGGAGCAGCTGGCAAGGGCAGCGCAGCCTGTGGGGCCCTTGGGCGCGGCCGGCCGCAGCTCCGGGAAGCCACGTCAGCCCACGGGCGCTGCAGCTGCAGCCGCCACCAGCACATGGAGCAGGGGTCCCCGAGGATTGGGAATCCCCGACCAGGCCTGCGCCTCCAGCCGCGCGGACCCCGGGGCCAGCCTGGCCGCGGCAAGTCAGGCAGTCTGCGGCAGGAGCGCCGGGCATGGGCTTCCGCCGGGGGTGCAGGAGGCGCGCACCCTCCGGCCGGATGGGGGCGCACTCAGGGCCCAGGAGGCCATCCCACGGGAGCCCCGCCAGCCCCCGCCGGAGCCCGAGCTGCAGTGCCGCCTACAAGTGGTGCGCTGGCTGCAGCTGTGGCAACCCCGGATCCCGTCCTCCCGCCTCGCACCCATCAGCGCGGACCCCGGGGGCGACGCAGTGGCGAAGTGGGGCTGTGGGCCCAGCGGTGGCACCAGGCGGAGAAGCACCACTCAACCCCATCCCTGGGCTGCAGAGGGCCCAGCGCGGGGGACTCCGAGCGTCGGGAGCCTGTGGAAGAGAAGAGCGCGCGGGCGACAGTTAAACAGGCCCTGGGGCAGGGCGCGCCTCGCGCTCCAGGGAGCCCCGCCCTCCCGCGGCACCTCCGCAGCAACCGCCGCCTGCACTGGGCGCGCGAGAGCTGCTAGGGCGGTTTCTCTGCCTCGGGCCTGTTGGGCAGGGCCGGCTAAGGTGCGCGTGCTCGCTGGTTCTAACCCTTCTGTTGGGCGTTTCTGCTGAGAGGCGGGAGGCGCTGAGAGTCTGTGCGGAGGTCCGTGGACAGACTGCTTTGCTCGTTGTTGCTCTTCGGAGGCGGCGATCCCCGAAGGCGAGCTGAAATACGGCTGCAGGCTACAATTTGCAGCCGACGATTATGGAAGACGGCAAGCGGGAGAGGTGGCCCACCCTCATGGAGCGCTTGTGCTCGGATGGCTTCGCATTTCCCCAATACCCCATTAAACCGTATCATCTGAAGAGGATCCACAGAGCTGTCTTACATGGTAATCTAGAGAAACTGAAGTACCTTCTGCTCACGTATTATGACGCCAATAAGAGAGACAGGAAGGAAAGGTAATGGGGGCCGGGAGCCGGGGCTGCGGGAGGAGGCCTGTGGATGTGGAGAAGTACCCCTTTCCAGGCTGAGGGCTGCGGGGCGGATGGTCCGGGGCTCGGGGTTTGGACGGGGGCTAGGGGGTGCCCGGCTGGGGTGGGAGTGAGTGGAGCGGGGCCTGGGGAGTGGCGGTATATGGGGTGGCGGGGTGTGGAGTGAGTTGGGGGATGGGAGTGGGGAGTAGGGGGTGCATGGGGTGGGGGCGTGAATGGGCTGAGGTGGACGGAATGAAGGCTTGGGGGGTAGGGGCGTGGACGGTGTGGGGTGGGGAGATGGGGTGAGGGTTCAATGGGATAGAGGACTGGAGGTGGGGGTGAGGGGTGGGGGTGAATGGGGTGGGGGAAAGGGGTGCAGAGGTGAGGGGGGCGAGTCCTGTCACCAAAGGGGCTGGACTTTCTTTCCTGGCAGGCTCAGCCGCACCTGGGATGTGGAAACCTTGGCGGGGGCGAGCACCCAGGTCATTTTCACAAGCAGCAAAACAAAAACAAAACTTCAGCTGGTTTCCAATCACTCACCATGCTGCTTCTTTATAAATCATTTTAAAGTGATTTCACTAATAAAATTCAGCATGTACAGCGTTTTATTTTTAACGTGCACATTTTAAAGCATAATGTTACATACATTATGGAAAGGTGCATAATGAGAGAAATCATTTCCATAATATATCAACTTCCTGGCTAAAAATTCTTTGGATAAAAATCCAATATTTATTTGATATCAATGGACACCTATGTCAATTTGGTTTTCACTGAGGGACCTTAGAGGGAAACTTTGAAGTGGGAAGATGGTCTGTGTTCTTGAATAGAAAGACACATTTTTCTAAAGTTCTGAGCTCTTTCTGTGTTTATAAATTTTACATAATCCAAATAAAGTTATCAAAGTGTTAACATTTTTGAATTACTCATGCTGTCTTTTACTATTGTGACGACATCAAGAAAACTTTTGAAATGGAGTCAAAAAAGACTTGCCTTTCTAGATATGAAAATGTGCTGTTAATTTCCACAAGTTATTTACTAACAGCTGAAACAACAAATCAGTGAATGGAACAGGTTAGAAAATCCAGGAACACACCAATATGTGTAAGAATTTATTAGGTTGGTGCAAAAGCAATTGCGGTTTTTGCCGCAATTACAAGTAATGGCGAAAGCCGCAATTGCCTTTGCACCAATCTAATAGAATTGGATAATGGTGACATTTCATATTAGTAGGAAAAGATGAATTACTCATAAATGAAGTGCCTGCTAACTATTTGGAGAAATCTGGCTAGATTTTTATGTCACAGAAATAAATTCGTTATGGAATGTAGATTAAAAATTTTAAATGCACAAAATAAGAAAGATAACAGAAAAAAACACAAATGCCTACTTATATTGATGCATGTTTATATTCCTACAAATATCACAAGCACACATTCTGAAGGTCGATTTAGCAAAATAAAAAAAATCCAGTTTATAAGAAAAAATTAACAAAAGACAATATGTGTATATACATATTAGATAAAAAAGTGATTTTCATTTTACAGAGAATTCTTCAAATAAACAAGAACTCTCATTTAAAATAGAGCAAAGCATTTATTTTTCAGATGTTCAAGCAACCTATGCACATGGGAAAAAATATTTAGTGTTCCTGGGAGGAGAAGGTATTTAAGTTAAAAAAGGAATGAAATACTATTTTCTATCACAAGTTTGTGAGGGTAAAGGGTAGCAGTACATATACTGCTGTTGAAAGTTTACATTTCTGATGACTTTTCAAATAGACAATTTTTTGGTAAGTATCACACTGTAAAAATGTATGTGCCCTTCACCCATCAATTCCATTATACTAAAATATCTCTAGGAAATAGAGATACATGCAATTTGTTTTTCTCAGCACTGCTTAAAATAGCAATGTATTTGGAAAACCCCTTATAATGGATTTTATAAATTTTATAAATTTATCAATAAATTTCAGTGCATCCATAGGATGGGACAATATGGGACCTTTGCAGATGTCAGTAGATACAGATGTATGTTGAGGTGTGAAGATGTACTCTGAAAAAAAGTTGGTTTGATTATACATACACACAAACAATCTATGGTGTTTGTAAGCCAAATATGTGTACAAAATGTAACATTTCTTCTTTTCTGGCAGGTGTATTGTGATATTTTCTCTTATCTGTGATGTATAAATGATCAGTATGTTTAAAACTTCTAGTAAATGTTTTTTATTAATGAAATTATCCTTGGAAAAAGAAGAAATATAAATCTTGCAAAGAAAAAATAATTCTCAGTTTCTATTTTATTTTATTATTTATGTCTTTGTTTGTTTGTTTATTTTTGAGATGGAGTCTCACCCTGTTGCCCAGCCTGGAGTGCAGTGGCATGATCTCGGCTCACTGCAATCTGCCTCTCAGGTTCAAGTGATTCTCCCACCTCAGCCTCCTGAGTAGCTGGGATTACAGGTGTGCGCCTCCATGCCCAGCTAAT
The DNA here is from genome assembly GCF_000001405.40 of Homo sapiens. NCBI lineage: Eukaryota > Metazoa > Chordata > Mammalia > Primates > Hominidae > Homo > Homo sapiens. The sequence goes on from NW_025791765.1 coordinate 91,140, forward strand.
TTTTGTATATTTTAGTAAAGACGGGGTTCACCATGTTGGCCAGGCTGGTCTCAGACTCCTGACCTCAGGTGATCCCCGTGCCTCGGCCTCCCAAAGTTCTGGGATTACAGGTGTGAGCCACTGTGCCTGGCCTTATTTTTATTTTTTTGTTTATTGGTATCTTCTGTGAACTTTTAGCCTCTTCAGAGGCAGAGGGAATATTTTTATTTGTGCTTGATTATTTTATTATGCATAGATTTTAGTACATAAATAGGTTTTTATTATAGTTTTATTACATATAAGGAAACAATTTTAAATTAATTATTTTAGTTTATCAGTGTCCTCATGAAAATGAAAATGAGCAAATATAAGTGATTATCACTATTCCAAAAGCACTGCTTTAATTTATAGTTTTTTTCATAATAAACTTCCCAACTGTATGTATGCATTCTTTCAATCCAGTTATTCATCAAGCATAACCTGAATACCTATTATGTAGCAGACAGATTCCACCATCTCTCAGGACTCTTCCACCCTTAACAACTTCATGTTTACCTGCCCAGCCTGAGCAAGCTGAGATTTAAAATGGAAGCGTTAGGACTTAATCCCAGTTGGATCTTTTATTCCTTTTTTTTTTTTTTTTAAACAAAAGCAATTCTGAAGTTAGAAAATAGTGAAAGATAACCTTTAACTGCCATTTCAGAAACTTATGACACTCTCAAATACTACTATTAATCGTTGCAAATACCTAATTTACATAACATTCTGTAAGTATTGAAAAAAATGGGCCATACCTATTCATTTGAATCCTGAGTTTTCTTTGGATTATTTTTTTTTTTAAATTGAAGTGAGAATTACTTTGTTTTAAAAATTTGTTTTTTTATTTTTGCCTTCTTTTTCCACAGTACTTTATTTAGGTGCCAATTATATGAGTAGAACTGCCTGTTCTATGTACTGTATCCCACTTAATGTAAGGCATCACGGATTGGGTGATGCCACATTACTTTATATATCAATAAGATAATGTTTAAAATGTTGCCAGTTATAAATGTAATAAACAATTAATTGTAAACAGTATTCCAATGTCAGGAGATGTTAATATATAAGAGAATAGTAGCTTATATAAGAGAATGGTGAGAAAATGAGCATCTGAGAATGACTGAAATACAATGATACATCTAATCTTTAATAGATACCTCAATGTAGATATGATTGTATCATTTTACTTAATTAAAATGTCTTTGTAGGTAGTAATATCTAAAAATTATTGAGCTGTTATTTGTGTTAGAAAGTGTTCTAAATGCTGTGCATAGATTCTTATGTAAGCATCACAGCAGTGTTCTGTGGGCTAGCTACTATTCTCTTATATATTTTATTGATAAGGAAATTGAAGCAAAGAAAGGCTAAATAACAGCTAAGTGACAGAGCTTACAGTAAATTTTAAGCCCCAATTAAACTGAATCCAAAAGCCAAGGCTTTTCTATTAAATAGCCTGCTCTTTCATTAATGTGGTGAGTAATAAGCGCTAACAAATGTTGTACTTTCTTCACAAGAAAATTACATATTTGTTTTGAAGACAGAGAAATGACATGCTAATTAATGCTTACAGTTACATGTTTTAAAAAGTCCTGTCACTCTCACAGGACCGCCCTACATTTGGCCTGTGCCACTGGCCAACCGGAAATGGTACATCTCCTGGTGTCCAGAAGATGTGAGCTTAACCTCTGCGACCGTGAAGACAGGACACCTCTGATCAAGGTATATAGTAGCTGACTCTTTGAGCATGAGATGGATTTGGTTGAAGTACATAGGATAAAATGAATTTATCTCATTGGAATACCACCATATAACTAGTAGGAAATCCTACGGAGTGTTTATTTTGATTTTTCAGTATTTGCATGTTTCTCGGTCTAATACTGACAGGCTGTACAACTGAGGCAGGAGGCTTGTGCAACTCTTCTGCTGCAAAATGGCGCCAATCCAAATATTACGGATTTCTTTGGAAGGACTGCTCTGCACTACGCTGTGTATAATGAAGATACATCCATGATAGAAAAACTTCTTTCACATGGTACAAATATTGAAGAATGCAGCAAGGTATAGGTCAACCAATGTTATTTTCAAACTATCTGAAATGCATTTATTTTAACATTGACACATGTAAGGGTCAATTTTTCATATTTGGAAGCTCAAACATTCCTTGAATGAAAATATTTTGAAATGCCTTAACTGTCTAAGATTTTACTTTAAATATTGGAACTTTTAAAGAAGCATTATAGGGAACAGCCTTTTTTCATGCACTTATGGTAAATAACTATAAAAACAAATGAATTACAATAAATTTATAATTCATGACAACTGAATTTGGGAAAGGTAATAGTTAAGTGTTTTTCCACTAAATTACTTTTTTTCTAATCAGTGTGAAGTGACACAGGAAAGTAAAATTGTCCCTTATAAATAGGCTTTATTTTAAATGTCAAAGAAAATTAAAGAATTTCACAATAAATGTACATGTTGTTGCTGTTGAAAGTGTTGTATGTGAAGGTGATTTCATTTGAAAGTGATTCCTCTGTGGAAAGGCTTAAGAGGGAAAAATGAAGAAAAGGAGAGCAATCAGAAATGCACAAGCTAATTTGGAAATTAGGTAATGAGGGAAAATACTGTGGAGAGGGTTTTTGTGTGTTTTGTTGTTTGTTTTCAATTTATATGTTTAGACAAAGATCGCTTCAGTTTTGGGGATGATTATTCTTACTTTGGGAAAGAGTTTGTGAGTTGTGAAATTGCCCAGGGATCAATTTTGGTAAGACTCTGAGGAAACCAGGTTGGCAGTGAATAGTGGTGATGAAGCGGCACACAGTTCAGCAGAGAGAAGAACACATAATTAATGGACATTATTCAATTCTGGCAGAAACAGCCACTCAGATAAGCATCTAAACTCTACTCTCAAGTCCAGAATGTCTTGATGGGCAGGTGGGAGATACGGAGCTTATAAATAGTAAAATCAAGTTGGATTTTGAGCTTACTAGTCTCTTCCCTACCCCTACCCAGGAAAAGTAAATGAAGTCTTCAGTGAATGGCTCTATCTTTTGCTCTTTCCTCTTTTCGGCCAAATCCCAAACGATAAAGGGAATTTGCCACGTGGGTGAGAAATGAGACTGAAGTGATTATCAACTGTGCTGGTTCGCAGTTAGAATTGTGCATGGCAGTAACCTGGGGAAATTAAAAGCAAATCTCTAAGTCTAGGATATCCCCTGAAGATTTTAATATGGTAAATCTAATATTTACTATTAAATATTACTGGGCATGTATGTTTTAAAATATTTCCTTGAAGCTGGGCATGGTGGTGCCTCTAGCCAGAGCAACAGATTAAGACACTGCCTCTAACAGCAACAACACAACAACAACAACAACAATAAAACATTTCTTGGGACACTGATACGCTGCTGGTTAAGAACCACTGAATAGATAAGTGTAATATAAATTCCCATATCTCAAACACACAAAAAATCTCTAGAAGAGCTGGAGATAGGTGCTGCTTCCTTTAAATTTCTCCTTTCCAATAATATTGGCCTGACTTTTACCTGTCTCTACCTCTGTGGTTGGGAAGTGGAAAGGACTATTATTTGCAGTATCTATCAGCATAAGAATAACACCTTTTCTTTGCCACCATCACTTATTCACTGCCATTCATAGGGTCATTAGAAATTTGCTATTGTGGACTCTTTTAATAAGTAGAGACTGACTCTTTCAGGACTCTGAGTCTCTTTGTTATCATTCTGGTGATTAGGTCAATACATCATTATTAAAAGCGGGGTTCTCTCAATTACAATAGCAAAAAATTCTAAACCTTTTTTTAAAGCTGAAGCTCTATTATGGACTGCCTCAGTATGTCAGTTAAGTACATAGAACTGTGGCATAATCAGGATAGCAGTTTTAAACACTGAAAACCATGAAGTTAGTAAGAATACAAAGAATACATATAGGTCATTATTAGAGCTTTAATTGATAAGCCATTGTATTTTTATTTCTGATTTATATTTTCCCTAAAATAAAAAAATTAGGTTACAATATAGAAACTAGAATTATAATTTAATATTATTTTAATAATTTAGTTGCAGCAGTCTTATGAACTAATTATCCATTTGGTGAACAATCTGGGAAAATTAAACATAAATTATAAATGAATGAATGTTGTAAAAGTGCTCAAAGTGGGTATTATGACTCTTAGTAACAATTTTTATTGTATTCTTGGGCCTATTTTGGAAAAAAAAATCTGAAACTAAAGAAAGGAAGTATTTTACATGAAAATACTTGTGTTACATACAATTGCTTGGAGACATATCCATAGCAAATATAAAAATACAAGGTATATAGTCCAAATGTGTCCCATACATGTGTTTAGTTTGTGTCTACAAATTGTCTCAACATGGAAGGTTTAGGAGACTCGTGCACAGATCTGGATTCCAGGCTTCTCTTCAAGAATCCAATCTGGTGTCCCTTGAGCCTATCTCAGGTTTTGGATGCTGTGCAGAGGTTGCCCCTTTCTATGAGGCATGTGGTCTCCATTTTGCTACTGTGCCTACCTAGGTACTTCACTTCCTCAGGTCATCTCCCTTGCCTCTGTAGGGATGACTTTACAAGCCCTGTTTTATAATATATTTTAGTAAATATTTCAAGGTTTTTAAGACATTTTATATTTATTTAAATGTAGAGTCTATATTTTATATAAATCCTTTGGTAATCGGGTTGAACTTTTGAATTTAGATGGTGGTGTTTTATAAACTATTTTTCTTTATACATACCATAAATAATCATCTTCCCATTAGAATGCATGTAAGCTTTTTAAGGTGAATCATGGTATGGTTGCATAGGTTATGCATATTGCAGACAACATTATATTTTTCTCTTCAGCATTGCCTCCTAAAAATGCAAGTAATTGGCCGAGCGCAGTGGCTCACGCCTGTAATCCTAGCACTTTGGGAGGCAGAGGCAGGTAGATCACGAGGTCAGAAGATTGAGACCATCCTGGCTAACACGGTGAAACCCCCTCTCTACTACAAATACAAAAAATTAGCTGGGTGTGGTGGCACACTCCTGTAGTCCCAGCTACTCGGGAGGCTGAGGCAGGAGAATTTCTCGTGCTTGAATCCGGGAGGCGGAGGTTGCAGTGAGCCAAGATGGCACCACTGCACTCCAGCCTGGGCGACAGAGCGAGACTCCATCCCAAATAAATAAATAAATAAAAGATGCAAATAATTTAGTGGCTTTCATTATGCTATAAATAATTCATATAGGTCATTATTAGAGCTTTAATTGATAAGCCATTGTATTTTTATTTCTGATTGATATTTTACCTAAAATAAAAAAAGTAAGAATTAATTGGAAACTAGAATACAAATAGATTTTTAAAGGAGTTATGTACCAGGGTCCTAAGATTATAATTACATAAATATTTGCATCAGGGTCCTAAGATTGTAATTGAGAATAACATTTCATACAGAGCTTTCTGACAGCTAAGATAAAAATATTACTAGAGAAAACCCATGGACTATTTAATAATAAGCAGTGAAAGTTCACTCGAAGCCTATCTCTATTAATTCAGAGCCCGGCTCTCCGAATTAAAAAGAGATAGGCTTCAAATGAACTGTCAATCGTGTCAGAATCTCAGATGACAATGTCAGGTGCTCAGGTGCTCAGGAGCTCCTGACATTGTCACCTGAGATTCTTACACCATCGATAGAAGAGAATGAGGCAAGTGTGTATCACCCAGAGGAAACCTCTACCTTTACTGGTAAGCTCTCACAACTGTATCCCTGAAACTCTCATTTCTCAAATGTTAACATTCTCCAAAATAAGTATTTACAAATAGGGATTAGGTGAAGTTCAAAAGATTTCTCAAATACTAGACACATAATGCAGTTTTGTAACATTTTTCAAACATGGGTGATCATGGAGTCTCTCTTTTGGGGTATAATGTTCAAATTCTGGTAAAGTAAATATCCTTTGGAATATATTAATAGTTTAAGAAACACCGCTCTATAGATAATAATTTAGATCATTAATAAAAATACCTGAAACATTTATTACTGTGTCTTAGAGTTTGAGGACATAGAGAAAAAAATACAGCTGCTGCCCTCAAGAAGCTCTTGGTTCAGGTGGGAAACAATTAAATCCTTGAAACATGCCATGCTAAATGCTGGGACAGAAGCAAAGATTCTTGGAACTGGGAAATGTTTGAAGTGAGTTTTGGAGATGACCAGAGTTCTTGTGGTGAGGCAGAGGAGGTTGTTTCCAGGGGAAGGAGCAGAACATAGAAAAGCACCGAGGAGGGAAAAGAAAGGGACTACCTCTTATGACCTTTCAATTGTATATATTGAAGCTCACAGGATCTTACTTACATAAGGTTTTCAGTTCAGTTGATAAATATGTAATTTTGTGATTATAAATTGTTGCTGTTATTTTACAGTGTGAATATCAGCCACTGTTATTTGCTGTGAGTCGAAGAAAAGTGAAAATGGTGGAATTTTTATTAAAGAAAAAAGCAAATGTAAATGCCATTGATTATCTTGGCAGGTACAGACCTTAGTTCTTATTGTGTCGTTTTTAAACCTGAGTGTCATTTTAGTGTGGTAGCAGTCCCTCAAGTCACAAATATTACATTAATAAGAAGACTAACTTGTAATTATTGGGATATAGTGAGAAATAACACAGATCATCACTTAGGTAGGAAAACAATTATTTGGACTGAGTAACATAAAGAACAGTGTATAGCAGGATTCGTCTCTCTCTATAGACATTATACACATAAAAGGCTTCTATATATAGAAAGCTCTGTATATTGATAGATGTTTGTTATTTGTAATATGATGTGGTGTTATTTACAATGTAATAATGTGATGCTTTTGATTGTATGATCTTACATTAGCTAAAGGGGTTTCATGTTAGTTTTTCATTTCTACTGTGTTTTGATGTTGTTTTTAATTGATATGGGGAGGGGGAGAAAAGATAGCTTTAAATGGATAAAACTTTAATGAAGACAAGCTTTAGGTTCACACAGGACTGGGTTTAATCCCTAGCTTTCCCACTTGCTAGATGTGTGACCTTGGTAACATTACTTATTGCCAAGTATGTTTTCTTCTGTGAAAAGGAGGGTAATAATATATCCTTCAAGGGTGGTTGTGTGTAAGTAACATTATATATATATATATATATATATAATGTTAGAATGTCCAGCTAACAGAGCAAGGTGCTGATGTTTTGGAAACAATGGCTGAGCATATAAGTATGTGCATATATTATATATACACACATATGTATGTAAGAATATAATGTAAGTAACATCATATATAATATATAATATATACAATATATACTTTATAGATAATATATAATACACTATATATTATATATTTTATAGATAATATATAATATACAATGTATATTATATATTTTATAGATTATATATACTAATTTTATATATATGTGATATTACTTATACACAACCATCCTTGAAGGATATATTATTATCCTCCATATTTATATATATATATATATAGTGTTTAATTAAATGCCTATCACACGCTTATCAGCATCATTAACTGAAGCTATGACTACTACTATTAGCATTCCTATTAATATTATTGTTTTAAGCCTGCAGATAGCTCTTATCTGACCCTTCAGCTGATTTTGCATTATAATGTATAGTATCATACTAGGGAAGAAATGAATAATTTTTCACTTAAATTTGCCTACTGTAGATAGGTGGCCTGAGCATAGTTTCTTGCCCATCAAAGGACTTTAAGTTAGCAACTTTATGTCATACCACCCACAGTAGGACAAGAGGCTTCCTTTTTGTTCCTTGCTTTTAACCTTTGTGGTAACTTGCAAAGATAAACCCTTGAGCACCCAAGATGCTTGTTTCTTAGTACATGTAATTGGGTTAATTCTACATGGACAGGCAACATATTAAGTTGATAAAGTATATAAACTTAGCTTTTAAAATGTCATTAAAGTTTTTAATTACCTCTCTGTTATTTTAGATCAGCCCTCATACATGCTGTTACTCTTGGAGAAAAAGATATAGTCATTCTTCTTCTGCAGCACAATATTGATGTGCTTTCTCGAGATGCGTTTCGAAAGATTGCAGGAGATTATGCCATTGAGGCTAAGAATAGAGTGTAAGTCTTTACATAAAAAGGCTAGTGAACACTAAATTGAAGTTTAAAATAATTGTAACAATTGCATCTTATATATCAGGTGAGATTTCATAGTTTGGTTCAAGTAGTTTTCAAGTGACAAATTTTCAAGTTTTTAAGTTTTCGAGAGTTGTGCAACTTCATCAGCCAGAAATCAAGCAAAAGAAATCAAGAAAAAGGCTAGATAAGTAGCAGTAGGTGCAAGATTCTTGATATTGAAACTTTCAGGACTTTTCTCCTTAGGGATTCCAATGTTGTCCATTTTATTTCTAGTATAACCCCTATGCATAGGGTAAAGTAGTTTCACATCTTTGATTTTTCTAATTAGTTATTTGGGTCTCAAAATGTCCAGTTTATCAAAAAACCTTGAGCTGTGTACTGGGGACCATCTACTATAGCCTGATCATGGAATTTTTCAAGAACCTAAGGGGTTCCCTAAGTCCAAGGAAGACAATCAGTGTCTACAAGTCAGAAGGAGAAGGGGAAAGGACATTCTAATCATTGCTTTGTTTTCATTGATTCTGTTGCTGCTTTCTTACCATTGAAAGTACTCTTGCAGTCTGGTAGTGATTAACCTTTGCTACCAGCATGCCCTTTCTGTTTGACATCCCTCAATCTTCATGTTGATCCATAAAAAGGCTTCAAAGTTACAACTGGTTTTTTTTAGTTCAGTTGCACATACTTATATGCTCAGCCATTGTTTCCAAAACAGCAGAACCTTGCTCTGTTAGCTGGATATTCTAACTTTATCAACACACATACGGAGCAAATTGACACTTTCACCCACACTCAAAACCTTATGTAAAGCCCACATTTTAACCTGGGCTTCTAGACCTTCATGGTGAGTTATTTTTTGAGTCCCTTTTTTTTCTCTTTAAAGCAAATATTAGTTGGGATAGTTCTAAACTGTCAGAGATATTCAAATAATGTTGTAGAAAGAGATCACAGTGTTCTTCTTTATTGCTACCAGATCTGTACCCTGAGACTTTTTATATAAACAGCGTAAGAGCTTTTCTCAGGTAGTGGAAGCTTCTATGCCATCCTTCCTTAGAGTAGTAGGTATCAACTTGTGGTTGGCCCCTCAAGTGATCTGTTATCTATAATAATGAAGATCTCTCAAGCTGCTTGCATCAGTATCTCAAGTTTATAAAATATTTTCGGATTCTATTTCACAGGAAGCCATTCATCGGAATTATCTGAGTCTCAAGTTTGTTAGTTAGATTTAACAGAGCTAACCCTCATCTATGACTTATCAGCAGTTATATGTAAAAGTAAGGCTTTGTGCTTGCTTTGGCAGCACAAATACTAAAATTGGAACAATACGGAGAAAATTAGCATGGTGAAGCATTTCATATTTTGCAGTCACGGGAAGGTCATTTGACTGTTTGCTGGCTAGCTAAGTCATAGTTTGAATCAAAACAAAATGGGTGGCCCCTTATATTAGAATTGTGATTTTTCACTACAAAAACATTTGTGTAAGGTGATCTATAAACTGAGAATGGAGATAAGTAACACATGGGGTGTTGTGTAAATATTTTGTTAGTATGTATCTTGGAAATGAGAAAATGTCAACTTGCATCTACTTCATGGAACTTAAAAAAAATGAAAGTAGGGTTTTGTCTTCCATGTCAGTTGGAGATAACATCACTGATGGAGATGAACCATCATTCTAGCAAACATCTGCTCATTCAGTTAGAGTCTGTAGAGAAGTAATAGTGGTAGCCCAAGCCAGATCTTGACATCTGTTAGTTTTCTGCCCTTGGAATTGATGAGCTCAATAATAGTTAACAATCGTGTTACCTATTTTAATGAAATAATGTATTCATAAGTTATTTATGAATTATGAAATAGTTGAGATAACCTGAATTATAAGCCACAAATAATAGAACAATAAGCAAAATTAGGACTTAACATTTTTCTTAAACTGAAGCATTTGAATATTAGAACCTATGAAAAAATACACATTGGGTTTGATTTGGGATTTCAAAATAGTTTCAGCAATAAATTTCAAGAACAAACTCCACTGCTTTACTATTTCTCTGTGAATGTTAAAAATGCTGCTTCATTAAACCTATATAACAACCTAGTGAAAGAAGATAGTAAAATCTAGAAGAAGACATTGTGCCTAAGAGAAGCAACTTGTTTAAGAGCAAATACCTGTTGGCTATAGAGCCAGGACCTTCCAGTAAGAGCCAGGAAGGTGACTTTCCATTATGTCAAGCTGATGTGAGATAGTTTGCTGAGCTATACTGCCTTCACTTCATGAGTACTTCACCTGTTTTTATTATTTAATTAGAAAGGTACTAAGAAGTTTGTAGAGCTTACAAAAGAGAAGTGTATAGGATAATTAACATCCTGATATTGTTCAAGATACTCTAATAATTTAGTATATTTGGTAAATGTTTTTGATAATAGTATTAAAATATTAATTTCATTTATTTTTATGCATAGCATTTTTGATCTAATTTATGAATACGAAAGAAAGAGATATGAAGATCTTCCTATAAATAGCAATCCAGGTAAGATTTCTGATAGTGAATTACTCTTGATGGTACTACCATAGATAAAAAAGAATAAAGATGTTTTGATTACAAAAAAGCAGTTTAAAAAAATCACTGTTTAAATTGCACACATTTAAAAAATACTTAGTAGTCTAGATTTTATAATTATTTAAAAAGTTAATTGTAGGTAATTTATAATGTCAGTATTGTTTGAAAAAAATTATTATTTAATTATGGTTCCTAATATTCTAGATGACCTTTTTGTGTAAATAAGAAAACAAATTTTTAAGTTATTATGTTGTATGTTTTTTTATAGTCACATAATAATGAATTAGACTTTTTATATAATTAGAACTTCTATTTAATTTGTAAAATAAATTCTTTGCAATTACTAAATGAATCAATAATTACAGTTGGCCCTTGAACAACATGGGATTTAGTGCTGCCAATCCCCATGCTGTTGAAAATACGTATTTGGTATGTTGTATATATTATATATTGTATTCTGAGTACAAGAAAGTAAGCTAGAGAAAGAAAGCTTTTGCAGTAGTTACAGCTGTAGTTTCCTTGTAGTTCGATGCTTGAACTACTCTCAATCTAGTGTAAGGTGTTCACCCACCCATGGTAAAATAAAGTAAATTTACTCCATTTACTCATTTTAAAATGTTGGTCTTTTTCTTGCCCGCATGCCTTCTTCATTTGTTTTACTTAATTTTTTATTTGTAAAAAAACAATAATAGTTGATAGGGACTTTTTTTTCCTGTGAAAACCATCAGTGAAGAGGCCATGTTGATCTAGGAAATATAAAAGTATTTATTTGGTGGCAGTAGAAATATAAAGCAGAAGCAGAAAATAGGTACAGTTAGTTAATATGATTTAGTGAACATTGAATGTAAAACATTAGTGAGGAGAGAGAAATCTTGGATCATTCATAGGTTTCCGGGTTGTGTACTGGCCTTTATACTGCACACAAGAAAGGAGTAGGACGTGTTCACTGAATGGAGAAGTACAGCTGGTCAACAGGGAAGAATAACTTCCCTTTCCTACAAATCTGAGGTTGGAGATGCAGACGTAGAATGATGTTATTATAATTATTAGGCAAAGTCATCGATCTCAATGAGCTGTCCATGATGCAGATGTAGAATGAGAAGCTATCCTGTGACAAAACCCTGGGAATGTCAACATTCCCTCCCAACCCCCAGGAAAAAAAGAGTTGGTAAAGGAGAATGAGCAGTGGCTAGAGAAAACTAGGAGAGGAGTCAGAGGAAGTGATGTTGCAAAAATAAAAAAAGTGAGAATTTTAAGGAGGGAGTATGAATTCTAACAAGTAAGATTACTCAAAAGCCAATTAGATTTAACTTTTAAAAGCTCTTTGGCGGTACCCTTTTCAAAAGAACCATTTTTGAGGTGTAATGTGGGCTATTGATGTGATTGGTATGTCTGTTGTCCAAATATGGGGAACAAATCTACCAAGATCCTGTGTAACCCTTTTGTAACTGCAGAAGCTACGTGCACAGGGTCAGGGAAAATGGTCTTGACTTCTGAGTACATGTGCCCACACTTTTACAGAATTGTCAAAACCTAAGGGTAATGTGTGAGAAAAACTGTGGTCTTCTTATCTGCTCCTTGTGGAAATACTTAGTTTGTACTGAAATCCCTGATAAGTTCTTCTGGATGCATTCTGAAACAAAAGTCTGGCAGTAGTAACTGGAACCAGCTTGTCCAAAGCACATACATCCCAACTCCCTCCAACATGGAATCATAACACAGCCGCATTTCGAGAGTTTCAAGTTTCAATCAGAAGTAGTCTACAGACATGTGCATGTGTCTTTATAGCAGCATGATTTATAATCCTTTGGGTATATACCCAGTAATGGGATGGCTGGGTCAAATGGTATTTCTAGTTCTAGATCCCTGAGGAATCACCACACTGACTTCCACAATGGTTGAACTAGTTTACAGTCCCACCAACAGTGTAAAAGTGTTCCTATTTCTCCACATCCTCTCCAGCACCTGTTGTTTCCTGACTTTTTAATGATCGCCATTCTAACTCTGGTGTGAGATGGTATCTCATTGTGGTTTTGATTTGCATTCCTCTGATGGCCAGTGGTGATGAGCATTTTTTCATGTTTTTTGGCTGAATAAATGTCTTCTTTAGAGAAGTGTCTGTTCATATCCTTCGCCCACTTTTTGATGGGGTTGTTTGTTTTTTTCTTGTAAATTTGTTTGAGTTCTTTGTAGATTCTGGATATTAGCCCTTTGTCAGATGAGTAGGTTGCAAAAATTTTCTCCCATTCTGTAGGTTGTCTGTTCACTCTGATGGTAATTTCTTTTGCTGTGCAGAAGCTCTTTAGTTTAATTAGATCCCATTTGTCAATTTTGGCTTCTGTTGCCATTGCTTTTGGTGTTTTAGACGTGAAGTCCTTGCCCATGCCTATGTCCTGAATGGTATTGCCTAGGTTTTCTTGTAGGGTTTTTATGGTTTTAGGTCTAACGTTTAAGTCTTTAATCCATCTTGAATTAATTTTTGTATAAGGTGTAAGGAAGGGATCCAGTTTCAGCTTTCTACATATGGCTAGCCAGTTTTCCCAGCACCATTTATTAAATAGGGAATCCTTTCCCCATTTCTTCTTTTTGTCAGGTTTGTCAAAGATCAATAGTTGTAGACATGCGGCATTATTTTTGAGGGCTCTGTTCTGTTCCATTGGTCTGTATCTCTGTTTTGGTACCAGTACCATGCTGTTTTGGTTACTGTAGCCTTGTAGTATAGTTTGAAGTCAGGTAGCGTGATGCCTCCAGCTTTATTCTTTTGGCTTAGGATTGACTTGGCAATGCGGGCTCTTTTTTCGTTCCATATGAACTTTAAAATAGTTTTTTCCAGTTCTGTGAAGAAAGTCATTGTTAGCTTGATGGGGATGGCATTGGATCTATAAATTACCTTGGGCAGTACAGCCATTTTGACAGTATTGATACTTCCTACCTATGAGCCTGGAATGTTCTTCCATTTGTTTGTATCCTCTTTTATTTCATTGAGCAGTGGTTTGTAGCTATTCACAATAGCAAAGACATGGAACCAACCCAAATGTCCAACACTGATAGACTGGATTAAGAAAATGTGGCACATATACACCATGGGATACTATGCAGCCATAAGAAATGATGAGTTCCTGTCCTTTGTAGGGACATGGATGAAGCTGGAAAACATCACTCTCAGCAAACTATGGCAAGGACAAAAAACCAAACACTGCATGTTCTCACTCATAGGTGGGAATTGAACAATGAGAACACATGGACACAGGAAGGGGAACATCACACACCGGGGACTGTTGTGGGGTGGGGGGAGGGGGGAGGGATAACATTAGGAGATCTACCTAATGCTAAATGATGAGTTAATGGGTGCAGCACACCAACATGGCACATGTATACATATGTAACAAACCTGCACGTTGTGCACATGTACCCTAAAAGTATGAAAAAAAAAAAGAAGTAGCCTACATACGAGCAGTTTGGAGAAGCTGATGTCTTTTATAATAATGTCATGGAGAAAAATATAAGGTGATATGCTAAGTATACCAAGTCTCTGTGTTCTGGGACACTTTGTTTTAGTGCAATTCCCTTTTCATGACCTCTTGTAATATCTCTGCTTTTACTGTTTTCTTTTTTAATTTCACCCCTAAAGAAAATATTATTAGAACACATTTCTAACACAGGTATTTTTGACAACTATATATGATTTTCTTTTAAGAGAATTAGCTACCTGTTCTAAAGTATATCTGGTATTCTATTAATCTTTAATGCTAAACTTCTTTATATCTTTAGCACAGTGACAGTGTAAGTGATGCTGCTCCTTTAAGATTTTAAGTTTCTTTTAAATTTTCAAACTTTATATGTCTTTTAAATTTTCAAATTAAGTTAAGACACTTAAGGTGTATTTAAAATTTTCAAACTTGACATAGTTTTAATGTAAAACACTTTTCTGGTATTATATTTCTTCAAATATTGGTAATCTGTTACTTAGCTGGAATATTTGGTCAGTTGGATTACCACACCTTTAACCATTTATATATAAGTTTCTTGATTTTTTTTTTTTTGAGATTGAGTCTTTTGCTGTTTCCCAGGCTGGAGTACAATAGTGTGATCATAGCTCACTGCAGCCTCAAACTTCTGGGTTCAGGTGGTCCTCCTACCTCAGCCTCCTAAGTCGGTGAGACTGCTACAAGCATATGCCACCACACCAAGCTAACTTTTTTATTTTTTATTTTTTAGAGACAAGGGTCTCTCTCTCTTACCCAGGCCAGTCTCAAACTTTTGGCTTCAAGTGATCCTCCTGCCTCAGCCTCCCAAAGTGCTGGAATTATAGTCACGAGCCATCGTGCTGGTCTATAACTTCCTTTATTCCCCAAAATGAGTTTAAAGTCCTATTGGCCCTTAATAAGAAAAACCCACTGTTTGGGAGCCGAAGTGGATAACTCATCCTACATTTTAAATGCAGTTTTTGACTTTTTGACCTGTTCTATGAAGAACTGCCCTTAACAGATGATTTTTAGTTTTAATAGATATTTTTAGTTTTATAAGAACTTAAGAAAAAAGATTAGAAACAAATTAAATGAGCTCTATGATCGATAGTACAGTGTTATAGCCAATGGCTACATATATTTCTATAATTATCACAATGACCTGAATGATGCAAATTATTTTATGTATGTTTTTATTAATAGATTTTTTTTTTTGAGGCTGAGTCTCGCTCTGTTGCCCAGGCTGGAGTGCAGTGGCACGATCTCGGCTCACTGCAAACTCTGCCTCCTGGGTTCAAGCGCTTCTCCTGCTTCAGCCTCCCAAGTAGCTGGGACTACAGGCCTGCACCACCACGCCCAGCTAATTTTTATATTTTTAGTAGAGTCGGGGTTTCACCGTGTTAGCCAGGATGGTCTGCATCTCCTGACCTTGTGATCTGCCCGCCCCAGCCTCCCAAAGTGTTTGGATTACAGGTGTGAGCCACCGCCCCCAGCCTACTAATACATTTTAGAGACAGGGTCTCACTCTGTTTCCCAGGCTGGAGTGCAATGGTTGTTCACAGGCACAATCTCCACTGCAGCCTCAAACTTTTGATCTCAAGCAATCTTCCTGCCTCAGCCGTTGGAGTAGTTGGGACTACAGGTGTGTGTCATTGCACCTGGCCTGATCCCCAATTATTATAAAAGAAACCTTGGTGAGTTGAAGACAATTGGCTGTGATCTTTTTGTTTCTCTTCTAGAAGCTTTCATACTATGGGATATATTTTTAATCATCCATATTCTCAAATTTTTATTCTGGTTAAAATAGGATTGCTGCTTGTTTTTCATTATTTTTTGGCATAATTATTTCTATTCCTTTATGGATTTATTCATGCGGAAATACAGGAATCTCAAAGGCAACCGTTAAGGAGAACAGATTAGGGAAAGGTGTTTTATAAACAGCCTTCTGATCGTAGTCACAGGTCACATCACCTTAAAGAAAACTAATTTCATATAATGCCATTATGTCAGAGTTTCCCAAGACCACCTCTGTGTTTGGCGATTCACTTGGAAGGACTCAGCAAACAGTGCTACTCTGGGCTTTGATTTGTTACAGTGAAAGAATACATAGTAAAATTGACTCAGGGCAAAGGGGCATGTGGCAAGTCTTGGGGAAGCCAGGCACAAGCTTCCGGGAGCCCTCTCCTGTGGAGTTACCAGGATGTGCTGAATTCCTGTAGCTTCGAATTTTGACAGCACATGGGCAATATTGTCTACCAGTATGAGTCTGACTAGAGACTTACACAGTATCCAAGGTTCTTATGGAAGCTAGTTACATAGGCATTCTGTCTCACACATATACAAAAATTCCACACTTCCAGAAGAAAAGCAGCTGTTCAGAGTCAACCACATTGTTTATGCAAACAGTTTAGGTACAGTGAGCTACTTTTCTCAGGAAATGGTGACAAACCTTTAAAATACAAATTTCCAAACACCAGCGAAGGGCCAGTTTTGCATGTAGGCCTTTCTAAGAATGACAGTCTTATGACTGTTATATGCATTATTTTCTTCACAGCAGTTACAGCCCCAACTTAATTTTAGGTGTCTTAAAAATTCTATTTGATAGTGAATAACATGGTAATATAACATAGCATGGTGCTTATTTCATTTGCGTCAGTTGCAACTTAATATGAAATACTAAGTTTCTGTGCTGTTAGATTTTGGAATTTTGGTGAATATTTAACAGGTCTCTATACAGAAGTTACTATGGCAATATTAGATAATTATAATCTGTTCTTATTCGATTAACCTTTCAGTAAAATGGTTAGATAAAATAAGTAATGATTTCTCATTTAAAATTAAAATAAAAAATTTGTTTCATTTTAATTATATAGATGGTTCAGTTTTGTTTTATATTTTGTTAAATTTCTGTTTATAATTATGAAATTTAAAAAATCAATCATTTATCAATTATTTTCTTGCCTGTAAATACAGTTAAGTTATTTGCTTTATGTACTTTTATATACTATAATTCTGGAGAGAATATTCATATTGTGTTTCAAATTGAGTACATATTGCCATAATATATGTTAATATAGCAATATATTAGTAATAGAAGATTCAGTGAAAATCTTTTTAAAAAATTAATAACTTTATTTTAAGAGCAGTTTTATATTCTCAGCAATATTGAAAAGAACCTAAAGAGATTTTTCATATACGCCATCCCCCCTCACGTGCATAGCTCCCCCCATTTTCAATATCTCCCACCTGAGTGGTACATTTGTTACAACTGAGAAGCTTACATTGTTGCATCATAATAATCACCCAAAGTCCATAGTTTATATTTAAGTTCCCTCTTGGTATTGTACCTTCTATAAAGCTGGACAAATGTATAATAAATGTACCCGCCATTAGAATACTTTTGCTGCCCTGAAATTTGTCTCTTTTTTTATTCCTCCCTCACAACTAACCCCTGTCAACTACTAATATTTTTGCTGTCCCCATAGTTTTGATATGTCCAGCATAGTCATATATTAAGGATAACATAGTGGATATCTTTTTCAATATTACAGAACATAATTTCCAAGATAGTTGAATGTATTCAATTAAGCTATCCATTGTGCTTTTTTGCTTTTAGTTTATTAATGTAGGATTTAATGGCATATGCTTTACATGTTGAAAAAGCATAATTTATATAGACATTTGCCACATAATGGGGAGGGTTGAGGAAAATGACTTCATGCTGTGTACTACACAGCACTAACTGGATCATCCTTCTCTGTGAGATGGGTCCAGATAGACTAGCAGTGGAAAGGGACAATCTCAAGACGTTGTACTTTATAAAACGAGTCAGAAAGTCTTTCCTATTTACCTTGCAGTTGGAAATAAGACCAGCTAGTAAATACTGTAGGCATACAAATATGTTTCTTATTCACCTTCTTTCTTTGAGGGATCACTTTGAAGACAGTCTATATTATTATAACATGACTCACTTATAACTAGGTTCTCCATCATGAAAAATGCCAAGAGAGTCATACTATTTTTGTTTACATAAAGTGACAAAGATTTGTTGTTGTTGTTGTTGTTTTTCCCACTAGGTAGTGAGACAACTGTTGGCACATCTTGGTAGCTCCAGTGAGTTTATGGTTCCTTTATATATATTTTATATATTAGAAAGTACTCCCTGGCAACTTGCCATACCATTCCCAGTATTTCTTTGTAAGCTTCTCTCTGACAAGGAAACAAGACTCAGATTGGATAAACTTTTAAGGGAGTGATATTTTCTCTGTGTGTGTTTTTTTGAAGGAGCTAAAAAAGAAAGCTGAATTTAAGGATTGTTTGTGCCCTACATAGGGTGAATGAATAGCTAGAACTAAGCAAGCTTACCGCATCTTCCCTAGGAGAGGATTAGTGAGAGTAAGGACACTGATCTCTCTTAGGCTCTTCTGCACTGGCAGCTGAAAAGTCTTTGCAGGGATCCTTGACCCTGCTCTGTATCCTGTGTTTTGCCATAGAATAGAGTACAGTTTTCATAGATCTAGATTTTTTGAATTAGAGTGCTTTATCCTAAATAGTTTAAACTGAAGAGGTGGAGAAACTGTTGTGTTTCAACAAAATAAGTACAGTAATTTCCTCTTACACATGGGGGATACATTTCAAGACCCTTAGTGAATGCCTGAAAACATGAATAGTGCTGAACTCTATGTGTACAATAATTTTTAAAAATACATATATATCTATAATAAAATTTAATGCATAAATTAGGCACAATAAGAGATTAATAATATCTAATGGTAAAGTAGATCAATTGTAACAATATACTGTAGTAAAAGTTATGTGAATGTGAGCTCACAAAATATCATGTACTATAGTCACCCTACTTTCTGCACTGATGTGAGATGATAAAATGGCTATGTGATAAGTGAGGCAAATGCAGTAGGCATTGCCATGTAGTCTTAGGCTACTATTGACCTTCTATTTGACTATATGTCAGAAAGAAGATCATCTGCTTCACGTGATCCTGGATCCGTGAACCATGATGATATTGTTGGTTGGATGTTAGGTACAGATTATGTCAATGACTAGTGAGTAGATATCATATATAATGTGTATGCACTTGACAAAGGGACGATTCACATCTTGGGCAGACTGGGATGTAATGGCTCAAATTTTGTCATACTACTCAGAATCTTAGGCAATTTAAACCTTATGATGTGTATACATCTGGAATTTTATTTATGGACCATGGTTGACCATGGGTAACTGAATCTGCAGTCAGTAAAACCACCAATGTCATATTATGAAATATATATTTGGTCTTCAACCCCATTTTCTGTCATACAACTCCTAAAATCCTCAGAATTTCCAAGATGATATCATCTGTATGCTAATGATTGACTTATGGCAGGCAGCCTCCAGATGGCTTCAGGGTGGGGCTCATCATCATAGTGATCAGGGTGTGATTAGAGGGTTGGGACTTCCAGCCCCACCCCTCACCTCCTGGGATGTGAGAGGGGCTGAATGTTCAATTAATCAGTCATGCCTATGTAATGAAGCTTTCATAAAATCCCAAAAGGATTGGATTTGGAGAGCATCCAGGTAGCTGTATTCAGCTACCTGGATGCTCTCCAATACATGAAGGCATATGGAGAATACATGGATGTTCCCAGAGGGTGAGTGCCCTGGGAGGACATGGAAGCATGTTACTTTCCCCCCGTATCTTGCACTATGCATCTCTTTATCTGTATCCTTTAATATTCTTTATAAGAAACTGGTAAATGTGTTTCCATGAGTTCTCTGAGCCACTCTAGTAAATTAATCAAACCAAAGAGGGGGTCCTGGGAAACCCAACTTGAAGTCCAACTGGAAGTTGATTAGAAGTTCTGGAGGCCCAGACTTGTAACTGCTGTGGGGGAATAGCCTTGTGGTACTGAGCCCTCAAAATGTGGGATCTGACACAATCCCCAAGTAGGTAGTGCCAGAATTACAGGGCACCCATAGGAATTGATTGTTTGCTTGTTGCTGGGGAAAAATACATATTTGGTCACAGAAATCTTCTGTGCTGATGATTGTTGTTGCGGTGTGAGAGAAGAGGAACATCATGTTGAATATGTGTTTTCTACACATACAGCAGATAAGGGGGACTGCTGTTCTAGCTGCACCTGGTTCATTTGTCCAGAAATCATGTTCTTTGACAATGCCTGCTCATTATATTGATTCTACTAATGATGCCATTTTCTGTCAGTGTGATAGGATTCTGTTAGAATTATGACTATTTTATACTGCAATTCACATGTAAGGTAACAAATTTTGATAATCTTCTTTGCATTTGATAAGTATATGCTAAGCACATAAGAAAGGAAAAAGGGTTCTTAATTCATTAGTTGCCTACAAATAGTATAAATAATAATTTTAGTGTAGCCTCCAAGTATGTTTCTAAAGAACTGCTTTGTAACAAATCATGAGAGTCTCTGTAATAAAGCATCAAAGTCTTATACTTTTTTTCCTACAAGGTCTAAGGCATGTACAAAAGTTCATAATTTTTTTTTTCTTTTGAGATGAAGTCTCACTTTGTCACCCAGGCTGGAGTGGAATGGCACAATCTTGGCTCACTGCAACCTCTGCCTCCTGGGTTCAAGCGATTCTCCTGTCTCAGCCTCCCGAGTAGCTGGGATTACATACGTGTGCCACCACACTCAGCTACTTTTTTTTTGTATTTTTGTTGAGATGGGATTTCACCATGTTTGGCCAGGCTGGTCTCAAACTTTTGGCCTCATGTGATCCACCCACCTTGGCCTCCCAAAATGCTGAGATCACAGACATGAGCCACTGTGCCCAGCCTGCATGATTTTTTTTTTAATAAAGAGTCTTGCTATGTTGCCCAGTCTGTTCTCAAACTCCTGGGCTTCTCAAGTGATACTTCTGCCTCAGCCTTCTGAGTAGCTGAGATTACAGGAACAAGCCACTGTACATATATATATATACACACACACACACACCGAGTATATGCCCAGTAATGGGATTACTGGCTCAAATGGTATTTCCGGTTCTAGATCCTTGAGGAATCACCACACTGTCTTCCACAATGGTTGAACTAATTGACACTTCCACCAACAGTGTAAAAGCATTCCTATTTCTCCACATCTGCTCCAGCATCTGTTGTTTCCTGACCTTTTAACGATTGCCATTCTAAATGGCGCGAGATGGTATCTCATTGTGGTTTTGATTTGCATTTCTCTAATGATCAGTGATGATGAGCTTTTTTTCAGATGTTTGTTGGCTGCATAAATGTATTCTTTTGAGAAGTGTCTGTTCATATCCTTTGTCCACTTTTTGATGAGATCGTTTGTTTTCTTGTAAATTTATTTAAGTTCCTTGTAGATTCTAGATATTAGGCCTTTTTCAGATGGACAGATTGCAAACATTCCCTCCCATTCTGTAGGTTGCCTGTTCACTCTGATCATAGTATTGGAAGTTCTGGCCAGGGTAATCAGGCAAGAGAAAGAAATAAACGGTATTCAAATAGGAAGAAAGGAAGTCAAATTGTCTCTGTTTGCAGATGACATGATTGTATATTTAGAAAAACAAATTGTCTCAGCCCCAAATCTCCTTCAGCTGATAAGCAACTTCCTCATGGTCTCAGGATACAAAGTCAATGTGCAAAATTCACAAGCATTCCTATACACCAGTAATAGAGCACTAAATCATGAGTGAACTCCCATACACAATTGCTACAAAGAGAATAAAATAGCAAGGAATACAACTCACAAGGGATTTGAAGGACCTCTTTAAGGAGAACTACAAACCACCACTCAAGGAAATAAGAGACACAAACAAATGGAAAAACATTCCATGCTCATAGTTAGGAAGAATCAATATCTTGAAAATGGCCATACTGCCCAAAGTAATTTGTAGGTTCAGTGCTATACCCATCAAACTATCATTGACTTTCTTCACAGAATTAGAAAAAACTACTTTAAATTTCATATGGAACCAAAAAAAGAGCCCATATAGCCAAGACAATCCTAAGCAAAAAGAACAAATTTTGAGGCATCATGCTACCTGACTTCAAAATATACTACAAGGCTACAGTAATGAAAACAGCATGGTACTGGTACCAAAAGAGATATATAGACCAATGAAACAGAACAGAGGCCTCAGAAATAATGCCATACATCTACACCATCTGATCTTTGACAAACCTGACAAAAGGAATGGGGAAAGGATTCCCTATTTAATAAATGGTGTTGGGAAAACTGGCTAGCCTTATGCAGGAAACTGAAACTGGACCCCTTCCTTACACTTTATACAAAAATTAACTCGATTCATTAAAGACTTAAAAGTAAGTTCTCAATGTATAAAAACCCTGGATGAAAACCTAGGCAGTACCATTCAGGACATAGGCATGGGCAAATACTTCATGACTAAAACACCAAAAGCAATGTCAACAAAAGCCAAAATTGACAAATGGGATCTAACTAAACTAAAGAACTTGTGTGCAGTTTTATTTGGGAGTGTGTGTGGGGTACCTCTGAGTTTCAAAAATGAAGAAAGTAAGTAGTCATGCTTTCCTGACTCTTTGGTAGACATAGCCTTTAAGACAGTCATTCTGAGCTGTTATGGTCTTAGGGTTCCCTATACTACTAAAACTTATTGATGACATGTAACCAAGAACTTGAATTAAATTTTTTTTTAAAAAAAGAAAAAGAAATCACCCAAATGCACATTAAAAACCTCTTACAACATATGTGCATATTCCTAGATAACATGTAGAACTTGATTTTGTGTATTAAAACCTTGTAGAAAAGTTCAGACAGTGCACAAAATGACTGCAACTTGGTCTTTGTAAAATCAGTGATATATATTTCAGATCTATCCATGTTGACCCAGTGAGGTATTTGATTTATTGTATGATCTAATGATATGCCATGTGATGACTGCAGCATATTTAATTATGCTCTCTTCGTGTTGATACCATATGGACATAAATATGGTGACATACCAGCATGGATATGCTTATGTGGTTGCTTTTATTGATTTGTACTATATTAGAAATGAAACAGAAGTATGGGAAATCCTAGCAAGCATAGCTGTATCTCTCCCATGGCTGTGTTGATTGCAACTGTTTCCCCCTTAAAGCATGTATTTTTGACATGTCATGACCCTGAGAAAATCCAGTGTGTGCTTTTCAGAGAATGACAGTAAGGAGAGGAAATGGCCGATGGTCAAAGTGTTACTTGTCCTCTTGGCTCCCCCTCATGAATGTTAAACTCTAATCTACTCAGGTCACAATTTAGAACCCCTTTGTTGATCCCTATAGAGTGTTCCTGGATGTCAAATGACAAATAGGCCCTTGAAGAAAAAACACCCTGTAAAGCTGTATTGCTCTGGTTTTTGTGTGTGAATGTGTGTGTGTGTTTGTGTGTGTGTGTATTTTTTTCTCTTCTGAAAACTGTAAATAGAATAATTTTCATTACAAATGAAAATATTTCTGTTCCATATTTATTTCCTGTCTCATGGCACTCTGCTCTTCTTGGATCTAGTAAGGATCTCAGCGTGTCTTATTTGTACCTGCAAAAAATTACACCATTCTTCATTTTTCATGTCAATTACTGACATGTTTTCAAGTCTTCACAAGTTATTTCTGAAGATGTTGGTGCATTGAGGAGAGGCAGTGTCATTGGAGTTAAAGAAGTTTTTAAATAGGTTATGTTCAATAACATTTCAGAACCCATTTCTCTGGAAGGCATAGACATAGTGGTTTTATGTGTAGTTAAACATAAAATAGCTCCACAAAGTCTTACGTATGTGAAAGTGTTCATATCCTGGAAGATTCTAATTTACTACTCAGTGCTGTCTGCTGGAGAGGAAAATAGGTAAGATAGGCTGCTGAGCCTATGATAATAACTCATAATATGATGGGAAAGCATAGAGACAAAATAAGAGACGATAGATACTCAAACCAATGTGAGTGAAGAACAGCTGTGAAAGAGTGTCTATGGGAGAGAGGAAGCCATGGGGCTGCTTTTGTGAAGAAGGAATTTGTACACGTTAGTCAAGTGTCTGATACATTTAACATTTTAATAAAGCAAAACCTTATCTTCACATGTGTCAGAATGGGATTGTACGAATGTCACATACAGTAGTGGTGAGAATAATGAAGAAATGAATGTGGAGGGCAAAGAATGAAGTCCACCAATATGGTTATTAGATTTATGAATGAAAAAGAGTGTATGTCAAATTAGGCAAACAAAGAAAGCAGCTAGTTAGGTAATTTGCAGGTTTCTGATGAGGAGACTTGTGGGGAGTCACTTAATGGAAAGTGGAAGTTAGAAGGATGAGGGTGACCCACAGGGCTTCATTTCTCCTCCCTAGAAGTTTTGCACATCAATGATATGTTCTTCGTTCACATCAGTTAGCATATTGGGATGCAGCTTAATCTAGAAAAAGTGTTTTTTTTTTCTTTAGGAAAGCTGTGTTGGCTGAGGTAGTTATTTCATAAAAGGACCTGAGAGACCCCTATGGTATATTATATCAAACTAGCTTTAGAAACAAAGTAATAAAATAATGTATATCTTGAGTACTAAAAAAAACTACCAATATTCTTGGCAATCATGACATATATATATATATTTACATATATATATATTTGGTTGGTTATTAATAAGAAAAGAAGTCTCTTGTGATTTAGAGATTTTGTTTACCTTATTTACATGGGAATCTGATTATGCATGATTTCTTTGACATGTATGTTTTTGCAAAAGTGGAAAAAGAGATGGCAAAAGAGCTGAACTGCTGAATCCGGGAAATGTAGGAATATTAGGAGCCTTCATGAGTACAAAGAAAATGATTTTTTAAATTATGACTCTAAGTATAACTGAACTCACTTCAGATGCATTTAGAATATTTGCATAAAAGATGATTTGATTTTGGCTGCTCCAGAAACTACTGGCAGAAGGAAAGAGTACTAGAATTCAGATAAACCACAGTGACTCGTTACTTCTCTTTGTTACTATTGGGAATCAGAGACATAGATTTTGTTGATATTAGTTATTCAAATGAAATAAACATGAATGTGCATACATTGGCTTTGTTTTTCAAGGAGCTAACTTTTGGATGCAATAGCAATTTAATGAAAATTCTTCAGAGAATAACATGATACTTCAAACCAGACTATTTTAGAAACAAAAATAATGTTGAATTCATTAATTGATTAATAAAATGGTTATTTTCAATGAATATTGGAGTCATTTCCAAATGTGCAAGCTTATTAATATCTAATGCTTGTAGCAGTTTTATTTTGTAGAAGTATGTCAATATTGACAAATGATGATACTTTTTATTGAGGTTTATATATTATACCTTATTGCCGTGAGTGGATGAAAAAACTTTCAGAAGGCTGAACTAGAGAACACAAGAAACTTGGGCAATTATTACACCACATGGTTCTGAGAAATAATGAATACTGTCTACTAGGATTCACCAAACATATATCCAAGCTGATCAATTTAGGACACTTCCACTGAGGAGATGTGAAGTGTACATTCAGCTGAAGTGTCATCGTAATTGTGTACCTTCTCAGTTATCGGGCAAGTTAAAGAGCATGATGAATGGTTGTAGTATAATGGTGTATTTCCTTCTCATCTCTTGCACTAAAGACATGTGACAGCATGTACCACCTGCTTTGACATTGATTCCCAGGTGCATGAGTTGCTTCTCTGTTTTTAGACCACATTTGTTTTTATCCCTCCATATATCCACAATGATACTGACACTGTTTCATTTTAGTTTTAGACATATGAAAAATCATATCACATTTGAAATTGTAAGTGTATTTTTCATGAAGCCTGTGTTGGTGTTTTCTTCAGTGTATTTCTGTCATGTTCCAGTCCCAAGACACAAAGTATAAAACATAAAAACCTAAACTAATAGGGGCAGGAGGATACAGCTTGATGGTAACAGTGCATGAATGTATGGATAATTTTATCATATTTACATATGATTGATTATGTATCCCTTTTGCTTTTCAGTGTCTTCTCAGAAACAACCAGCCTTGAAGGTAATTACACATTCATTTCTGTTTTGAACTATTAACTATATAGTCTGTGAAATATACTTTATGTATTGATTATTTTGTTTCAAATCCCACTCAGGCTACAAGTGGCAAGGAAGATTCTATTTCAAATATAGCCACAGAAATAAAGGATGGACAAAAATCTGGGACAGGTATTTTGGAATACACATTTAATGTCATGTTCACTCAGGATAGAAGAGAACTTCTGTTCACTGAATAAATCGCAGGGAGCTCATTGAATCTGCACATTCTGATTCAGCAGGCCTGAGATTCTGCTTTTGTGATAAGTTCTCGGGTGACGCCGATGCTACTGGTCCTTGGCCATGATCTCAGTATTAAGATTATGTTCTTCCCCACAGTGAAATTGGCAAGAATGATTGGAGAGCAGTGCAAGATATAACAGGCAAAGGGACAGCATATTCTTACTTTAATTCTACAGCATAGTTCCATCATAAAGGGAAGGAGAAAGAGATTAAGTAATAAAAATTATAGGTGTCAGATCAGATTGTTAAAACCACATGGAAGAAGTGATTGGAATAAACCATAAACAATGTAGAAAGAGAACTAAGGAGACCTCTGATGTGGTAATTATTTTACTCAAGGAAGAGGGATTGAGGCAAGAAGGAGGGAAAAGAAGATGTTATTTATGTAATTTTGGGGTTTCTGCTGCAGAAACCTGATGGGACTCACTTCAGATGCATTTGGAATATTTGCATAGAAGAAGATTAGATTTTGGCTGCTCCAGGAACTACTGGAAGCAGGATAGATTGCTAGAATTGTGATAACCCACAGTGACTCATTACCCCTCTTTGTTACTATTGGGCATCAGAGATATATGTTTTGTTGGTATTAGCTATTCAAATAGGCTAATCATGAATATGCATATATTTGCTTTGTTTTTAAAGGAACTAACTTTTGGATAAAATAGCAATTTAATGAAAATAGTTTAGAGAATAACATGATCCTTCAAACCAGACTATTTTAGAAACAAAAATAATGTTGAATTCATTAATTGACTCCTAAAGTGGTTATTTTCAATGAATATCAGAGCAATTTCCAAATGGAAAAGCTTATTCATATCTAATGATTTCAGTAACTTTATTTTGTATAAGTATGCCAAATTTGATGGTTTATTATACTTTTTGATGAGGTTTGTATATTATACTTTCTTGCCATGAGTGGGTGAAGAAACTTTCTGAAGGCTAAACTAGAGGATCCAAGAAATGTAGGCACATTATGACACCACAGGGGTGTGAGAAATAAGGAATATTATATGCTAGGATTCACCAAACATATATTTAAGCTGATCAATTCGGAACACTTCCACAGAGCACTTGGGAAGTGTACATTCAACTAAAGTGCCATTGTCCTTGTGTACCTGCTCAATTGTCAGGCAAGTTTAAGAGCATGATAAATATTTGTAGTATAATGGTATAAATCCCTCTGATGTGTTACATGAAAAACATGCAGGAGCATTAATCACCTGCTTCGACATTGATTCCCAAGTGTATGAGTCACTGCTCTGATTTTAGATCACATTTGTCCTCATCACTCGGCATATCCACATTGATATAGACACTGTTTTATTGTAGTAATAGACATGTGAAGAATAATATCACATATGAAATTGGAAGTGTTTGTTGCGTGAAGACTATACTTCTGTTTTCTACAGTGTAATTCTGTCATGTTCCTGTCCCAATACACAAAGTAGAAAACATCAAAGCCTATGCTAATTCAGGCAGGAGGATACAGCTTGATGGTAACACTGCATGAAAGTATGGATAACTTTATCATATTTACATATGAGTGATTATGTATCCCTTTTGGTTTTCAGTGTCTTCTCAGAAACAACCGGCCTTGAAGGTATTATACTCTCATTCATATTTTGAATAATTAACTGTATAGTCTATGGAATATACTGTAGGTATTGATTATTTTGTTTGAAATCCCACTCAGGATACAAGTGACAAGGATGATTCTGTTTCGAACACAGCCACAGAAATAAAAGATGAACAAAAATCTGGGACAGGTAATTTTGCAATACACATTTAATGCCATGTACAGTCAAGATAGAGAACTTCCCTTCCCCAAATAAATCAGCAGGGGGCTCATTGAAGCTGCGCATTCTGATTCAGCGGGCCTGAGATTCTGCATTTGTAATAAGTTCTGGAGTGATGGTGATTCTGCTGATTTTTGGCCATGATCTGAGTAGTAAGATTTTAGACTTCCCTACATTGAAATTGGGAAGAAGAACAATTGGAGAGCAGTTCAAGATACAAGAGTCTGAGGGGACAGCATAATTTTGCTTTAATTCTACAGCATGTCTCCATGAAGAGGGGAAGGAGAACAAGATGAAGTACTAGAAATTATAGGCGCCTGATCACATTGCTAAAACCAGAGGGAAGAAATGATCGTAATAAGCCATAAACACTATAGAATGAGAAGTAACAAGACCACTGATGTAGTAATTATTTTCCTCAGGGAAGAGGGATTGTGAGTCAGGAAGAAGGGAAAAGAAGTTATTTGTTTAATTTTAGGGTTTCTGCTGAGGAAACCTGAGGGAACTCACTTCAGATGTGTTTAGAATGTTTGCATAAAGGAAAATTTGATTTTGGCTGCTCCAGGAACTACTGGAAGCAGGATAGAGTGCTAGAATTGTGATGAACCACAGTCACCTGTTTCCCCTCTTTGTTATTATTGGGCATCAGAGATATATGTTTTGTTGTTATCAGTGAGTCAAATGAGATAAATGTAAATATGCATACATTGGCTTTGTTGTTCAGAGAGCTAACTTTTGGACAAAATAGCAATTTAATGAAAACAGTTTAGTGAATAACATGATCCTTCAAACCAGACTATTTTAGAACCAAAAATAATATTAAATTCTTTAATTGACACCTAAAATATTTATTTTTAATTAATATTGGAGTGATTTCCAAATGGAAAACCTTATTCAGATCTAATGCTTGTAGCAACTTTATTTTGTGTAAGTATATCAAATTTGATAATTTTTTATACATTTTGATTAGGTTTGTATATAATACCTTGTTCCCATTGGTGACTGACAAAAGTTTCTGAAGGTTAAACCAGAAAATACAAAAGTGTAGGCTCATTATTATACCACATGGGTATGAAAAATAATGAATAGCATATAATAGGATTCACCAAACATATATCCAAGCTGACCAATTCAGAACACTTCCACTGAGGAGCTTTGAAGTGCACGTTCATCTAAAGTGTAATTGTCATTGTGTACCTGCTGGATTGTCCGGCAAGTCAAAGAGCATGATGAATATTTGTAGTATAATTGTTTAAATCCTTCTGATGTCTTGTATGAAAGATATGCGTGAACCTGGCTCACTTCAACTTTAACCTTCTGGGTTCAAGTGATTCTCCTGTCTCAGTCTCCTGAGTAGCTGAATTTACAGATGTGCACCACCAACCTGGTAATTTTTGTGTTTTTACTAGAGTCCGGCTTTTGCCATGTTGGCCAGGTTGGTCTTGAACTCCTGACCTCAAGTTATCCACCCACCTCAGCCTCACAAAGTGCTGGGATTACAGGTGTGACCCACCGAGCCCTGCCTACATGATTTTTTTTTTTTTAACTTTTTAAAAATAAAGATAGCGTGTTTCTGTGCTGCCCAAGCTGGTCTGAAATGCCTGGGCTTCTCAAGTGATATTTCTGCCTCAGCCTTTTGAGTAGCTGAGATTATAGGAACAAGTCACTGTGCTCTTTTATGTTTTTAATATTTTATAGGTTCCTATTGTTGATTTAAAATGCATTTTACTTTTTGTTTAATAGTGCTTCCTGCTGTTGAACAGTGTTTAAACAGGTATGATTTTACAGATTTTTTAAAGTGATATGTTAACTTAGTTAATAGAGAGAATAGAAACTAGTATCCATTTAGTGTTCTCCTCTGTGCTAGACACCATATTACATGCTTAATATTTATCATGTCATGTCATCTCCACACAGCTTTACAAATTATTTGTGCTGTTATTGCTTTTTTACTAATTAGGCAACTCTGCTTTAAAGAGGTTGAAATATTGGCTCATGATTCCACAGTTAACAGGTAGCCAACCGATGATTTGACCATCATCCTGCCTGGCTCTCTAATCACTTCATTTGCCCCTAAGCATAGATGGATACAGACCTATGCAGCAATGCGATCACGGTACTGGTGTAACTCAGATCAATTCAGAAAGTCACATTTTGTTATATATTAACTCTCTTTAGAGTATTTCTTAGAAGCCTAGATACTCCAAAACTTTGTCCAAATATTTTGGAAATGGCAGTGGTAACCATATTACTTTTTTTTAAACCATCAAAATTTTAAAGGCAGATATCAGTTACCTGTGGCCACAAGACCGTAAGTTTTTTGTAAGCAAGACTAGGCCAGTCCTAGAAAAATATTATTTTACTGTGCATGGAGAATACCTAAATATAGACCATGTTATGACAACTATATTTAGCATATATTAAAATGATATTTCTAATTCATGTCTCTACTTACTCCCTACCCAGTTAGGTTTTCTCTTTAAGTGAGCACCCTGCCTAGTTTGCTGAAGCTTTTTCTTATTTTGTGGATTCTTCTTTTTTCCTTCTATGACATTTTAGTATTTTCTTGATTTCTTTTCACTTTCTCTACCACTTTTCTTAGGGTTTAAGATCTTCTTTTATAGTTTTCATGTATGGCAGCTAAATATTCCCCATTTTCCTATAGACACAATCAGAGGTGCATAAAATTTCAGAATGTTAAGAAATCCTAGAGACTAAACAAAGTATCCTCTAGTGCTTGAATCCTTGCTTAACATCCTGATCAAGTGGTTGTTCAGGTGGAGAACCTGAAACTCAAAGAGAGAAAATTATTTGGATACAGTAAATCAGAGAAATGAGAATTGCACTCAGGTTTCTTAGTTCAAAACGCAGTCTTCTTTTACATCATTCTGTCATTGAGTGATTTTAGTTTTAGAAAGAGGGAGTGGCTCTAGTGAACACAGTGGAAGAGGATGAGAATTGAATGAGCTGTTGAACCTAATGAAAGTGAATAAGAATGGAATTTGCAGGGGGCAGCCAAATTTGAAGAGAAACAAACTCTTAGTTTGATAGAAATGAGGATTTTAGGGAAAAATCTGAATATTTGGTTTAATGCAAGTTTGATAAAGATAAGGGAAATGATAACACAGGATGTTGGGAGCTATCAAGAAAGGCATATTAGAATATGGCGTTCAAGGAGTTCTGAAGAGTTTGCTGCCTTTTTGTTTGTTTAACTGGAGGAACTAACAAACTTCAAGGTTTTATTGAAAAATGTTAAAAGAATTTGAGCCACTGGAAAGAGTCTCCAGAGGAGATAGGAATGTGGTATCATCTTCTTCCATCCCAGCTTACAGAGGGCTTAGAATCCCTCAAGAACCAGGGAGCTGGAGATTGCTTAAGTACATAGATCTGTGATCCAGGGTGGATGTCTCTTTTTTTCTGACTCTTTTCTCAATTCTCTCATGTACATGTAGGGTGGGACAAATGTAGGATTGGCCGGCAAACCAGCAATGAAGCTTCATTTGGGTAGTTGGTAACATGCGTATGCTTGGGGTGGATGACTGAGACTAACTTACTTTCCAGAAGCAGAGGAATAGAGAGCTCCTACTCTCAATTATGTTAGCCCATCTTTTGAGAAATCTGGGCTTTCCTAGGCTGAAGATGTAGATTGGAGATTGCCACAGATCCCTGCAGAAGAGGGATCCAGAAGTGGGAGCCCATAGGAAGGAAGATATTTAGATAGGGATGAATGAAATGGAGCTATAAGTACTTAGGAGGGAGACTTTTCCAGCAGTCTCTCTCTTGGGTATCTGAGTGTCTATGAAGGTTCTTAAGCTTGCTGGTTTTTGTGGATCTGAATAAGGCAGAATCTATATAATGACGATAATTGGATTTTAAAATTTTTAATGTTTTAATCTTCTGTGAAGAATATTCCCAATAACAATCTAACAACATATACATTTGTACTTTGACTTTTGTACACTCAGCTTTCAAACATTTGCAGTGTTTCAGGGGGCTCCCTGTAGTGTTCTAGGGTGAAAAGAATCAATGGGCCCTCTTTAAGTAGCTTACATGCTGAAGATCCAAGACTCCCATTTTCCAGTGACACAGATTAGTCTTTGAATCAGAAATAGATAATGGAGAAGAGACCGTGCCTTTTCTACCTTGTTTTAGGTTATCAGGTTTACTGCAGTTCAGTAACAAAAGTTGTGTCAGATATCAACTGGATTTTCAGTTTAGTCTTTAGGGTAGATAATTTATAAGGACAAATTATTGTCTGGCTGTGCCATTATAATGCCTGTCACTATTTGTTATGGGTTTAAGGGTGAGTCTGCATTGGATATTTCATAGGTTGGGAGAAGTGGCAGCAGAAATAGGTAACTGAAATGTTTTCTAAAATGGAAGCCATATCTTAATTATACCAAGAAATATTATTTAACATGCAGATAACTGAGTTTCCTCAGACTTTGTTTTACCATTTTTTTGGAGTGGACATACGTGTATAGACTGACGGTTTTTGTTTTCTTTTAAGAAATGAATGAGCTCATTTTTGTAATATCTTTTTGCTCTGTAGGAGTCTCTACAGACCTGATGCTGTTGCACAGCCTGTGACAGAGAATGAGTTTTCTTTGGAATCTGAGGTAGAGTACTCTCTTGTGAAATTAATTTTCTCCCTCTGAATCTCATTTTTTATATTATTTTCTTCTAAAACTTAGCAGTTGTCTACCTATCATTGTTTTATGTTACTATTAAAACTTTTATTAGAGATAACCATTTTAAAGAAATGGGAGGGGTTAATTTTAATTTTTTTTACTTTGGCAAATAAGAAATAGTTGATAAATACTTTGAGAGGTGTGATCTGAAAAAAAATTGCTGGAAAATACACAGTGACAGAAAAATGATGTTCGGGAATGCTTTCCCACAGTAGAGGATATACAAATTTTGGTCTAGGCTTATTTGAGTGTTTTTACTTTGAGTTGTATATCATATGAGTATGACTAATAATACCTCTGTTTAAATGAATCTTTAATACATCAGATGACTTATCAAAGAAATCATGGAATCACTCTGTTACACATAGCATATAGTTTCTTTTTATTTCTTGTGCACATATTTTGATATCATACTGTATTTTTGCAGAGCTATTTCTTTATTTTTATTCCTGGCTCTGTAATTAGACTAAAATAATATTAGAAATTGTGGAAATTTAACTAGACATGGTATCATGTGCCTGTAGTCCCACCTATTCAAGAGATCAAGTCAGGAGAATTTCTTGAGCCCAGGATTTTAAGACCAAGCTTGACAATATAACAAGTGCTTATCTCTAATTTTAAAAAGTTGTGGAATATTAGAAATTCAAATTCTGTTCTCAAATCTGTATTAGAGAGGGTTTACACTGTGTTTTCCAAGCCTTTTTTATTTAGAGTATACTTTAAACTCTTTATTTAATTGAAAAATATGCATTTTGTTTAAATAACCTGTTTGATAAACAGAGACTCTTCATATTTTATGGTCAGACTTTAATTTCACAATGTTTTTGAATTGTAATTAAAAAGAATCCACTCAGGGTCTTTGTATGGCATTCTAAATTTCAAATTTCAGAGGCTTTTGTGCTTAGTTATTGAAAAAATAATTGTAAAGCTCCTGCATTACTATGAGGCACTTGAAACTAGAAAACCTATTTGTATGTGTCCTGGAATACACAGAATAAGGTCTTGCATGTAAGAAACACTTTAATAGTTTTTAATGTGAATCAACAAACAGGTAAATGGGCTTTCTCATGATGGAATGTTACAGGTAACCTAATATGCATGACATATCTAATAATTAAATCTATTAAATGTCTTGAATGTTTTGAATTTATCTTTTTTTCTAATGTTGAGAATGTATAAGTTGAGGTGAGTTATGTTGAGAAAATATGTCATATAGAAGAAAATAAAATTTAGAAAAGATGAAAAGGAAATAGGAGAGGTGGATACAGCCTAATATCTTCCAACTGGAAGCTTAGATTAGGATTTTAGATTAAATTTTCTTAAATTTTTAAAGCCCCAATCATGTTCTATTAAATACCTTTTTTTTGGGACATACATTACTCTTTCAAATTCTGAATAAAAATTCTTTCTCCAGGTGTTAAGTTGCTGGAATTTTATTGTTTTTTTTTTTTTCTTTCCCCCTCTCTCTCTCTGTAGTAAGAATGTGTCAGTTTTCAGATCAATCATCATGGTTAACTCTTGGGATGTGTTATTTTATAGTAAACAAATGAAACTCTTTATTACATAAGTATTTACACAAAACAAATTGTCGAGTAAATGCTAACCAGTATTATTAGGCATATATTATGAACACAAGCTTTTCTTTTAAGCGCATATTTGATTGACTGGTCATGTCTCTTTTTTTGTTTGTTGCTCCCTCCTTTCCCTTTGTTTAAAAATGATTTACCTCAGTCTAACTTTCTCCTTGCAGACCACATGTCTTTAGTGTCTATTCTTTCATTTCACTTCTGTTTCTATTGTCAGGATACTTAGTTACAGCTTTCTATTTAGTAGCTATGTGTGGCCTTCATTCGTGAATCATTGCTCCATAAGGTGGATGATTGCTTTTTTCTGTCTTTTTTGGAAGGAGCTGAAGTTGTACTATAATTTGTTTTTAGCTTTTGACACGCTGAATAGAAGCAACTTGTGCTGTTTCTGATGCCAACCCATTTAAAGATAGTACTACTAAAAACTACATTCTCACATTTTTTCCCACAGAAAGTAATTCGCACAAACATACATCATGCATACCTATTTTGAAAAATAATGTGATTAATTTACTTTTTTTATTATTAGTTTTATTCAGCAATACTCTAAATTACATATGAGTACATTTTTGTCCTAGTTTGTTGTGGTTAATAAAAGAAACTAATGGATATCATAGTATTTGTATAATAATCAACATGGGTTGAAAGGAGTAACATTTTGAAGATATCTGTATCACCAATCATAACCATCACCCCATGTGAATCTGTAGATTAGTAAATGGCAGACTTGAGGTTTGAATCTACATATGAGTGATTTCAACGTCCATACTTTTCCTGTTAGATCATGTAGTAATGGTGGGTATTATCCTATTTTAACTTGCTCCATGTTATTCTTAAACCTATTGTGTTTTTCTTCTAGATTATTTCAAAACTATACATCCCAAAGAGAAAGATTATTTCTCCACGATCTATAAAAGATGGTAAGTTATTTGAAGGCTGCCTATTGTAGTATTTACTGATTCTTCATTTGTTTTTTTTTTTTCTTTGTGAAACACAGTCTTACTAGTCTGCAGCACAGGCTGGAGTGCAGTGGTGCGATCTTGGCTCACTGCAGTTTCCATCTCCTGGGTTCAAGTGATTCTCCTGCCTTAGCCTCCCGAGTAGCTGGGATTACAGGCGTGCACCACCACACCTGGCTAATTTTTGTATTTTTAGTGGATTTGGAGTTTCACCATGTTGTCCAGGCTGGTCTCAAACTTTTGACCTCAAGTGATTCCCCTGCCTAGGCCTCCCAAGCTGCTAGGATTACAGGCATGACCCACCACACCAGGCCTTGTTGATTATTATTATTATGTTTATAAGGATAGAGTCTTGCTATGTTACCCAGGCTGGTCTCAAACTCCTTGGCTTCTCAAGTGATACTTCTGCCTCAGCCTTCTGAGTAGCTGGGATTATAGGAACAAGCCACTGTGCTCTTTTATGTTTTTAGTATTCTATAGTGTTCTATTGTTGATTTAAAATGCATTTTACTTTTTCTTTAATAGTGCTTCCTCCTGTTGAAGAGGCTGTTGACAGGTATGATTTCAGAGATTTTTTAAAGTGATATGTTAACTAAGTGAATAGAGAGAAGA
Organism: Homo sapiens; assembly: GCF_000001405.40. Lineage (NCBI taxonomy): Eukaryota > Metazoa > Chordata > Mammalia > Primates > Hominidae > Homo > Homo sapiens. The sequence goes on from NW_025791765.1 coordinate 127,289, forward strand.
GAAACTAGTATTTGTTTAGTATTCTACTCTGTGCTGGACACCATATTACATGCTTAACATTTATCATGTCACACAACTTTAGAAACTATTTGTGCTGTTATTGCTTTTTTACTAATTAGGCAACTCTGCTTTAAAGAGGTTGAAATATTGGCTCATGATTCCACAGTTAACAGGTAGCCAACCCAACATTAGACCATCATGCTGCCTGGCTCTCAAATCACTTCATTTGCCCCTAAGCATAGATGGATAGAGGCCTATGCAGCAATGGGGCCATGGTACTTATTTACATCAGATCAATTCAGAAAGTCACATTTTGTTATATATTAACTGTCTTTAGAGTGTTATTTAGAAGCCTGGCTACTCCAAAAGTTTTTCCAAATATTTTGAAATGGCAGTGGTAACCATATTACTTTTTTTTTTAACCATCAAATTTTAAAGGCAGTTATCAGTTATCTGTGGCCACAGGACCCTAAGTTTTTCATAAGCAAGACCAGGCCAGTCCTAGAAAAATATTATCTTACTGTGCTTGGAGAATATCTAAATATAGTCCATGTTATGTTAACTATATTTAGCATATATTAAAAGGATATTTCTAATTCATTTCTCCACTTACTCCCTACCCAGTTAGGTTTTCTCTTTAAGTGAGTACCCTGCCTAGTTTGCTGAAGCTTTTTCTTATTTTCTGGATTCTTTTTTTTCCTTCTGTGACATTTTAATAATATTTTCTTGATTTCTTTTTACTTTCTTTTCTGCTTTTCTAAGGGTTTATGATCTTCTATTATAGTTTTCATTTAAGACAGCTAAGTAGTCCCCATTTTCCTATAGACAAAATCAGAGGTGCATAGAATTTCAGAATGTTAAGAAATCCTAGAGACTAAACAAAATATCTTCTATACTTGAATCCTTGCTCAACATCCTGATCAAGTGGTTGTTCAGGTGGAGAACCTGAAATTCAAAGAAAGAAAATTATTTGGATACAGTAAATCAGAGAAATGAGAATTGCACTCAGGTTTCTTAGTTCAAAACGCAGTCTTCTTTTACATCATTCTGTCATTGAGTGATTTTAGTTTTAGAAAGCAGGAGTGGCTCTAGTGAACACAGTGGAAGAGGATGAGAATTGAATGAGCTGTTGAACCCAATGAAAGTGGATAAGAATGGAATTTGCAGGGGACAGCCAAATTTGAAGATGTAGATTGGAGATTGCCATGGATCCCTGCTGAAGAGGGATCCAGAAGGGGGAGCCCATAGGAAGGAAGATATTTAGATAGTGATGAATGAAATGAAGCTCTAAGTACTCAGGAGGGAGACTTTTCCACTAGTCCCTCTCTTGGATATCTGAGTGTCTATGAAGGTTCTTAAGCTTGCTGGTTTTTGTGGACCTGAATAAGGCAGGATCTATATAATGACAATAATTGGATTTTATAATTTTTAATGTTTTAATCTTCTGTGAAGAATATTCCCAAAGTACATTTGTACTTTGACTTTTGTACACTCAGCTTTCAAACATTTGCAGTGTTTCAGGGGGTTCCCTGTAGTGTTCTAGGGTGAAGAGAATCAATGGGCCCTCTTTAAGTAGCTTACATGCTGAAGATCTAAGACTCCCATTTTCCAGTGACACAGATTAGTCTTTGAATCAGAAATAGATAATGGAGAAGAGACCGTGCCTTTTCTACCTTGTTTTAGGTTATCAGGTTTACTGCAGTTCAGTAACAAAAGTTGTGTCAGATATCAATTGGATTTTCAGTTTAGTCTTTAGGGTAGATAATTTATAAGGACAAATTATTGTCTGGCTGTGCCATTATAATGCCTGTCACTATTTGTTATGGGTTTAAGGGTGAGTCTGCATTGGATATTTCATAGGTTGGGAGAAGTGGCAGCAGAAATAGGTAACTGAAATGTTTTCTAAAATGGAAGCCATATCTTAATTATACCAAGAAATATTATTTAATATGCAGATAACTGAGTTTCCTCAGACTTTGTTTTACCATTTTTTTTGGAGGGGACCTGCATGTATAGACTGACGGTTTTTGTTTTCTTTTAAGAAATGAACGTGCTCATTTTTGTAATATCTTTTTGCTCTGTAGGTGTCTCTACCTACTGGACCGTTTTGCACAGCCTGTGACAAAGGATAAGTTTGCTTTGGAATCTGAGGTAGAGTACTCTCTTGTGAAATTAATTTTCTCATTCTGAATCTCATTTTTTGTATTATTTTCTTCTAGCAAATAATAGGTAGCAATTGTCTACCTATCATTGTTTTATGTTAGTATTAAAACTTTTATTAGAGATAACCATTTTAAAGAAATAGGGGGGGTTAATTTTAATTTTTTTTTACTTTGCAAATAAGAAATAGTTGATAAATACTTTGAGAGGTGTGATCTGAAAAAAAAATTGCTGGAAAATACATAGTGACAGGAAAATATGGTTTTGGAACACTTTCCCACAACAGAGGAGATACAAATTTTGGTCTAGGCTTATCTGAGTAAGTGTTTTTAATCTGAGTTGTATATCATATGAGTATGACTAATAATACCTCTGTTTAAATGAATCTTTGTTACATCAGATGACTTATTATGGGAATCATGGAATCACCCTGTTACACATAGCATATAGTTTCTTTTCATTTCTTGTACACCTATTTTAACATCATACAGTATTTTTGCAGAGAGCTACTTCTTTATTTTTATTCTTGGTTCTATATATTTAGGCTAAAATAATATTACAAATTGTGGAAATTTAACTAGACATGGTATCATGTGCCTGTAGTCCCACCTACTCAAGAGTTCAAGCCAGGAGAATTTCTTAATCCCAGGAGTTTAAGACCAAGCTTGGCAATACAGCAAGAGCTTATCTCTAATTTAAAAAATTGTGGAATATTAGAAATTTAAATTCTGTTCTCAGATCTACAGTAGAGAGGGTTTACAGTGTGTTTTCCAAGTCTTTTTTATTAAGAGTATACTTTAAACTCTTTATCTAATTGAAGAATATGCATTTTGTTTAAAATAACAACCTGTTTGATAAGCAGAGACTCTTCATATTTCTATGATCAGACTTTAATTTCTCATGGTTTCTGCGTTGTAATTAAAAAAAATCCACTCAGGGTCTTTGTATCTCATTCTAAATTTCAAATTTCAGAGGCTTTTGTGCTTAGTTATTGAAAAAATAATTGTAAAACTCCTGCATTACTATGAGCCACTTGAAGCTAGAAAACCTATTTGTATGTATCTTAAGCACCCAGAATAATGTCTTGCATGTAAGAAATATTTTATTAGTTTTTAATGTGAATCAACAAACAGGGAAATGGGCTTTTTTTTAATGGACTGTTACAGGTAACATAATATGCCTAAGATATCTAATAATTAAATCTATTAAATGTCTTGAATGTTCTGAATTTATCTTTTGTTCTAATGTTGAGAATCTATAAGTTGAGGTGAGTTATCCTGAGAAAATATGTTATAGAAGAAAATGAAAATTGGAAAAGATGGAAAGGAAATAGGAAAGGCGGATACAGCGTGTTTTCTAATATCTTCCAACTGGAAGCTTAGATTAGGATTTTAGATTAAATTTTCTTAAATTTTTAAAGCCCCAACCATGTTCTATTAAATACATATTTTTCAGGACATACATTACTCTTTTTTTTTTATTATTATACTTTAAGTTTTAGGGTACATGTGCACATTGTGCAGGTTAGTTACATATGTATACATGTGCCATGCTGGTGCGCTGCACCCACTAACTCGTCATCTAGCATCAGGTATATCTCCCAATGCTCTCCCTCCCCCCTACCCCCACCCCACAACAGTCCCCAGAGTGTGATATTCCCCTTCCTGTGTCCATGTGATCTCATTGTTCAATTCCCACCTATGAGTGAGAATATGCGGTGTTTGGTTTTTTGTTCTTGCGATAGTTTACTGAGAATGATGATTTCCAATTTCACCCATGTCCCTACAAAGGACATGAACTCATCATTTTTTATGGCTGCATAGTATTCCATGGTGTATATGTGCCACATTTTCTTAATCCAGTCTATCATTGTTGGACATTTGGGTTGGTTCCAAGTCTTTGCTATTGTGAATAGTGCCGCAATAAACATACGTGTGCATGTGTCTTTATAGCAGCATGATTTATAGTCCTTTGGGTATATACCCAGTAATGGGATGGCTGGGTCAAATGGTATTTCTAGTTCTAGATCCCTGAGGAATCGCCACACTGACTTCCACAATGGTTGAACTAGTTTACAGTCCCACCAACAGTGTAAAAGTGTTCCTATTTCTCCACATCCTCTCCAGCACCTGTTGTTTCCTGACTTTTTAATGATCACCATTCTAACAGGTGTGAGATGGTATCTCATGGTGGTCTTGATTTGCATTTCTCTGATGGCCAGTGATGGTGAGCGTTTTTTTCATGTGTTTTTTGGCTGCATAAATGTCTTCTTTTGAGAAGTGTCTGTTCAAGGACATACATTACTCTTTCGAATTCTGAATAAAAATCCTTTCTCCAGGTGTTAAGTTGCTGGAATTTTATTGGTTTTTGTTTTTTTTTCCTCTCTCTCTCTCTCTCTCTGTTTGTAGTAAGAATGTTTCAGCTTTCAGGTGAATGATCATGGTTAATTCTTGGGATGTGTTATTTTATAGTAAACAAATTAAACTTTTTATTACATAAGTATTTACACAAAACAAATTGTCGAATAAATGCTAACCAGTATTATTAGGCATATATTATGAACACAAGCTTTTCTTTTAAGCTCATATTTGATTGACTGGTCATGTCTCTTTTTTTGTTTGTTGCTCCCTCCTTCCCCTTTGTTTAAAAATAACTTACCTCAGTCTAATATTTTCCTTGCAGACCGCATGTCTTTAGTGTCTATTCTTTCATTTCACCTCTGTTTCTGTTGTCAGGATACTTAGTTACAACTTTCTATTTAGTAACTATGTGTGGCCTTCATTCATGAATCATTGCTCCATAAGGTGGATGGTTGCTTTGTTCTGTCTTTTTTGGAAGGAGCGGAGGTTATACAATAATTTGTTTTTAGCTTTTGACACACAGAATAGAAGCAACTTACACTGTTTAAAGATAGTACTACTAAAAACTACATTCTCACATTTTTTCCCGCAGAAAGTAATTCACACAAATATATATCATGCCTAAGTATTTTGAAAAATAAAGTGATTAATTGACTTTTTATTATTAGTTTTGTTCAGTCATACTCTAAATTACAGATGAGTAAATTTTTTTCCCAGTTTGTTGTGGTTAATAAAAGAAACTAATGGATATCATAGTATTTGTATAATAACTCAACTGGGGTTGAAAGGAGTAACATTTTGAGAATATCTGTATCACCAATCATAATCATCATCCCATGTGAATATGTAGATAAGTAAATGGCAGACTTGAGGTTTGAATCTACATATGAGTGACTTCAAAGTCCATCCTTTTTGTGTTAGATCATGTAGTAATGGTGGCAATTATCATTATTTTAACTTGCTGCATGTTATTCTTAAACCTATTGTGTCTTCTAGAATATTTCAGAACCATACTTTACGAACAGAAGGACTATTTCTCAACAATCTGCAGAAAATTGTAAGCTATTTGAAACCTGACTATTATATTATCTACTGAATCTTTTTTTTTCTTTCTTTTTCTTTCTTATTTTTTGTAGACAGAGTGTTACTCACTGTTGCCCAGGCTGGAGTGCAGTGGCATGATCTTGGCTCACTGCAACTTCTACCTCCTGGGTTCAAGTGATTCTCCTGCCTCAGCCTCCTGAGTAGCTGGGATTACAGGTGTGCACCACCACACCTGGCTATTTTTGTATTTTTGGTAGAGATGGAGTTTCACCATGTTGGCCAGGCTGGTCTTGAACACCTGACCTCATATGATCTGCCTGCATTGGCCCCCCAAACTGCTGGGATTAAAGCTGTGAGCCCCCACACCCGGTTCTTATTTCTTGATTCTTAATTACATGCATTTCATCTACTCTTGACTTTGTTTTTACTGTAGTAGATGCTGCATGTGGCATTGACAAAACAGAAAATGGAAACATGTTTGAAGACCAAAATGTTGATAAGGTAAATGAAGATGTGGTTAAAAGCCAACATAGAATAATCAGAGTCCAGTCCTGTTCACCAACTCACTCTTATCTGTTAATGATCTTTAGTTTTACAATGGTAAATTGTTTTATTTGGAAAATATTTTTCCCGTGCTTTATTCACTTGCCATCTCCCTGTCTTTATAACGATGACAAGGATCCTATAAAGGAATGGAAGTTCTCAAGGTAATAATAGAAAAGAAGTGTGACAACAAGGGAAATGTATGCATGGGACTAGGATTCCTAAAAGGTCATGGGAGTAAATGATTCTTAGGTTTGCCATTAGGGAAGGAAAGAAGTAGAAAGCAACCTGAAAGAACAGCTCCACAAATACAAAGGTGAGGAGGGGAAAGAAGTAAGAATACAGAGTTGAATAAGAGTGTCAAGATGACAAAGATTAGTATAAAACACCTCAAAAACAGTGAATTTAAATGACAGTAGAATGTCTCCATATCAAATTATAGAATTATTTTAAATATAGATTAAGAAAAGAAAGCCAAGTAATTGAAAAATTCTCAGATTCTTCTGAGTGACTTACGGGTGATTTTAATAAAGGATTGGAAGAAAATTTATGGGTGACTGTATTTAACATTCTGTTTTACATTTAAAAATAGCCAGGAGAGAATAACTTCAATATTTCTAGTTTAAATAAAACATACATATTTAAGGTAATGTGTATCTCTGTTACCCTCATTAGATTATATAGATGGATCAAATCATCACACGTACACTGAAAATATATGCATCTATTTATTAATTTAAAAATTCTAAATGGAAAGAAAATTTCATCCTCACTTTTTTAAATTTCAGTAAAGTGATGTCTTATATTTTATCTAGTGAATGCTGTGTTCATAGATAATGCAAAATAAAATGTGTTTTAGGCTATATCAGATTTTGAATGAATCATTACTTTTTGACTCTTGTTAAAAGTTTTTTAAAGTAATATTTGGTATACTCCTAAGTTGCTTAACTAATTTATTTCACTTTTCCATAATCTTGGAGCTGTTTTAGCCTTTTTTGATAATAAGAGGGAAAATAAATAAGTAATTAAATAATAAAAAATAATAAAAATTAATTAATACATAAATTAATAAAAATTAAAATTTCTGGTTAATTTTTTTTTTTGAGACGGAGTCTCGCTCTGTCGCCCAGGCTGGAGGGCAGTGGGCGATCTCGGCTCACTGCAAGCTCCACCTCCCGGGTTCACGCCATTCTCCTGCCTCAGCCTCGCGAGTAGCTGGGACTATAGGCGCCCGCCATCACGCCCGGCTAATTTTTTTAATATTTTTAGTAGAGACGGGGTTTCACTGTGTTAGCCAGGATGGTCTCGATCTCCTGACCTCGTGATCTGCCCGCCTCGGCCTCCCTAAGTGCTGGGATTACAGGCGTGAGCCACCACGCCTAGCCATTTCTGGTTAATTTTATAGGAGGTTTCTAATTTATATTCATTGAATGAGAAAAAATATATTTTTAACCTGGAACCCTCTTAAAGAAATAAATTATTACTTATTTCTGGAGCTAGTCTGACTTACCTTGTGCTGATAACATCTGTACTTAAGAACATACATGTGATGAATGCAGTCAACACTCATGATTGTTTTCTAAACAAAGTACCTATTTTTATAGAATCGTAAGGAAAGAAATATTGCCAACAGAGTACACAGAATTATCTCTGGAATATTACTTTTTACTTTTAAAATTATCTCCTACAGTTGGGACATTTTGTGTTATTCTCTGGAAGCATTATTAACTTTAGTATTTATAGTTGTTATACCTTGCACATAAATTTATTCAGCTCTAAAGCTCAGGAATCCTTTTGACTTGATGTTTCAAATAAATTTCTTCTCTCTTCATGTGAGTATTGGGTCCTGACTGACAGGCATAGTGTATTTGAAGACATGTAAATCTTCAGCTTGCATGGTGACATGATTATTTTACTTGATCCTTTCTCTGATTTTTAACTATTATCTTTATGGCATAAGTAGGCAATTAGAGCTATTAGTATATCATTTACAGGAGAATCAGAAAACCATATGAACTTTAAAATAGGTTTTACATTTCTCTCTTATATTTTAGTAGTACTTAAAATGCCTTATAATTCCATAATAGAATAAACATTCATACAAGTTAAAAACTTTTAAGATGATTTTTTAAAAATGAGCTTTCTTAGGATAACTTGAATTATTCCTTTAGATAACTGTTTTCATTAAGTTCAAAAGTGCAGATGACCATAATATTCCAGAAATAAATGTCTGCATACATTAAGAAAATATATTTTATATCTTTTAATCCAGTATAGAAATATATAATTGAAATTTTGAATCCCATATTTTGTTTTCTTTTTATTTTCAAAACTTCAGGGTTCTTCATAGGTTTAAATTATCGAATCCTACCAGTTTAGTATATTTTACAAATGTTGACCTTCTCAACAACATATGGTTTTTTTGAGTAAGGTCATCTATTTCTACTCCAAATGTATTTACCCAGATCAGTCTTCTAAGTCCCCTTTGTGCCTCAAATTTGACAGGTCTCAAACTGCCTTCCAGATTCTTTCCTGACTCTTTGTAATCTACTCTGTCATCTGGCTTCCCAATTTTAGTAAATAACACCAAGAAAGTAGCAATGAAACATTGAAGCAGAAAAACTGCACTCCAGGTTTCCCTCACATTGCCAATCCAGTGACTCACCAAATTTTGTATTTTCTACCTTTAAAATACCTTTAAAATACCTTTAACCATTTCTCATATCTTATTACTGTAATACACTGTCTGCCCTATACTTTTGGAATGTTCGTTTTTGTTTCTCTCTTCTCCCCATGTTTATCTGTATATGTCTTTCAGGGTGACCTTTCTTAAACATGTTTACTTTGATCTAACTCATCTGCTTATGGCTGGACCCTCATTACACGAAAGAAACATTTACATTCTAGCATAACACTTATTTTGCGGTTTGGCCTGTTTCTCCCATTTTATCTCTCCACTCCACTTTCTCTGTCTGTGCCCAAGTTTTACCACGTTATTGTGGTAGTTCTTATTGGCTATGCTGTTTCATTTTTTTGCACATGCTGCCCTCACTAGAAACACTTCACACTCTTAGTCTTCACTTGTCTATTTTAAAAATAGGACCCTAAATTTGCAGTGTCTCAGAAGCTTCCCAAGTAGAAATAAGTGTTATTGCCTTTGTGCTGTCACTGTATTTTATTGACTTGAGTTGTAGAAATAATGAATTGTGTCTTTCTGCTTTTGTTTTTATAAGTTTCTTTTTTCACTTGATAAATAAATAAAATTAGTATTTTATTCATATTATCAGATTTTCCAGTATAGACCTTATGAATTTATAGACACAGAAAATGTTTCTTGAATTACTGACTGATTGAGTAGTAAATATAACATTTTCTGAAGATTTCTTTTTTTTTTTTAATAGGAAGGAAAAGCACTACCAGCAACTGGACAAAAAGCAAATGGTATTGGTATTATAAAAAGTGCTCCATGAGAGCAATGAAATAATGATAATGTTATTTTTTGTGTACAAAGAAACAAAGGTGGTGAGGTAGTGAATATAGCTGAATAATTTTCTATGCTTTAATATAATTTTTGAAAATAAATATAACTAATTTAAATATAATTTAAAATAAATTTAAAATTAAATTAATTGTTAAATTACATTAAATTATAAGCCTAATTTTAATTAAATTATAAATATAATTTATTAATTTTTAATAGTAAATATAATTTAATTTAAACATACTTTTTCTTAAAACTTTGGTGAACACTTAAACTTGTAGATCAAAATATAATGTTCATTGTTGAGAAATGGACATTAGTATATTTACAAAAAAATGTGAGGTGGGATGGTGTAAATTAAGAAAGCAGCTGGCTAGGTAATTTGGAGGTTTCTGATGAGGAAACTTGAGGGAACTCACTTTATGTAGACTCAGTATATTCCCACTCAAAGAGAAGATTAAATTATTGCTGCTTTGGAGCTTACTGGAAGCAGAGGGTAGAAAAACGACAGGAAACCACAGGAACTCATTTCTTCTCTCTATAGGGGTTACACATCAATGATATGCGCTTCATTCATGTTTGTTAGTGAACTGGGATGCACTTGGATATCAAAACATTGGCAGTTTTCTTTAAAAACAGTGCTGTTTTTGATGAAATAGCCATTGTATAAATGTACCTCAGAGGCTGCTATGCTATAGCATATCAAACTGACTTTAGAAAAAAACAAACGAGAAATTTCTTTCTTGAGTACTAAAAGTGTAACTGTCAATAATCATGGCAAATATTTTGATAGGTAAAAGTTGATTAAGCCGGGCACGGTGGCTCACGGCTGTAATCCCAGCACTTTGGGAGGCTGAGGCGGGAGGATCATGAGGTCAGGAGATGGAGACCATCCTGGCTAACATGGTGAAACCCCATCTCTACTAAAAATACAAAAAGTTAGCCAGGCGTGGTGGCATGTGCCTGTAGTCCCAGCTACTAGGGAGCCTGAGGCAGGAGAATCACTTGAACCCAGGCGGCGGAGGTTGCTGTGAGCCGAGATTGTGCCACTGCACTCCAGCCTAGGCAACAGAGCAAGACTCCATGTCAAAAATAAAAAAAAGAAAGTTGATTGTTATGAAAAAAAAGTCAATGGTGATTCAGAGATTTTTGGTTACATTTTGTAAATGAAAATCTGAGTACTCATTAGTTATTTGATGTGTAATGCATACTTTTTTTTTTGCATAAGTGAATGAAAAGATGGCAAGAGAACTAAAGTTGAGAATCCAGAAGTTGAAAATATCAGAAGCCTTCATGACTGTGGATGACATGAGTATTTTTAGAAACGATTTTTCTCCAAGTAGATATCTAAAGTAATGATTGAGAGCATTTCCTGCCAGCAGAAGCGAATGATACATTTTCTTTTCTTTTTTTTTGAGACGGAGTCTCACTCTGTCACCCAGGCTTGAGTGCAGTGGCGGGATCTCGGCTCACTGCGAACTCCGCCTCCCGGGTTCACGCCATTCTCCTGCTTCAGCCTCCTGAGTAGCTGGTACTACAGGCGCCTGCCACCACACCCGGCTAATTTTACGCATTTTTAGTAGAGACGGGGTTTCACCGTGTTAGCCAGGATGGTCTCCATCTCCTGACTTTGTGATCTGCCCGCCTCGGCCTCCCAAAGTGCTGGGATTACAGGCGTGAGCCACCGCGCCCGGCCGCGAATGATACATTTTCATGCACTCTCATTGCAACTTCATAGTTTCTAACATTTATTCTTCTGGGGTCCGCTTTGGTTCTCTCATTTGACGTCATCTTTTTTGGCTTCATCCAGCTGATTCACATTGGTAGAAATACTTTTCTATGTTACTTGTAGTCATGTGAAACCTAATCTCACCCTTGCAATCTGGACTGCATGTTTTATAGAATCTATATTGTGATTTTTCATGTGTATATTCCTGTCATGTTTGTTTGCTAACCAAAACAAGAGCAAAGCAACCCAAAGCCTAATGGGTAACAATTTCAAGGGCAAGCACGAAGATTTCAGCTGGATACAAACACTGCATGATTGATGGTAGGCTGTGTCATATTTACCTGTAGTCAATTATGTGTTCCTTTTGCTTTGTAGTGTCTCCTGAGCAACCGCCTTTATTCACGGTAAACATATTTTCTTTAATTATTAACAAAATGCTCTGTGATATATACATGATATGTTAATCATTATGTTGTCAAACCCATTCAGCATACGGTGAAAGACAGAGATCACATTTCAACTAGATTCTTAGGAGGTATGGATTCACTAACTTCCAGTGAAGGTAAATTTGCCGCTACAAATTTCGTTCTAGAAAATGTAGATGAAAATATTGAAAATGCTCATAGTTTTTTGATTCCCACTTTTTATCCAAGTGAGATGGAAGGATTTGATGTAAATATGCTGATGTTCTTGTTAATATCTTTGTTTATAAAATGATTTTTAAGGCATAAGGCGGACATTTTACACGGTGAGCTCTAGCCCAAATGCTTTTCCTTTAAAGTTGTCATCAGCTAAAGATCCCAGTTTTGAATTCCTGTGCATGTTAGGGATTTGAGGAGGTGTATTTTGACACTAAATATTTTCAGTGCTTCAAAATTGATTGCAATACTCTTCTGTCTTCTTCATCTAGAGAAAAGCTATACCTGCTGACTTTACAATTGTTTTAGAACTTCAACGCCTTTATTTCAGCGTTGTTACATTGAGAATCTTAATCACATCTTCTGATTACCGGATTGAGTTTCTGCATGTGTGTGTGTGTGTATCTCTGATTAAAAATGAATAAAATGATTAATCATTCTTTTGTAACTCTTTGGTAGATACAGTGTTTTAAAACAATGATTCTGAGCTGTTTTGGCCTTAGAATATTTTCTTCTACTACTATTTATTGCCTACAGGTAACCAACAGCCTGAATTAACGTTTTTACTTTTAAGTCACTGCAATGCACATTAAAAATACTTTACAAGATACTTGCACTTTCATAGGTAATATGTGGAATCTGTTTCCAAGTATCAAGTCTTCTATACGATTTCACACAGTGTACATAATAGCTGCAACTCGGCTTTTGTAATCAGTGGAATATATTTCAGATCTGTCCAGGTTGACACAGTTTGGTCATCTTTGATTTGTTTTATGACTGCACCACATATTTGATTTGTTTTATGACTGCACCACAATTAATTAAAATCTCTTCATGCTGATACAAAATGAACATAAATATGATGACATACCAACATAGATTTGCTTATGTGGTTGCCTTTATTGATTTGTACTATAAAGAAATTAAATAGAAGTATTTCAGATACCCCGAGTATAGCTGTATACACTGCCATAGCTGAAAAACTCCAGTGTATGCTTTTCAGAGAATGACATTGGAAAGAAGAAATGGCCAAAGTATCATTTGGTACCTTGGCTTCCTTACATAGATGATGAACTCCAGGAATGATCAAATCACAGTTTAGAACCCCTTTGTTGGGCCCTATAAAGGGTTTCCAGGTGTCAAATGATAGTCTCCAGATAAAGAAATGCTCTATAATGCCTCACCGCTGTGTTTTCCTGTATTTTGTGCTTTTCTGAAAACTTTAAATACATGAATTTTTGGTAGAAATGAAAATCTTTCTGTTTTATATATTTGTTTCTGTCCATGGCACTCTGATCTCTTTGAATCTGGTAAGGATCTAGCCTTGTCTTATTTATACCAGCAAGCAGTGTTGTCACTTAATGCTCTCATTTTTCATGTAAATGACTGACATTTTCCCAAGTCTTCACAAGTGATTTCTGAAGATGTTGCTGCATTGAGCAGAGACTATGTCATTGTAATTGCAGAAGTTTTAAAATTAAATATGTTTAATAAAATTTTAGAGTTCTGTTTATCTGGAACACATAACACATAATGGTGTAATGTGTATTTAACCATAAATTAGCTTCACAAAAAGTTTGTGTACATAAAAGTGTTTATATCCAAAGAAATTCTTATTTACTGCTCAGTAATCTCTTGTGTAGAAGAAAATATGTAACATAGTTTGCTGAGTCTTTGATAATAACCCTCATGTAAAATAAAGCCGTAAAGATAAAATGAGAGTTGATACTCGATGAAACTGATGTGAGTGAATAGAAACTATGAAACTGTGTCTATGGGAGAGAGGAGGACATGGGGCTGCTGTTGTGAAGAAGGAATTTGTACAAGTTAGTCCATTTTCTGTAACTTTTATATTCTAATAAAGGAAAACCATATCTTCATATTTATAAAAATGAGATTTTACTGGTTTGATCACAGGGGTGGTGAGAATAATGAAGAACAAAATGTGGAAGGCAAAGAATGAAGACCAGATAGTGAGATTAGATTTATCAACAAAAAAGAGTACAAGTGGGGTGGGATGGTGTAAATAAAGATAGCAGCTGGCTAGGTGTTTGGGGGTTTCTGATGAGGAAACCTGAGAACACTGACTTTATGTGGACCTGGTATATTCGCACTCGAACAGAATATTGGATTATTGTTGCTTCAGAGATTAATGGAAGCAGAGGTGGAAGAATGAGAGTAAACCACAGGGACTCAATTCTTCTCTCTGTAGGGGTCACACAGCAACAATAGGACAGGTGCTTCATGTTAGCAAAATGTGATGCACTGCATGTCAAACTGACTGTGGAAGCAAAACAATCAAGAAATATATTTCTTAAGTATTATTTATTTATTTATTTTATTATTATACTTTAAGTTTTAGGGTACATGTGCACAATGTGCGGGTTTGTTAAAATGTAACTGTCGATAATCATGGCAAATATTTTGATTAACATGAAAAAAGCCTCTGATGTTTCAAATATTTTGGTTAGATTTGTTTTATGGGAATCTAATTACACATTAGGTATTTGGAGTGTAATGTATACTTTTTTGCATAAGTGAATGAAGAGATGGCAGGAGGGCTAAAGTTGAGAATCCAGGAAATGGAAAAACACCAGAAGCGTGCATGACTGTGGACAACATGAGTATTTTTGTTAACTATGCTTCTGTATGTAGATATCTGAACTAATGAACTGAGAATACATCCTGCAAGCAGAAGTGAATGATAGATTTTAATGAAATTGATAGTTTTTAAGTTAGAGGACAAAATGAAGAACAGGAGAACTATTGTAGTATTATAGTATAAATGGTTCTTGGGTGATTTTCTTCAGGGTACACCATAGTATTCTACCATGGGCTTTGACATTTATCCTTCTGGGGTCCTATTTGGTCCTTTCTTTTGACATCACATTTTTTGGCTTCAGTTAAGAGGATCACATTGGTAGAAGTACTTTCCTGTGTTAGTTGTAGTCATGTGAAACCTAATCTCTCTCTTGAAATCTGGACTACATGTTTTATGAAAACTTAATTATGTGTCCCTTTTGCTTTGTAGAATCTTCTGAGCGACCTCCTTTATCCACGGTAAACAAATATATTTTCATTTTTAATTAACAAAATGCTTTGTGATATATACATGACATATTAATCATTATGTTGTAAAACCCATTCAGCTTACTCTGAAAGAGGCAGATCCCAGTTCAAAAGCAGCCATGAGAAGGAAGGATTCACCACCTCCAGGAAAAGGTAAATTTGCCAATACAAATTTCATCTGGAAAGAAGGACATGAATATACTGGAAATGTTCATAGCCTTCTGATTCTTACTTCTTTTACCCCAATAAGATAGAAGGATTTGATCTAAATGATGCTGATGCTGTTGTTAGTGTCTATGCTTATAAAATGATATTTAGAAGAACAAGGAAAAGAAATTTTAAAAATGTGAGCTCTAGCTCAGATGCTTTTCCTTTTAGGTTGTGATAAAGATCCCAATGTGGAATTTGTGTGCATGTTAGGGGTTCAAGGAGATGAATTTTGAAACTATAAATATTTTTCAGTGCTTCAATTTCTGGTTGCAATACTGTCCTTTACCTAGAGAAAAGCTATACCAGCTGACATTACAATTGTGTTAGAACTTCATCTTCTTTATGTCGGTGTTGTCACACTGAGAACCTTCGAGTCTTCACCCAATCACATGCTCTGATTACCAGCTTGAATTTCTGCATGTGTATGTGTGTGTGCGCTTTTGTTTGTGAGTTTGGGTGTGTGTGATACCTCTGATTCTGGAAAATGAATAAAGTCATTAATCATTTTTTCGTGACTCTTTGGTAGATACAGGGTTTTAAAGCAATGACTCTGAGCTGTTTTAGCCTTAGAGTCTTTGATACTACTACAATTCATTGCCTACAGGTAACCAACAACCTGAATTAATGTTGGTTTGTTTGCTTTGTATTATACCTTAAGTTCTGGGATACATGTGAAGAACATGCAGGTTTTTTACATAGGCATACATGTGCCATGGTGGTTTACTGTGCCCATCAACCCATCAGCTACATTAGGTATTTCTAATAATACTGTCCCTCCCCTAGGACCCCATCTCCCTGACAGGCCCCGGTGTGTGATGTTCCCCTCCCTGTGTCCATGTGTTCTCATTGTTCAACTCCCACTTATGAGTGAGAAAATGTGGCATTTGGTTTTCTTTTCCTGTGTTAGTTTGCTGAGAATAATGGTTTCAGGCTTCATCCATGTCTTTGCAAAGGACATGAACTCATCCTTTTTTATGGCTGCATAGTATTCCATGATGTGTATATGCCACATTTTCTTTATCCAGTCTATCACTGATGGGCATTCGGGTTGGTTCCAAGTCTTTGCTATTGTGAATAGTGCTGCAATAGACATACATGTGCATGTGTCTTTATAGTAGAATGATTTTTAATCTTTGGGGTATGTATTCAGTAATGGGATTGCTGGGTCAAATGGTGTTTCTTGTTCTAGATCCTTGAGGAATCACCACACTGTCTTCCACAGTGGTTGAAATAATTGACACTCCCACCAACAATATAAAAGCGTTCCTATTTCTCCACATCCTCTCCAGCATCTGTTGTTTCCTGAGTTTTTAATGATCACCATTCTAACTGGCATAAGATGGTATCTCATTGTGGTTTTGATTTGCATTTCTCTAATGATCAGTGATCATGAGCCTTTTTTTCATGTGTTTACTGGCTGAATAAATGTCTTCTTTTGAGCATATCCTTCACCCACTTTTTGATGAGGTTGTTTGTTCTTTTCTCATAAATTTGTTTAAGTTCCTTTTAGATTCTGGATATTAGCCTTTTGTCAGATGGAGAGATTGCGAACATTTTCTCCTGTTCTGTAGGTTGCTTGTTCACTCTGATCATAGTATTGGAAGTTCTGGCCAGGGCAATCAGACAAGAGGAAAAAATAAAGGGTATTCAAATAGGAAGAAAGGAAGTCAAATTGTCTCTGCAGATAACATGATTGTATATTTAGGAAACCAAATTGTCTCAGCCCCAAATCTCCTTCAGCTGATAAGCAACATCAGCAAAGTCTCAGGATACAAAATCAGTGTGCAAAAATCACAAGCATTCCTATACACCGATAAAAGACAAATAGCAAAATCGTGAGTGAACGCCCATTCACAATTGCTACAAAGAGAATAAAATACCTAGGAATACAACTCACAAGGGATGAGAAAGACCTCTTCAGGGAGAACTACAAACCACTGCTCAAGGATATAAGAGAGGACACAAACAAATGGAAGAACATTCCATGCTCATGGATAGGAAGAATCAATATCATGAAAATGGCCATACTGCCCAAAGTAATTTATAGGTTCAATGCTATAGACTACCATTGACTTTCTTCACAGAATTAGAAAAAACTACTGGAAATTTCATATGGAACAAAAAAAGGGCCCATATAGCCAAGACAATTGTAAGTAAAAAGAACAGAGCTGGAGGCATCACGCTACCTGACTTCAAACTACACTACAAGGCTATAGTAATGAAAACAGCATGGTACAGCTACCAAAACAGTGATATAGACCAATGGAATAGAACAGAGGCCTCAGAAGCAACACCATACATCTACAACCGTATGATCTTTGACAAACCTGACAAAAAGCAATCAGTGGGGAAAAGATTACCTATTTAATAAATGATGTTGGGAAAACTGGCTAGCCTTATGCAGGAAACTGAAACTGGACCCCTTCCTTACACCTTATACAAAAATTAACGGAGGCATCACACTACCTGACTTCAAACTATACTACAAGGCTACAGTAACCAAAACAGCATGGTACTGGTACCAAAACAGAGCTATAGATCAATGGAACAGAACAGAGCCCTCAGAAATAACGCTGCATATCTACAACTATCTGATCTTTGACAAACCTGACAAAAACAAGAAATGGGGAAAGGATTCCCTATTTAATAAATGGTGCTGGGAAAACTTTCTACATAGCCATATGTAGAAAGCTGAAACTGGATCCCTTCCTTACACCTCATACAAAAATCAATTCAAGATGGATTAAAGATTTAAACCTAAAACCATAAAAGCCCTAGAAGAAAACCTAGCCATTACCATTCAGGACATAGGCATGGGCAAGGACTTCATGTCCAAAACACCAAAAGCAATGGCAACAAAAGACAAAATTGACAAATGGGATCTAATTAAACTAAAGAGCTTCTGCACAGCAAAAGAAACTACCATCAGAGTGAACAGGCAATACAAAATGGGAGAAAATTTTTGCAACCTACTCATCTGACAAAGGGCTAATATCCAGAATCTACAATGAACTCAAACAAATTTACAAGAAAAAAACAAACAACCCCATCAAAAAGTGGGCGAAGGACATGAACAGACACTTCTCAAAAGAAGACATTTATGCAGCCAAAAAACACATGAAAAAATGCTCATCATCACTGGCCATCAGAGAAATGCAAATCAAAACCACTGTGAGATACCATCTCACACCAGTTAGAATGGCAGTCATTAAAAAGTCAGGAAACAACAGGTGCTGGAGAGGATGTGGAGAAATAGGAACACTTTTACACTGTTGGTGGGACTGTAAACTAGTTCAACCATTGTGGAAGTCAGTGTGGCGATTCCTCAGGGATCTAGAACTAGAAATACCATTTGACCCAGCCATCCCATTACTGGGTATATACCCAAAGGACTATAAATCATGCTGCTATAAAGACACATGCACACGTATGTTTATTGCGGCACTATTCACAATAGCAAAGACTTGGAACCAACCCAAATGTCCAACAATGATAGATTGGATTAAGAAAATGTGGCACATATACACCATGGAATACTATGCAGCCATAAAAAATGATGAGTTCATGTCCTTTGAAGGGACATGGATGAAATTGGAAATCATCATTCTCAGTAAACTATCGCAAGAACAAAAAACCAAACACCGCATATTCTCACTCATAGGTGGGAATTGAACAATGAGATCACATGGACACAGGAAGGGGAATATCACACTCTGGGGACTGTGGTGGGGTGGGGGGAGGGGGGAGGGATAGCATTGGGAGATATACCTAATGCTAGATGACGAGTTAGTGGGTGCAGCGCACCAGCATGGCACATGTATACATATGTAACTAACCTGCACAATGTGCACATGTACCCTAAAACTTAAAGTATAATTAAAAAAAAAAAGTGTTCTGTAAAAAAAAAAACAAAAACAAAAAAAACAAAAATTAACTCAAGATAAATTAAAGACTTAAACGTTTAAGTGAGACCTAAAACCATAATAACCCTAGAAGAAAATCTAGGCAATACCATTCAGGACATTGGCATGGGCAAAGACTTCATGACTAAAACACCAAAAGCAATGGCAACAAAAGCCAGAATTGACAAATGGGATCTAATTAAACTAAGGAACTTGTGCAGTTTTATTTGGGAGTGTGCATGAGGTACCTCTGAGTTTCAAAAATGAAGAAAGTAAGTGGTCATGCTTTCCTGACTCTTTGGTAGACACAGCCTTTTAAGACGGTGATTCTGAGCTGTTACGGTTTTGGGTTTCCTATAATACTGAAGCTTACTGCTGACATGTAATCAAGAGCTTGAATTAATTTAAAAAAATCACCCAAATGCACATTAAAAACCTCTTACAACACATGTGCACATTCATAGATAACATGTAGGACTTGATTTTGTATATTAAAAACTTGTAGAAAAGTTCAGGCAGTGCACTTAATGAATGCAACTTGGTC
Organism: Homo sapiens; assembly: GCF_000001405.40. Taxonomy (NCBI): domain Eukaryota; kingdom Metazoa; phylum Chordata; class Mammalia; order Primates; family Hominidae; genus Homo; species Homo sapiens. Next base: position 146,969 of record NW_025791765.1, read on the forward strand.
TTTGTAAAATCAGTGATATATATTTCAGATCTATCCACATTGACCCAGTGAGGTATTTCTTGATTTATTGTATGATCTCATGATATGCCATGTGATGACTACAGCATATTATGCTCTCTTCATGCCGATACCATATAGACTTAAATATGATGACATACCAACATGGATATGCTTATGTGGTTGCTTTTATTGATTTGTACTATATTAGAAATGAAACAGAAGTATTGGAAATCCTAGCAAGCATAGCTGTATCTCTCCCATGGCTGTGTTGATTGCACCTGTTTCCCCCTTAAAGCATGTCTTTTTGACATGTCCTGACTCTGAGAAAATCCAGTGTGTGCTTTTCAGAGACTAACAGTAAGGAGTGGAAATGGCCAATGGTCAAAGTGTTACTTGTCCTCTTGGCTCCCCTTCATGAATGTTAAACTCTAAACTACTCAGATCACAATTTAGAACCCCTTTGTTGATCCCTATAGAGTGTTCCCAGATGTCAAATGGCAAATAGGACTTTGATGAAGAAACACCCCGTAAAGCCATATTGCTCTGGTTTTTGTGTGTGAATGTGTGTGTGTGTGTGTGTGTGTGTGTATGTGTGTGTATTTTTTTCTCTTCTGAAAACTGTAAATAGAGGAATTTTCATTACAAATGAAAATGTTTCTGTTCCATATTTATTTCCTGTCTAATGTACTTTGCTCTTCTTGGATCTAGTAAGGATCTCAGCTTGTCTTTTTTATACCTGCAAAAAATTATGTCAGTGCTTCATTTTTCATGTCAATTACTGACATGTTTTCAAGTCTTCACAAGTTATTTCTGAAGATTTTGGTGCATCAAGGAGAGACTGTCATTGTAGTTAAAGAAGTTTCTAAATAGGTTATATTGAATAAAATTTCAGAGCTTGTTTCTCTGGAAAGCATAGACATAGTGGTGTTATGGGTAGTTAAACATAAAATAGCTCCACAAAGTGTTGTGTACATAAAAGTGTTCATATCCTGGAAAATTCTAGTTTATTGCTCAGTACTGTCTGCTGGAGAGGAAAACAGGTAGGATAGGCTGCTGAGCCTATGATAATAACTCATAATATGAGGTGAAAGCATAGAGACAAAATGAGAGATGATAGATACTCAAACCGATGTGAGTGAAGAACAGCTGTGAAAGAGTGTCTATGGGAGAGAGGAGGCCATGGGGCTGCTTTTGTGAAGAAGGAATTTGTACACGTTAGTCAAGTGTCTGACACATTTAACATTTTAATAAAGCAAAACCTTATCCTCACATGTGTCAGAATGGGATTGTACAGATGTCACATACAGTGGTGGTGAAAATAATGAAGAAACGAATGTGGAGGTCAAAGAATCAAGTCCACCAATATGGATGTTAGATTTATGAACAAAAAAGAGTGTATGTCAAATTGGGCAGGTGTAAACAAAGAAAGCAGCTAGTGAGGTAATTTGGAGGTTTCTGATGAGGAGACTTGTGGGAAGTCGCTTAATGGAAAGCAGAAGCAGAAGTTAGAAGGATGAGGGTAACCCACAGGGTCTCATTTCTTCTCCCTAGAAGTTTTGCACATCAGTGATACATGCTTTGTTCACATCAGATTTTTGTTTTTTGGTTTTTTTTTGAAAGCTGTGTTTGCTGAGGTAGTTATTTTGTAAAAGAACCTGAGAGACCCCGATGGTATATCATGTGAAACTAGATTTAAAAAAAAAAGGAATCAAAGAATGTATTTTAAGAGTACTAAACAGATAACTGCCAATAATCATGACAATCATGACATATGTATATATATGTATTATGTCATATTGGTTGGTTATTTATAAGAAAAGAAGTCTCTAGTGATTTAGAAACTTTGTTTAGTTTATTTTCATAGGAATCTGATTACACATTATTTCATTGATGTGTATGTTTTTGCAAAAGTGGACGAAGAGACAGTGAGAAAGTCGAACTGCTGAATCCAGGAAATGTAAAAACATCAGGAGTCTTCATGAGTATAAATAAAATGATTTTTAAAATTATAACTCTTAGATTAAGTGAACTCACTTCAGATGCATTTAGAATATTTGCATAAGGGATGATTTGATTTTTGGCTGCTCCAGGAACTACTGGAAGCAGGAAAGAGTGATAGAATTGGGATAAACCACAGTGACTCATTGCTCCTCTTTGTTACCATTGGGCACCAGAGGTATATGTTTTGTTGACATTGGTTATTCAAATGAGATAAACGTGAATATGCATACATTGGCTTTGTTTTTCAAGGAGCTATTGGATAAAATAGCAACTTAGATATATAATCATGTCATCTGCAAACAGGGACAATTTGACTTCCTCTTTTCCTAATTGAATACCCTTTATTTCCTTCTCCTGCCTAATTGCCCTGGCCAGAACTTCCAACACTATGTTGAATAGGAGTGGTGAGAAAGGGCATCCCTGTCTTGTGCCAGTTTTCAAAGGGAATGCTTCCAGTTTTTGCCCATTCAGTATGATATTGACTGTGGGTTTGTCATAGATAGCTCTTATTATTTTGAAATATGTCCCATCAATACTGAATTTATTGAGAGTTTTTAGCATGAAGGGTTGTTGAATTTTGTCAAAGGCTTTTTCTGCATCTATTGAGATAATCATGTGGTTTTTGTCTTTGGCTCTGTTTATATGCTGGATTACATTTATTGATTTGCATATATTGAACCAGCCTTGCATCCCAGGGATGAAGCCCACTTGATCATGGTGGATAAGCTTTTTGATGTGCTGCTGGATTCGTTTTGCCAGTATTTTATTGAGGATTTTTGCATCAATGTTCATCAAGGATATTGGTCTAAAATTCTCTTTTTTTGTTGTGTCTCTGCCTGGCTTTGGTATCAGAATGATACTGGCTTCATAAAATGAGTTAGGGAGGATTCCCTCTTTTTCTATTGATTGGAATAGTTTCAGAAGGAATGGTACCAGTTCCTCCTTGTACCTCTGGTAGAATTCGGCTGTGAATCCATCTGGTCCTGGACTCTTTTTGGTTGGTAAGCTATTGATTATTGCCACAATTTCAGATCCTGTTATTGGTCTATTCAGAGATTCAACTTCTTCCTGGTTTAGTCTTGGGAGAGTGTATGTGTCTAGGAATTTATCCATTTCTTCTAGATTTTCTAGTTTATTTGCGTAGAGGTGTTTGTAGTATTCTCTGATGGTAGTTTATTTCTGTGGGATCGGTGGTGATATCCCCTTTATCATTTTTTATTGCGTCTATTTGAATCTTCTCTCTTTTTTTCTTTATTAGTCTTGCTAGTGGTCTCTCAATTTTGTTGATCCTTTCAAAAAACCAGCTCCTGGATTCATTAATTTTTTGAAGGGGTTTTTGTGTCTCTATTTCCTTCAGTTCTGCTCTGATTTCAGTTATTTCTTGCCTTCTGCTAGCTTTTGAATGTGTTTGCTCTTGCTTTTCTAGTTCTTTTAATTGTGATGTTAGGGTGTCAATTTTGGATCTTTCCTGCTTTCTCTTGTGGGCACTTAGTGCTATAAATTTCCCTCTACACACTGCTTTGAATGTGTCCCAGAGATTCTGGTATGTTGTGTCTTTGTTCTCATTGGTTTCAAAGAACATCTTTATTTCTGCCTTCATTTTGTTATGTACCCAGTAGTCATTCAGGAGCAGGTTGTTCAGTTTCCATGTAGTTGAGCGGTTTTGAGTGAGATTCTTAATCCTGAATTCTAGTTTGATTGCACTGTGGTCTGAGAGATAGTTTGTTATAATTTCTGTTCTTTTACATTTTCTGAGGAGAGCTTTACTTCCAAGTATGTGGTCAATTTTGGAATAGGTGTGGTGTGGTGCTGAAAAAATGTATATTCTGTTGATTTGGGGTGGAGAGTTCTGTAGATGTCTATTAGGTCCACTTGGTGCAGAGCTGAGTTCAATTCCTGGGTATCCTTGTTGACTTTCTCTCTTGTTGATCTGTCCAATGTTGACAGTGGGGTGTTAAAGTCTCCCATTATTAATGTGTGGGAGTCTAAGTCTCTTTGTAGGTCACTCAGGACTTGCTTTATGAATCTGGGTGCTCCTGTATTGGGTGCATATATATTTAGGATAGTTAGCTCTTCTTGTTGAATTGATCCCTTTACCATTATGTAATGGCCTTCTTTGTCTCTTTTGATCTTTGTTGGTTAAAAGTCTGTTTTATCAGAGACTAGGATTGCAACCCCTGCCTTTTTTTTGTTTTCCATTTGCTTGGTAGATCTTCCTCCATCCTTTTATTTTGAGTCTATGTGTGTCTCTGCACGTGAGATGGGTTTCCTGAATACAGCACACTGATGGATCTTGACTCTTTATCCAATTTGCCAGTCTGTGTCTTTTAATTGGAGCATTTAGTCCATTTACATTTAAAGTTAATATTGTTATGTGTGAATTTGATCCTGTCATTACGATGTTAGCTGGTTATTTTGCTCGTTAGTTGATGCAGTTTCTTCCTAGTCTTGATGGTTTTTACATTTTGGCATGATTTTGCAGAGTCTGGTACCGGTTGTTCCTTTCGATTTTTAGCGCTTCCTTCAGGAGCTCTTTTAGGGCAGGCCTGGTGGTGACAAAATCTCTCAGCATTTGCTTGTCTGTAAAGTATTTTATTTCTCCTTCACTTATGAAGCTTAGTTTGGCTGGATATGAAAATTGTATATCTAGAAAACCCTATTGTCTCAGCCCAAAATCTCCTTAAGCTGATAAGCAACTTCAGCAAAGTCTCAGGATACAAAATCAATGTGCAAAAATCACAAGCATTCTTATACACCAACAACAGACAAACAGAGAGCCAAATCATGAGTGAACTCCCATTCACAATTGCTTCAAAGAGAATAAAATACCTAGGAATCCAACTTACAAGGGATGTGAAGGAACTCTTCAAGGAGAACTACAAACCACTGCTCAAGGAAATAAAAGAGGATACAAACAAATGGAAGAACATTCCATGCTCATGCATAGGAAGAATCAATATCGTGAAAATGGCCATACTGCCCAAGGTAATTTACAGATTCAATGCCATCCCCATCAAGCTACCAATGCCTTTCTTCACAGAATTGGAAAAAACTACTTTAAAGTTCATATAGAACCAAAAAAGAGCCCACATCGCCAAGTCAATCCTAAGCCAAAAGAACAAAGCTGGAGGCATCACACTACCTGACTTCAAACTATACTACAAGGCTACAGTAACCAAAACAGCATGGTACTGGTACCAAAACAGAGCTATAGATCAATGGAACAGAACGGAGACCTCAGAAATAATGCTGCATATCTACAGCTACCTGATCTTTGACAAACCTGAGAAAAACAAGCAATGGGGAAAGGATTCCCTATTTAAAAATGGTGCTGGGAAAACTGGCTAGCCATATGTAGAAAGCTGAAACTGTATCCCTTCCTTACACCTTATACAAAAATCAATTCAAGATGGATTAAAGACTTAAACGTTAGACCTAAAACCATAAAAACCCTAGAAGAAAACCTAGCCATTACCATTCAGGACATAGGCATGGGCAAGGACTTCATGTCTAAAACACCAAAAGCAATGGCAACAAAAGACAAAATTGACAGATGGGATCTAATTAAACTAAAGAGCTTCTGCACTGCAAAAGAAACTACCATCAGAGTGAACAGGCAACCTACAAAATGGGAGAAAATTTTTGCAACCTACTCATCTGACAAAGGGCTAATATCCAGAATCTACAATGAACTCAAACAAATTTACAAGAAAAAAACAAACAACCCCATCAAAAAGTGGGCAAAGGACATGAACAGACACTTCTCAAAAGAAGACATTTATGCAGCCAAAAAACACATGAAAAAATGCTCATCATCACTGGCCATCAGAGAAATGCAAATCAAAACCACAATGAGATACCATCTCACACCAGTTAGAATGGCCATCATTAAAAAGTCAGGAAACAACAGGTGCTGGAGAGGATGTGGAGAAATAGGAACACTTTTACACTGTTGGTGGGACTGTAAACTAGTTCAACCATTGTGGAAGTCAGTGTGGAGATTCCTCAGTGATCTAGAAGTGGAAATACCATTTGACCCAGCCATCCCATTAATGGGTATATACCCAAAGGACTATAAATCACGCTGCTATAAAGACACATGCACACGCATGCTTATTACGGCATTATTCACAATAGCAAAGACTTGGAACCAACCCAAATGTCCAACAATGATAGACTGGATTAAGAAAATGTGGCACATATACACCATGGAATACTATGCAGCCATAAAAAATGATGAGTTCATGTCCTTTGAAGGGACATGGATGAAATTGGAAATCATCATTCTCAGTAAACTATCGCAAAAACAAAAAACCAAACACCGCATATTCTCACTCATAGGTGGGAATTGAACAATGAGATCACATGGACACAGGAAGGGGAATATCACACTCTGGGGACTTTTGTGGGGTGGGGGGAGGGGAGAGGGATAGCATTGGGAGATATACCTAATGCTAGATGATGAGATAGTGGGTGCAGCGCACCAGCATGGCACATGTATACATATGTAACTAACCTGCACAATGTGCGCATGTACCCTAAAACTTAAAGTATAATAAAAAAAAGCAACTTAATAAAAATTCTCTAGAGAATAACATGATACTTTAACCAGACTATTTTAGAAGTGAAAATAATGTTGAATTCATTACTTGACTCCCAAATGGTTATTTTCAGGGAATATTGGAGTGATTTCCAGATGTAAAAGCTTATTCATATCTAATGCTTGTAGAAACTTTATTTTGTATAAGTATGTCAAATTTGGTAATTTATTACACTTTTTGATGAAGTTTATATATTATACCTTGTTGCAATGAGTGGATGAAGGAACTTTTAGAAGTCTAAACTAGAAGATACAAGAGATGTAGGCACATTATTACATCATATGGGTGTGAGAAATAATGAATATTACATACTAGAATTCACCAAACATATATCCAAGCTGATTAAGTTAGGACACTTCCACTGAAGAGATTTCAACTAAAGTGTCATTATAATTGTGTACCTTCTCACTGATCAATCAAGTTAAAGAGCATGATGAATGTTTGCAGTAAAATGTTCCAAATCATTCTGATATCTTGCATGAAAGACATGCGGATGCGTGTATCACCTGCTTTGACGTTGATTCCCAGGAGTATGAGTTGGACTCTGATTTTAGATCACATTTGTCCTCATCACTCAGCATATCCACATTGATATTGACATGGTTTTATTTTAGTTTTAGACATATGGAGAAAGTCATATCACATATGAAATTGTCAGTGTATATTTCTTGAAGCCTGTATTCCTATTTTCTTCAGTGTATTTCCTTCATGTTTAGTCCCAAGAAACAAAGTATAAAATATCAAAGCCTACAGTAATACAGGCAGGAGTACAAAACTTGATGCTAACATGCTATCCATGCATTTATGTATGGATAACATTATCATATTTACATATGATTGATTATGTATCCCTTTTGCTTTTCAGTGTCTTCTCAGAAACAACCAGCTGAGAAGGTAATTAAAGTCTCATTTATATGTTGAACTATTAACTGTATAGTCTATGAAACCTACTTTACATATTGATTATTTTGCTTCAAATCCCATTCAGGCTACAAGTGACGACAAAGATTCTGTTTCAAATATAGCCACAGAAATAAAGGAGGGACCAATATCTGGGACAGGTAATTTTGCAAAACACATCTAATGTCATGTTCAATCAAGATGGAAGAGAACTTCCCTTACCCAAATAAATCAGTGGGGAGTCCATCTAAGCTGCACGTTCTGATTCAGTACACCTGAGATTCTTCATTTGTAGTGAGTTCTCAGGTGACCCTGATGCTGCTGGTCCTTGGTCATGATCTGAGTAGTAAGATTGTAGACTTCCCTACATTGAAATTGGGAAGAAAAACCATTGGAGAGAAGTTCAACACATACCAGGCTAAGGGAGCAGCATAATTTTGCTTTAATTTTACAGCATGTTTCCATCAAGAGGGAAAAGAGAACGAGATGAAGTAATAGATATTATAGGCATCGTATCATATTGTTATCAACAGAGGGAAAAGTGATCCTAATAACTCCATAAACACTGTAGAACGAGAGCTAAGAAGACCACTGATGTAGCAATTATTTTCCTCAAGGAAGAGGGATTGTGAGGCAGGAAGGAGGAAAAAGAAGGTATTTATGTAATTTTGGGGTTTCTGCTGAGGAAACCTGAGTGAACTCATTTCAGATGCATTTGGAATATTTGCATAAAAGAAGATTTGATTTTGGCTGCTCCAAGAACTACTGGAAGCAGGAAACAGTGCTAGAATCGGGATAAACCACAGTGACTCATTACTCCTCTTTGCTACTATTAGGCATCAGGGACACATGTTTTGTTGACTTTACTTATAAAAATGAGATAAACTTGCATATGAATACATTGGCTTCCTTGTTCAAGGAGCTAACTCTTGGATAAAATAGGTATTTAATGAAACTTCCTTAGAGACTAACATGATACTCCCAACAAGGCTATTTTAGAAACAAAAATGATGTTGAATTCTAATTAACTCCTAAAGTGGTGATTTTCAATGAATATTGGAGTGATTTCTGAATGTAAAACTTATTAATATCTAATGCTTGTAGCAGTTTTACTTTGTAGAAGTATGTTAACATTGGTAATTGATATTTTTATTGAGGCTAATATATTATCGTTTGTTGCCATGAGCGGATGAAGAAACTTTCAGAAGGCTAAACTAGTGGATACAAGAATCTTAGGCAAATTATTACACCACATGGGTGTGAGAAATAATGAATATTATCTACTAGATTTTAGGAAACATATCCAAGGTGATCAATTTAGGACACTTCCACTGAAGAGATGTGAAGAGAACATTTAACTGAATTGTCATCGTAATTGTGTACCTCCTAGTTATTGGGCAAGTTAAAGGGCATGATGAATGTTTGAAGTATAATGGTGTAAATCCTTCTGATTTCTTGCAAGAAAGACATGAGGGATCATATACCACCTGCTTTGACATTGATTCTCAGGTGTGTGAGTTACTCCTCTGATTTGTCCTCATCACTCGGCATATCCACATTGATATTGACACGGTTTTATTTTAGTTTTAGATGTATCACGAATCATACCATGTTTGAAATTGTAAGGGTATATTTTGTGAAGCCTGTATTCCTTTTTTTTCAGTGTATTTCTGTCATGTTCCAGTCTCCAGACAAAAAGTAGAAAACATCAAAGCCTACACTAGTACAGGCAGGAAGATACAGCTTGATGCTAACACTGCATGAATGTATGGATAAATTTATCATATGTACATGTGAGTGATTATGTTTCCCTTTTGCTTTTCAGTGTCTTCTCAGAAACAACCAGCTGAGAAGGTAATTAAAGTCTCATTTATATGTTGAACTATTAACTGTATAGTCTATGAAACCTACTTTACATATTGATTATTTTGTTTCAAATCCCATTCAGGCTACAAGTGACGAGAAAGATTCTGTTTCAAATATAGCCACAGAAATAAAGAAGGGACAACAATCTGGGACAGGTAATTTTGCAAAACACATTTAATGTCATGTTCAGTCAAGATAGAAAAGTACTTCTCTTCCCCGAATAAATCAGCAGGGGATTCATTGAAGCTGCACATTCTGATTCAGCAGGCCTGAGATTCTTCAGTTCTCAGGTGACACTGATGCTGCTGGTCTTCGACATGATCTTTGCAATAAGATTATAGACTTCCCCACATTGAAATTGGGAAGAAGAAACGTTGGAGAGCCATTAAAGACATAAGGAGTCAGGGGACAGCATAATTTTGCATTAATTCTACAGCATGTTTTCACCAAGGGAGGAAGGAGAAAGAGATGAAGTATAGATTTTACAGACATCACATCGTATTGCTAAAAACAGATGGGGAAATCATGGTAATAACCCATAAACACTGTAGAACGAGAGCTAAGGAGACCACTGATGTAGCAATGACTTTCCTCAAGGAAGAGGATTGTCAGGCAGGAAGGAGGGAAAATAAGTTATTTATGTAATTTTGGGGTTTCTTCTGAGGAAACCTGAGTTCAGTTGCATATTTGAACATTTTTGTAAAAGAAGCTTTGATTTTGGCTGCTTTAGGAAACAGTGGAAGCAGGAAGGAGTACTAGAACTGGGATAAACCACAGTGACTCATTACTCCTCTTTGTTACTGTTGGGCATCAGAGATATACGTTTTGTTGATATTAGTTATTCAAATGAGATAAACATGAATATGCATATATTGGCTTTGCTTTTCAATTAGCTAACTTTTGGATAAAAATAACAATTTAATGAAAATGCTTTAGAGAATAACATGATATTTTATACCAGACTATTTTAGAAAAAAAAATTAATGGTGAATTCATTAATTGACTTTTAAAATTCTTATTTTCAATGAATATTGGAGGGATTTCCAAATGTCAAAGGTTATTCATATCTAATGCTTGTAGCAACTTTATTTTGTATAAGTATGTCAAATTTGATCATTTATTATACTTTTTGATAAGGTTTATGTATTATATTTGTTGCCATGAGTGGATGAAGAACCTTTCTGTAGCCTAAACTAGAGGACACAACAAATGTAGGCACATTATTACACCACATGGGTTTGAGAAATAAAGAATATTATATTCAGGATTATCCCAACCTATATCCAAGCTGTTGAGGCTGGGCCACTTCCACCGAGGACTCGTGAAGTGTACATTCTACTAAAGTGTCATTGTCATTGTGTACCTCCTCAATTACCAGGCAAGTTAAAAGAGCGTGATGAATACTTGCAGTATAATGGTATAAATCCTTCTGATGTCTTGCATGAAAAACATGCAGTAGCATTTAGTACCTTCTTTGACATTGATTCCTGGGTGTATGAGTTGCTCCTCTGATTTTAGATCACATTTCTTTTCATCATTCGGCATATCCACATTGATATTGACACTTTTTATTTCAGTAATACACACATGATGCATAATACCTCTTTGTAATTTCTGACTGTATATTTTCTGGAAGCGTGTATTCCTGTTTTCTTCAGTGTATTTCCTCATGTTCCCGTCCCAAAGACACAAACTGTAAAACATCAAATCCTACACTAGTGCAGGCAGGAGGATACAGCTTGATGCTAACACTGCATGAATGTATGGATGACTTTGTCATATTTACATATGATGGATTATATATTTCTTTTACTTTTCAGTGTCTCCTCAGAAACAATCGGCCTGGAAGGTAGTTACTCTTTCATTTATATTTTGAATTATTTATTTTATAGCCTATGAAATATGTATTATATATTGACTATTTTGTTTCTCTTTCCATTCAGGTTATATTTAAAAAGAAAGTTTCTCTTTTGAATATTGCCACAAGAATAATGGGTGGTGGGAAATCTGGAACAGGTAATTTGGCAATACACATTTAATGTCATGTGCACTCAAGACAGAAGAGAACGTCCCACCCCTGAATAGATCAGTGGGGTGTCATTGAAAATGCACTTTCTGATTCAGCAGGCCTGAGATTATGCATTTCTAGTAAGTTGTCAGGTGGTGCTGATGCTGCTGGTCCTTGGCCATGATCTTAGTAACAAGCTTGTAGAGTTCCCTACATTGAATTTGGATAGAAGAACCATTGGAAAACAGTTCAAGACATAAGAGGATCGGAGGACAGCATAATTTTTCTCTTATTTCAGAGCATGTTTCTATGGAGAGGGGAAGGAGAAAGAGAAGAAGTAACAGAAATTATAGATGTCAGATGGTACTGCTAAAACCAGAGGGAGGAAGTTGTCATAATAACCCGTAGACACTGGAGAATGAGAAACAAAGTGACCACTGATGTAGTAATTATTTTCATCAAGAAAGAGGGATTGCAAGGCAAGAAAGAGGGGAAGGAAGAAGTTATTTATGTAATTTTGGGGTTTCTGCTGAGGAAACCTGAGTGAACTCACTTCAGATGCATTTAGAATGTTTGCATACCAGAAGATTTGATTTCTGACTGCTCCGATGACTACTGGAATCAGGAAGGAGTGCTAGAGTTGGGATAAACCACAGTGCCTCATTCCTGTTTATTAGTATCAGGCATCAGACATATATTTTTTTTTAGTTATTCAAATGAGTTAAAATTTAATACGATTATATTAGCTTTTTTCCAAAGTGCTGGCTTTTTCATTAAAATAGCTATTTAGTGAAAATTCTTTATAATACAATGATATTCCAGAGTAGACTAATTTTGCAGACAAAAATAATACTAAATGTATTAATTGAATCCTAAAATGGTTATTTTCAGTGAATATTGGACTGATATCCAAATGTAAAAGCTTATTAATATCTAATGCCAGGAGCCATTGCATTTTGTATAAATATGTGTAATTTATTGTACTTTTTGATGAGGTTTATATATTATACCTTCCTGCCATTAGTGGATGAAGAAAATTACTGAAGGCTAAACTAGAGGATACAAGAAATGTAGGCAGATTATTCCACCACATGTGTATGATAAATAATGAATACTATCTACTAGGATTCACCAACCATATATCCAAGCTGATCAATTTAGATCCCTTCCACTTAAGAGACGTGAAGTGTACATTCATCTGAAGTGTCATTGTAATTGTGTACCTTCTCAGTTATCAGGCAAGTTAGAGCATGATGAATGTTTGTAGTATAGTAGTGTAAATCCTTTTGATACCTTGCATGAAAGACATGGAGGATGATGTAGCACCTGCTTTGACATTGATTCTCAGGTGTATGAGTTGCTCCTCTGATTTTAGATCACTTTTGTCCTCATCATTCAGCATATTCACATTGATAGTAACACTGTTTCATTTTAGTTTTAGACATATGAAAAATCATACCATGATTGACATTGTAAGGGTTTATTTTGTGAAACCTGTATTTCTTTTTTTTCAGTGTATTTCTGGTCATGTTCCAGTCCCCAGACACAAAAATCAAAGCCTATACTAATACAGGCAGGAGCATACAGCTTGATGCTAACACTTCATGAATGTATAGATAACTTTATCATATTTACATATGAGTGATTATGTATCCCTTTTGCTTTTCAGTGTCTTCTCAGAAACAACCAGCCTCAAAGGTAATTAAACTCTCATTTATATTTTGTATTAGTAACTGTATAGTCCATGAAACATACTTTCTTTATTGATAATTTGCTTCAAATTACTTTCAGGCTACAAGTGACAAGACAGATTCTGCTTTGAATATAGCTACAGAAATAAAGGATGGACTACAGTGTGGGACAGGTAATTTTGCAAAACACATTTAATGTCATGTTCAGTCCAGATAGAAAAGAACTTCTCTTCCCTGAATAAATCAGCGGGGGGCTCGTCAAAGCTGCACATTCTGATTCAGCAGGCCCGAGATTCTTCATTTGTAATAAGTTCTCGGGTGATGCTGATGCTGCTGGTCTTGGACCTGATCTTCGCAGTAAGATTATAGACTTCCCCACATTGAAATTGGGAAGAAGAAACATTGGAGAGCAGATCAAGACATAAGGGGTTCAGGGGACAGCATAATTTTGCTTTAATTCTACAGCATGTTTTCACCAAGGGTGGAAGGAGAATGAGTTGAAGTATAGATTTTACAGACGTCACATCTTATTGCTAAAAACAGATGGAAAAGTGATCGTAATAACCAGTAAAAATTGTAGAATGAGAACTAACGAGACCACTGATGTAGCAATTATTTTCCTCAAGGAAGAGGGTTGTGAGGCAGGAAGGAGGGAAAAGATGAAGTTATTTATGCAATTTTGGGGTTTCTGCTGAGGAAACCTGAGTGAACTCACTTCGGATGCATTTAGCATATTTACACAAAAAAGATTTGATTTTGGCAGCTCCAGGAACTACTGGATGAAGCAAAGAAAGCTAGAATTGGGATAAACCACATTGACTAATTACTTCTGTTTGCTACTATTAGGCATAAGACATATATCTTTTGTTGATTTTTGTTATAAAAATTAGATAAACTTGAATATCAGTACATTGGCTTCTTTCATCAAAGAGCTATCTCACGGATAAAATAGCTATTTAATGAATATTATTTAGAGAATAGTATGATCCTCCTAACAAGACAATTTTAAAAACAAATATAATGTTGAGTTCATCAACTGACTCTTAAAATGGTCATTTTCAATGAATATTGGAGTGATTTCCAAATATAAAAGCTTATTAATATCCAATGCTTTTAGCAGTTTTATTTAGTAGAAGTATGTCAAAATTGATAATTGATGATGCTTTTTATTGAGGTTTATATATTATACTTTGTGGCCATGAGTGGATGAAGAAATGTCCAGGAAGGCTAAACTAGAGAATACAGGAAACTTAGGCAAATTGTTGCACCACATGGATATGAGAAATAATGAATATTATTTACTCGGATTAAGGAAACATATATCCAAGCTGATCAATTTAGGACACTTCACTGAAGAGACAGAGACATAATGTGTACATTCAACTGAAGTGTCACTGTAATTGTGTACCTTCTCAGTTACTGGGCAAGTTAATGAACATGATGAATGTTTGCAGTATAATGGCGTAAATCATTTGGATATCTTGCATAAAAGACATGTGGGTGCATGTGCCACCTGCTTTGACATTTTCCCAGGTGATTGAGTTTCCCCTCTGATTTTTGATCACATTTGTCGTGATCACTTGGCATACCCTTTTTGATATTGACACTGATTTATTTTTCTTTTAGATATACGAGAAATCATATTATGTTTGAAATAGTTAGGAATATATCGTGGCACATCTATTTCTGTTTTCTTTAGTATATTTGTGTCATGCTCCTGGCTTAAGACATAAAGTAGAAAACATCAAAGCCTACACTAATACAGGCAGGCGGATACAGCTTGATGCTAACACCGCATGAATGTATGGAAAATGTATCATATTTACATATGAGTGATTATGTATCCCTTTTGCTTTTCAGTGTCTTCTCAGAAACAACCAGCCTTGAAGGTAATTAAACTCTCATTTATATTGTGAACTAGTAAATCTATAGTCTATGAAATATACTTCATTGATTTATTTATTTATTATTTTCTTTCAAATTCCATTCAGGCTACAACTGACGAGGAAGACTCTGTTTCGAATATAGCCACAGAAATAAAGGATGGAGAAAAATCTGGGACAGGTAATTTTGCAAAACACATTCAATGTCATGTTCAATCCAGATAGAAAAGAACTTCTCTACCCCTAATAAATCAGCGGAGGGCGGGTGGGGGGGCTCGCCGAAGCTGCACATTCTGATCCAGCAGGTCTGAGAGTCTTCATTTGTAATAAATTCTTGGGTGACGCTAATGCTGCTGGCTTGGAACATGATCTTCGCAGTAAGATTATACACTTCCCCACATTGAAATTGGGAAGAAGATATATGGAGAGAGGTTCAAGACATAAGGGGCTCTGGGGAACAGCATAGTTTTGCTTTAATTCTACAGCATGGTTTCACTAAGGTGAAAGGAGAAAGAGAAGAAGTATAGATTCTACAGACGTCACATAGTACTGCTAAGAAAAGACAGAAAACTGATAGTAATAACCCATAGACACTGTAGAACGAGAACTAAGGAGACCCCTGATGTAGCAATTATTTTCCCAAGGAAGATGGATTGTCAGACAGGAAGGAGGGAAAAGAAGTTATTTATATAATTTAGGGGTTTCTGCTGAGGAAATCTGAGTGAACTCACTTCACACGCATTTGGAATATGTGCCTAAAAAATATTTGATTTTGGCAGCTCCAGGAATTACTGGAAGCAGGAAACAATGCTAGAATTGGGATAAAGCACACTGACTCATTACTCCTTTTTGTTACTATTAGGCATCAGAGATACATGTTTTGTTGACTTTACTTATAAAAATGAGATAAAGTTGAATATGAATACATTGGCTTCCTTGTTCAAGGAGCTACCTCTTGGATAAAATAGCTATTTCATGAAACTTCTTTAGAGACTAACATGATACTCCCAAGAATGCTATTTTAGAACAAAAATTATGTTGAATTCTAATTAACTCCTAAAATGGTAATTTTCAATGAATATTGCAGTGATTTCTGAATGAAAAACTGATTAATATCTAATGCTTGTAGCAGTTTTACTTTGTAGAAGTATGTCAAAATTGATAATTGATGATATTTTTATTGAGGCTGATATATTATGCTTTGGTGCCACGACTGGATGAAGAAATTTTCGGAAGGCTAAACTAGTGGATACAAGATACTTAGGCAAATTATTACACCACATGGGGGTGAGAGATAATGAATATTATCTACTAGGTATCAGCAAACAGATATCCAAGGTGATCAATTTAGGACACTTCCACTGAAGAGATGTGAAGTATACGTTCAACTGAATTGTCGTGGTAACTGTGTGCCTTCTCAGTTATTGGGCAAGTTAAAGAGCATGATGAATGTTTGTAGTACAATGGTGTAAATCCTTTTGATTTCCTGCATGAAAGACATGTGGGATCATGTAGCACCTGCTTTGACATTGATTCTCACATGTATGAGTTGCTCCTCTGATTTTAGATCACTTTGTCCTCATCACTCGGCATATCCACATTGATATTGACACGGTTTTATTTTAGTTTTCGACATATGACGAATCATACCATGTTTGAAATTGTAAGGATATATTTCATGGAGCCTGTATTCCCTTTTACCAGTGTATTTCTGTCATGTTCCAGTCCCAAGAGACAAAGTAGAAGACATCAGAGCCTACACTAGTACAGGCAGAAGGATACAGCTGGATGCTAACACTGTGTGAATGTATGGATAACTTTATCATATTTACATATGAGTGATTATGTATCCCTTTTGCTTTTCAGTGTCTTCTCAGAAGCAACCAGCCTTGAAGGTAATTAAACTCTCGTTTACATTGTGAACTAGTAATTCTATAGTCTATGAAACATACTTCATTGATTTATTTATTTATTATTTTCTTTCAAATTCCATTAAGGCTACAACTGACGAGGAAGATTCTGTTTCGAATATAGCCACAGAAATAAAGGATGGAGAAAAATCTGGGACAGGTAATTTTGCAAAACACATTCAATGTCATGTTCAATCCAGATAGAAAAGAACTTCTCTACCCCGAATAAATCAGCGGAGGGTGGGTGGGGGGCTCGCCTAATCTGCACATTCTGATTCAGCAGGCCTGAGAGTCTTCATTTGTAATAAATTCCTGGGTGACGCTAATGCTGCTGGCTTGGAACGTGATCTTCGCAGTAAGATTATACACTTCCCCACATTGAAATTGGGAAGAAGATACATGGAGAGAGGTTCAAGACATAAGGGGCTCTGGGGAACAGCATAGTTTTGCTTTAATTCTACAGCATGGTTTCACTAAGGGTGGAAGAAGAAAGAGAGGAAGTATAGATTCTACAGACGTCACATAGTACTGCTAAGAAAAGACAGAGAACTGATAGTAATAACCCATAGACACTGTAGAACGAGAACTAAGGAGACCCCTGATGTAGCAATTATTTTCCCAAGGAAGATGGATTGTCAGACAGGAAGGAGGGAAAAGAAGTTATTTATATAATTTAGGGGTTTCTGCTGAGGAAATCTGAGTGAACTCACTTCACATGCATTTGGAATATGTGCCTAAAAAATATTTGATTTTGGCAGCTCCAGGAATTACTGGAAGCAGGAAACAATGCTAGAATTGGGATAAAGCACACTGACTCATTACTCCTTTTTGTTACTATTAGGCATCAGAGATACATGTTTTGTTGACTTTACTTATAAAAATGAGATAAAGTTGAATATGAATACATTGGCTTCCTTGTTCAAGGAGCTACCTCTTGGATAAAATAGCTATTTCATGAAACTTCTATAGAGAACAACATGATACTCCCAAGAAGGCTATTTTAGAAACAAAAATTATGTTGAATTCTAATTAACTCCTAAAATGGTAATTTTCAATGAATATTGCAGTGATTTCTGAATGAAAAACTGATTAATATCTAATGCTTGTAGCAGTTTTACTTTGTAGAAGTATGTCAAAATTGATAATTGATGATATTTTTATTGAGGCTGATATATTATCCTTTGGTGCCACGACTGGATGAAGAAACTTTCGGAGGGATAAACTAGTGGATACAAGAAACTTAGGCAAATTATTACAACACATGGGTGTGAGAGATAATGAATATTATCTACTAGGTATCAGCAAACAGATATCCAAGGTGATCAATTTAGGACACTTCCACTGAAGAGATGCGAAGTGTACTTTCAAGTGAATTGTCATGGTAATTGTGTGCCTTCTCAGTTATTGGGCAAGTTAAAGAGCATGATGAATGTTTGTAGTACAATGGTATAAATCCTTTTGATTTCCTGCATGAAAGACATGTGGGATCATGTAGCACCTGCTTTGACATTGATTCTCACGTGTATGAGTTGCTCCTCTGATTTTAGATCACTTTGTCCTCATCACTCGGCATATCCACATTGATATTGACACGGTTTTATTTTAGTTTTCGACATATGACGAATCATACCATGTTTGAAACTGTAAGGATATATTTCATGGAGCCTGTATTCCCTTTTACCAGTGTATTTCTGTCATGTTCCAGTCCCAAGAGACAAAGTAGAAGACATCAGAGCCTACACTAGTACAGGCAGAAGGATACAGCTGGATGCTAACACTGTGTGAATGTATGGATAACTTTATCATGTTTATATATGAGTGATTATGTATCCCTTTTTGCTTTTCAGTGTCTTCTCAGAAACAACCAGCCTTGAAGGTAATTAAACTCTCATTTATATTGTGAACTAGTAAATCTATAGTCTATGAAATATACTTCATTGATTTATTTATTTATTACTTTCTTTCAAATTCCATTCAGGCTACAACTGATGAGAAAGATTCTGTTTCGAACATAGCCACAGAAATAAAGGATGGAGAAAAATCTGGGACAGGTAATTTTGCAAAAGACATTTAATGTCATATTCAGTCCAGATAGATAAGAATTTCTCTTTCCTGAATGAATTGGCCTGGGGCTCGTCGAAGCTGCACATTATCATTCAGCTGTCCTGAGATTCTTCATTTGCAGTAAGTTCTTGGGTGATGGTGATGCTGCTGGTCTGGAACATGATCTTCGCAGTAAGATTATACACTTCCCCACATTCAAATTTGGAAGAAGAAATATGGAGAGCAGTTGAAGACATAAGGGGCTCTGGGGAACAGCATAATTTTGCTTTAACTCTACAGCGTTTTCAGTAAGGGTGGAAGGAGAAAGAGAGGAAGTATAGATTTTACAAACGTCACATCGTACTGCTAAAAACAGACAGAAAACTGATTGTAATAACCCATAGACACTGTAGAAGGAGACCTACGGAGACCCCTCCTGTAGCAATTATTTTCCCAAGGAAGACGGATTGTGAGGCAGGAAGGTGGGAAAAGAGGAAGTCATTTATATAATTTTGGGGTTTTTCCTGAGGAAACCTGAGTGAACTCACTTCAGATGCATTTGGAATATTTTCATAAAACATATTTGATTTTGGCAGCACAAGGAAATACTGGAAGTGGGAAACAATGCTAGAATTGCCATAAAAACACACTGCCTCATTACTCCTGTTTGTTAGCATTAGGCATCAGAGATACATGTTTTGTTGATTTTAGTTATAGAAATGAGACCAACTTGAATATGAATATATTGGCTTCCTTGTTCAAGGAGCTACCTCTTGGATAAAATAGCTATTTAATGAAACTTCTTTAGAGAATAACATGATACTCCCAACAAGGCTATTTTAGAAATAAAAATTATGTTGGATTCTAATTAAGTCCTAGAGTGATCATTTTCAATGGATATTGGAATGATTTCTGAATGTAAAACTTAATAATATCTAATGCTAGTAGCAGTTTTACTCTGTAGAATATGTCAAAATTGATAATTGATGATTTTTTATTGTGGCTAATATATTATCCTGTGGTGCCATGAGTGGATGAAGAAACTTTAGGAAGGCTAAACTAGTGGATACAAGAAACTTAAGCAAATTATTACACCACATGGGTGTGAGAGATAATGAATATTATCTACTAGGTATCAGCAAATGGATATCCAAGGTGATCAATTTAGGACACTACCCCTGAAGAGATGTGAAGTGTACGTTCAACTGAAGTGTCATCATAATTGTGTGCTTTCTCAGTTATTGGGCAAGTTAAAGAGCATGATGAACGTTTGTAGTATAATGGTGTAAATCCTTTTGATTTGTTGCATGAAAGACATGTGGGATCATGTAGCACCTGCTTTGACATTCATTCTCAGGTGTATGAGTTTCTCCTCTGATTTTAGATCACATTTGTCCGCATCACTTGGCATATGGACATTGATATTGACACAGTTTGATTTTAGTTTTTGACATATGACAAATTATACCATGTTTGAAATTGTAGGGGTATATTTCATGGAGCCTGTATTCCCTTTTTTCAGTGTATTTCTGTCACGTTCTAGTCCCCAGACTAAAAGTAGAAGCCATCAAAGCCTACGCTAATACAGGCAGGAGAACAGAGGTTGATACAAACACTTCATGAATGTATGGATAACTTTGTCATAGTTACATATGAGTGATTATGTATCCCTTTTGCTTTTCAGTGTCTTCTCAGAAACCACCAGCCTTGACGGTAATGAAACACTCATTTATATTGTGAATGAGTTAAGGTATGGTCTATGAAACATACTTTATTAATTTATTATTTCATTTGAAATTCCATTCAGGCTACAAGTGACGAGGAAGGTTCTGTTTTGAGTATAGCCAGAGAAAACAAGGATGGAGAAAAATCTAGGACAGGTAATTTTGAAAAGAGATTTAATGTCATGTTCAGTGCAGATAGATAAGAAGTTCTCTTCCCTGAATAAATCAGCGGGGGGCTCGTTGAAGCTGCACATTCTGATTCAGCAGTCCTGAGATTCTTCATTTCAAATAAGTTCTTGGGTGATGCTGATGCTGCTGGTCTGGAACATGATCTTCGCAGTAAGATTATACACTTCCCCACATTGAAATTGGGAAGAAGAAATATGGAGAGCAGTTCAAGGCATAAGGGGCTCCGGGGAACAACATAATTTTACTTTAATTCTCCAGCTTGTTTTCAGTAAGGGTGGAAGGAGAAAGAGAGGAAGTATAGAATTTACACACTTCAGCTCGCACTGCCAAGAAAAGACAGAAAGCTTGTTGTAACAACCCGTAGACACTGTAGGAGAACTAAGGAGACCCCTGGTGTAGCAACTATTTTCCTAAGGAAGACGGATTGTGAGGCAGGAAGGTGTGAAAAGAAGAAGTCATTTATATAATTTTGGGGTTTCTGCTGAGGAAACCTGAGTGAACTCACTTCAGATGCACTTGGAATATTTTCATAAAAAATATTTGCTTTTGGCTACTCCAGGAACTACTGGAAGCAGGAAACAATGGTATAATTGGAATACACCACACTGACCCATTACTCCTCTGTTACTATTAGGCATCAGAGATACATGTTTTGTTGATTTTAGTTATAAAAATCAGATAATCTTGAATGTGAATAAATTTTGCTTCCTTGTTCAAGGAGCTACCTCTTGGATAAAAAAGCTATTTAATGAAACTTCTTTAGAGAATAACACGATACTCCCAACAAGACTATTTTAGACACAAGAATGATGTTGAATTCCAATTAACGCCTAAAATAGTCATTTTCAATGAATATTGCAGTGATTTCTGAATGAAAAACTGAGTAATATCTAATGCTTGTAGCCATTTTACTTTGTAGAAGTATGTCAAATGATAATTGATGATATTTTTATTGAGGCTAATATATTATCCTTTGGTGGCAAGATTGGATGAAGAAACTTTCAGAAGCCTAAACTAGTGGATACAAGAAAATTAGGCAAATGATTACACTACATGGGTGTGAGGGATAATGAATATTATCTACTAGGTATCAGCAAACAGATATCCAAGGTGATCAATTCAGGACACTTCCACTGAAGAGATGTGAAGTGTACGTTCAACTGGAGGGTCATCGTAATTGTGTGCCTTCTCATTTATTGGGCAAGTTAAAGAGCATGAAAAATGTTTGTAGTATAATGGTGTAAATCCTTTTGATTTGTTGCATGAAAGACATATGGGATCATGTAGCACCTGTTTTGACATTGATTCTCAGGTGTGTGAGTTGCTCCTCTGATTTTAGATCACATTTGTCCTCATCACTCGGCATATCCACATTGGGATTGACACGGTTTTATTTTAGCTTTCGACACATAAAAAATCATACTGTGTTTGAAATTGTAAGGGTATATTTCACGGAGCCTGTGTTCCCTTTTTTCAGGGTATTTCTGACATGTTCTGGTCCCCAGACAGAAAGTAGAAGCCATCAAAGCGTACACTAATACAGGCAGGAGGACAGAGGTTGATGCTAACACTGTGTGAATGTATGGATAACTTTATCATATTTACATGTGAGTGATTATGTATCCCTTTTGCTTTTCAGTGTCTTCTCGGAAAAAACCAGCCTTGAAGGTAATGAAACTCTCATTCATATTGTGAGCTAGTAAACGTATAGCCTATGAAACATACCTTATTTATTATTTTGTTTCAAATTCCACTCAGGCTACAAGTGATGAGAAGGATTCTTTTTCGAATATAACCAGAGGAAAAAAGGATGGAGAAATATCTAGGAAAGGTAATTTTGCGAAACACATTTAATGTCATGTTCAGTCCAGACAAGAAGTTCTCTTCCCCGAATAAATCAGTGGGGGGCTGGTCAAAGATGCACATTCTGATTCAGCAGGCCTGAGATTCTTCATTTCTAATAAGTTCTTGGGTTATGCTGATGCTACTGGTCTGGAACATGATCTTCACTGTAAGATTATACGCATCCCCACATTACAATTGGGAGGAAGAAATATGGAGAGCAGTTGAAGACATAAGGGGCTCTGGGGCCCAGCATAATTCTGCTTTAATTCGGTAGCATCTTTTCATTAAGGGTGTACGGAGAAGGAGAGGAAGTACAGATTTTACAGACGTCACATCGTAGTGCTAAAAACAGACAGAAAACTGTTCATAATAACCCATAGACACTGTAGAAGGAGAACTGAGGAGACCCCTGATGTAGCAATTATTTTCTGAATGAAGACGGATTGTGAGGCAGGAATGTGGGAAAAGAGGAAGTCATTTATATAATTTTGGGGTTACTGCTGAGGAAACCTGAGTGAACTCACTTCAGATGCATTTGGAACATTTGCATAAACAATATTTGATTTTGGCAGCTCCAGCAACTGCTGGAAGCAGGAAACAGTGGTTGAATTGGCATAAAAACAAAATGACTCATTACTCCTCTTTGTTACTATTAGGCATCAGAGATACATATTTTGTTGATTTTAGTTATAGAAATGAGATAAACTTGAATATGAATATGGTGGCTTCCTTGTTCAAGGAGCTACCTCTTGGATAAAATAGCTGTTTAATGAAACTTCTTTAGAAAATAACATGATACTGCCAACAAGGGTATTCTAGAAACAAAAATTATGTTGCATTCCAATTAAGTCCTAGAGTGATCATTTTCAATGAATATTGGAATGATTTCTGAATGTAAAACTTATTATTATCTAATGGTTGTGGCAGTTTTACTTTGTAGAAATATGTCAAAATTGATAATTGATGACATTTTTATTGAGGCTAATATATTATCCTTTGGTGCCATGAGTGGATGAAGAAACATTTGGAAGGCTAAACTAGTGGATACAAGAAACTTAAGCAAATTATTACACTACATGGGTGTGAGAGATAATGAATATTATGTACTAGGTATCAGCAAAGAGGTATCCAAGGTGATCAATGTAGGACACTTCCACTGAAGAGATGTGAAGTGTAAGTTCAACTGAAGCATCATCGCAATTGTGTGCCTTCTCAGTTATTGGGCATGTTAAAGAGCATGATGAATGTTTGTAGTATAAAGGTGTAAATCCTTTTGATTTGTTGCGTGAAAGACATGTGAGATCATGTAGCACCTGCTTTGACATTGATTCTCAGGAGTGTGAGTTGCTCCTCTGATTTTAGATCACATTTGTTCTCATCACTCGGCCTAAGACATTGATATTGATACGGTTTTATTTTAGTTTTCGACACATGAGAAATCATGCCATGTTTGAAATTATAAGGGTATATTTCATGGAGCCTGTATTCCCTTTTCTTAGTGTATTTCTGTCATGTTCTAGTCCCCAGACACAAAGTAGAAGCCATCAAAGCCTATGCTAATACAGGCAGGAGGACAGAGGTTGATGCTAACTCTGCTTGAATGTATGGATATCTTTGTCATATTTATGTATGACTGATTATGAATCCCTTTTGCTTTTCAGTGTCTTCTCAGAAACCACCAACCTTGAAGGTAATGAAACTCCCATTTATCATGTGAACGAGTTAATGTATGGTCTATGAAACATACTTTATTTATTTATTATTTCGTTTCAAATTCCATTCAGGGTACAAGTGACGAGGAAGATTCTGTTTTGGGTATAGCCAGAGAAAACAAGGATGGAGAAAAATCTAGGACAGGTAATTCTGAAAACAGATTTAATGTCATGTTCAGTCCAGATAGATAAGAAGTTCTCTTCCCCAAATAAATCAGCGGGGGGCTCATCGAAGCTGCACTTTCTGATTCAGCAGGCCGGAGATTCTTCATTTGCAGTAGGTTCTTGGGTGATGCTGATGCTGCTGGTCTGGAACATGATCTTCGCCGTAAGATTATACACTTCCACACTTTGAAGTTGGGAAGAAGATATATGGAGAGCAGTTGAAGACATAAGGGTCTCTGGGGAACAGCATAGTTTTGCTTTAATTCTCCAGCTTGTTTTCAGTAAGGGTGGAAGGAGAAAGAGAGGAAGTATCGATTTTACAGACCTCACATCATACTGCTAAAAACAGACAGAAAACTTGTTGTAATAACCCGTACACACTGTAGGAGAACTAAGGAGACCCCTGTTGTAGCAATCATTTTGCCAAAGAAGACGGATTGTGAGGCAGGAAGGTGTGAAAAGAGGAAGTCATTTGTATAATTTTGGGGTTTCTGCTGAGGAAACCTGAGTGAACTCACTTCAGATGCATTTGGAATATTTTAATAAAAAATACTTGATTTTGGCTGCTGCAGGAACTGCTGGAAGAAGGAAACCATTCTGGGATTGGCATAAAAACACACTGACTCATTACTCTCCTTTGTTACTGTTAGACATCAGAGATATATGTTTTGTTGATTTTAGTTATAGAAATGAGACAAGCTTAAATCTGAATACATTAGTTTCCTTGTTCAAGGAGCTACCTCTTGGATACAACAGCTATTTCATGAAACTTCTTTAGCGAATGACATGATACTCCCAACAAGCCTATTTTAGAAAGAAAAATTATGCTGCATTGTAATTAACTCCTAAACTGGTCATTTTCAATGAGTATTGCTGTGATTTCTGAATGAAAAACTGATCAATATCTAATGCTTGTAGCTGTTTTACTTTGTATAGGTATGTCAAAATTGATAATTGATGATATTTTTATTGAGGCTAAGATACTATCCTTTGGTGCCAAGACTGGATGAAGAAAATTTCGGAAGGCTAAAGTAGTGGATACAAAAAACTTAGGCAGATTATTACTCCATATCGGGGTGAGAGATAATGAGTATTATCTACTAGATATCTGCAAACATATATCCAAGGTGATCAATTTAGGACCCTTCCACTGAAGGGATGTGAAGTGTACTTCAACTGAATTGTCATCGTAATTGTGTGCCTTCTCAGTTATTGGGCAAGTTAAAGAGGATGATGAATGTTTGTAGTATAATGGTGTAAATCCTTTTGATTTGTTGCATGAAAGACATGTGGGTACATGTAGCACCTGCTTTGACATTGATTCTCAGGTGCATGAGTTGCCCCTCTGATTTTAGATCACTTTGTCCTCATCACTCGGCATATCCACGTTGATAGTGACACGGTTTTATTTTAGTTTTTGGCATATGACAAATCATACCATGTTTGAAATTCTAAGACTATATTTCATGGAGCCTGTATTCCCTTTTCTCAGCGTATTTCTGTCACGTTCTAGTCCCCAGACACAAAGTAGAAGCCATCAAAGCGTACACTAATACAGGCAGGAGGACAGAGGTTGATGCTAACACTGTATGAATGTATGGATAATTTTGTCGTTTTTACATATGAGTGATTATGAATCCCTTTTACTTTTCAGTGTCTTCTGAGAAACCACCAGGCTTGAAGGTAATGAAACTGTCATTTATATTGTGACCTAGTAAATGCATAGTCTATGAAACATACTTTATTAATTTATTATTTCATTTCAAATTCCATTCAGGCTTCAAGTGCCGAGAAAGATTCTGTTTTGAATATAGCCAGAGGAAAAAAGGATGGAGAAAAAACTAAGAGAGGTAATTTTGAAAAGAGATTTAATGTCATGTTCAGTGCAGATAGATAAGAAGTTCTCTTCCCTGAATAAATCAGCGGGGGGCTCGTTGAAGCTGCACATTCTGATTCAGCAGTCCTGAGATTCTTCATTTCAAATAAGTTCTTGGGTGATGCTGATGCTGCTGGTCTGGAACATGATCTTCGCAGTAAGATTATACACTTCCCCACATTGAAATTGGGAAGAAGAAATATGGAGAGCAGTTCAAGGCATAAGGGGCTCCGGGGAACAACATAATTTTGCTTTAATTCTCCAGCTTGTTTTCAGTAAGGGTGGAAGGAGAAAGAGAGGAAGTATAGAATTTACACACTTCAGCTCGCACTGCCAAGAAAAGACAGAAAGCTTGTTGTAACAACCCGTAGACACTGTAGGAGAACTAAGGAGACCCCTGGTGTAGCAACTATTTTCCTAAGGAAGATGGATTGTGAGACAGGAAGGTGTGAAAAGAGGAAGTCATTTATATAATTTTGGAGTTTCTGCTGAGGAAACCTGAGTGAACTCACTTCAGATGCATTGGGAATATTTCCATAAGAAATATTTGATTTTGGCTACTCCAGGAACTACTGGAAGCAGGAAACAATGGTATAATTGGAATACACCACACTGACCCCTTACTCTTCTTGTTACTAGGAGGCCTCAGAGATACATGTTTTGTTGATTTTAGTTATAAAAATCAGATAATCTTGAATGTGAATAAATTTTGCTTCCTTGTTCAAGGAGCTACCTGTTGGATAAAATAGCTATTTAATGACACTTCTTTAGAGAATAACACGATACTCCCAACAAGACTATTTTAGACACAAGAATGATGTTGAATTCCAATTAACTCCTAAAATGGTCATTTTCAATGAATATTGCAGTGATTTCTGAATGAAAAACTGAGTAATATCTAATGCTTGTAGCCATTTTACCTTGTAGAAGTATGTCAAAGTTGATAATTGATGATATTTTTATTGAGGCTAATATATTATCCTTCGGTGCCAAGAGTGGATGAAGAAACTTTCGGAAGGGTAAACTAGTGGATACAAGAAACTCAGGCAAATTATTACACTACATGGGTGTGAGAGATAATGAATATTATGTACTAGGTATCAGCAAACAGATATCCAAGGTGATCAATTCAGGACACTTGCACTGAAGAGATGTGAAGTGTACGTTCAACTGGAGTGTCATCGTAATTGTGTGCCTTCTCAGTTATTGGGCAAGTTAAAGAGCATGATGAATGTTTGCAGTATAATGGTGTAAATCCTCTTAATTTGTTGCATGAAAGACATGTGGGATCATGTAGCACCTGTTTTGACATTGATTCTCACGTATATGAGTTGCTCCTCTGATTTTAGATCACATTTGTTCTCATCACTCGGCATATCCACATTGAGATTGACACGGTTTTATTTTAGTTTTCGACACATGACAAATCTTACCATGTTTGAAATCGTAAGGGTGTATTTCACAGAGCCTGTGTTCCCTTTTTTCAGTGTATTTCTGTCATGTTCTGATCCCCAGACACAAAGTAGAAGCCATCAAAGCCTCCACTAATACAAGCAGGAGGACAGAGGTTGATGCTAACACTGTGTGAATCTATGGATAATTTTATCATGTTTACATGTGAGTGATTATGTATCCCTTTTGCTTTTCAGTGTCTTCTCGGAAAAAACCATCCTTGGAGGTAATGAAACTCTCATTCATATTGTGAGCTAGTAAACGTATAGCCTATGAAACATACCTTATTTATTACTTTGTTTCAAATTCCATTCAGGCCACAAGTGATGAGAAGGATTCTTTTTCGAATATAACCAGAGAAAAAAAGGATGGAGAAATATCTAGGAAAGGTAATTTTGCGAAACACATTTAATGTCATGTTCAGTCCAGATAAGAAGTTCTCTTCCCCGAATAAATCAGTCGGGGGCTGGTTGAAGCTGCACGTTCTGATTCACCAAGCTTGAGATTCTTCTTTTCTAACAAGTTCTTGGGTTATGCTGATGCTGCTTGTCTGCAGCATGATCTTCGCTGTAAGATTATACGCATCCCCACATTACAATTGGGAGGAAGAAACATGGAGAGCAGTTGAAGACATAAGGGGCTCTGGGGCCCAGCATAATTTTGCTTTAATTCTGTAGCATCTTTTCATTAAGGGTGTAAGGAGAAAGAGAGGAAGTACAGATTTTACAGACGTCACATCATAGTGCTAAAAACAGACAGAAAACTGTTCATTATAACCCGTAGACACTGTAGAAGGAGAACTGAGAAGACCCCTGATGTAGCAATTATTTTCTGAATGAAGACGGATTGTGAGGCAGGAAGGTGGGAAAAGAGGAAGTCATTTATATAATTTTGTGGTTACTGCTGAGGAAACCTGAGTGAACTCACTTCAGATGCATTTGGAATATTTGCATAAACAATATTTGACTTTGGCAGCTCCAGCAACTGCTGGAAGCAGGAAACAGTGTTTGAATTGGCATAAAAACACAATAACTCATTACTCCTCTTTGTTACTACTAGGCATCAGAGATACATCTTTTGTTGATTTTAGTTATAGAAATGAGATAAACTTGAATATGAATATGTTGGTTTCCTTGTTCAAGGAGCTACCTCTTGGATAAAATAGCTGTTTAATGAAACTTCTATAGAAAATAACATGATACTGCCTACAAGGGTATTCTAGAAACAAAAATTATGTTGCATTCCAATTAAGTCCTAGAGTGATCATTTTCAATGAATATTGGAATGATTTCTGAATGTACAACTTATTAATATCTAATGGTTGTGGCAGTTTTACTTTGTGGAAATATGTCAAAATTGATAATTGATGATATTTTTATTGAGGCTAATATATTATCCTTTGGTGCCATGAGTGGATGAAGAAACTTTTGGAAGTCTAAACTAGTGGATACAAGAAGCTTATGCAAATTATTACACCACATGGGTGGGAGAGATAATGAATATTATGTACTAGGTATCAGCAAAGAGGTATCCAAGGTGATCAATGTAGGACACTTCCACGGAAGAGATGTGAAGTATAAGTTCAACTGAAGCATCATCGCAATTGTGTGCCTTCTCAGTTATTGGGCATGTTAAAGAGCATGATGAATGTTTGTAGTATAATGGTGTAAATCCTTTTGATTTGTTGCATGAAAGACATGTGGGATCATGTAGCACCTGCTTTGACATTGATTCTCAGGTGTGTGAGTTGCTACTCTGATTTTAGATCACATTTGTTCTCATCACTCGGCATATCCACATTGATATTGACATGGTTTTATTTTAGTTTTCGACATATGAGAAATCATACCATGTTTGAAATTGTAAGGGTATATTTCATGGAGCCTGTATTCGCTTTTCTCAGTGTATTTCTGTCACGTTCTAGTCCCCAGACACAAAGTAGAAGCCATGAAGGCCTATGCTAATACAGGCAGGAGGACAGAGGTTGATTCTAACAGTGCTCGAATGTATGGAAATCTTTGTCATATTTACGTATGACTGATTATGAATCCCTTTTGCTTTTCAGTGTCTTCTCAGAAACCACCAGCCTTGAAGGTAATGAAACTCCCATTTATCTTGTGAACGAGTTAATGTATGGTCTATGAAACATACTTTATTTATTATTTCGTTTTAAATTCCATTCAGGGTACAAGTGACGAGGAAGATTCTGTTTTGGGTATAGCCAGAGAAAACAAGGATGGAGAAAAATCTAGGACAGGTAATTTTGAAAACAGATTTAATGTCATGTTCAGTCCAGGTAGATAAGAAGTTCTCTTCCCCAAATAAATCAGCGGGGGGCTCGTCGAAGCTGCACTTTCTGATTCAGCAGGCTGGAGATTCTTCATTTGTAGTAAGTTCTTGGGTGATGCTGATGCTGCTGGTCTGGAACATGATCTTCGCTGTAAGATTATACACTTCCCCACATTGAAGTTGGGAAGAATATACATGGAGAGCAGTTGAAGACATAAAGGGCTCTGGGGAACAGCATAGTTTTGCTTTAATCCTCCAGCTTGTTTTCAGTAAGGGTGGAAGGAGAAAGAGAGGAAGTATCGATTTTACAGACGTCACATCGTACTGCTAAAAACAGACAGAAAACTTCTTGTAATAACCCGTACACACTGTAGGAGAAGTAAGGAGACCCTTGTTGTAGCAATCATTTTGCCAAAGAAGACGGATTGTGAGGCAGGAAGGGGTGAAAAGAGGAAGTCATTTGTATAATTTTGGGGTTTCTGCTGAGGAAACCTGAGTGAACTCACTTCAGATGCATTTGGAATATTTTAATAAAAAATACTTGATTTTGGCTGCTGCAGGAACTGCTGGAAGAAGGAAGCAATCCTAGAACTGGCATAGAAACACACTGACTCATTACTCCCCTTTGTAACTATTAGGCATCAGAGATACATGTTTTGTTGATTTTAGTTATATAATTGAGACAAACTTGAATCTGAATACATTGGTTTCCTTGTTCAAGGAGCTACCTCTTGGATACCATAGCTATTTCATGAAACTTCTTTAGAGAACAACATGATACTCCCAAGAAGGCTATTTTAGAAACAAAAATTATGCTGGATTCTAATTAACTCCTAAAATGCTCATTTTCAATGGGTATTGCAGTGATTTCTGAATGAAAAACTGATCAATATCTAATGCTTGTAGCAGTTTCACTTTGTATGTGTATGTCAAATTTGATAATTGATGATATTTTTATTGAGGCTAATATATTATCCCTTCGTGCCACGACTGGATGAAGAAACTTTTGGAAGGCTAAACTAGTGGATACAAGAAACTTAGGCAGATTATTACACCATATGGGGGTGAGAGATAATGAATATTATCTACTAGGTATCAGCAAACAGATATCCAAGGTGATGAATGTAGGACACTTCCACTGAAGAGATGTGAAGTGTACGTTCAACTGAATTGTCATGGTAATTGTGTGCCTTCTCAGTTATTGGGCAAGTTAAAGAGCATGATGAATGTTTGTAGTATAATGGTGTAAATCCTTTTTATTTCCTGTATGAAAGACATGTGGGATCATGTAGCACCTGCTTTGACATTGATTCTGACGTGTATGAGTTGCTCCTCTGATTTTAGATCACTTTGTCCTCATCACTCGGCATATCCACATTGATATTGACACGGTTTTATTTTAGTTTTTCACATATGACAAATCATACCATGTTTGAAATTCTAAGACTATATTTCATGGAGCCTGTATTGCTTTTCTCAGCGTATTTCTGTCACGTTCTAATCCCCAGACCAAAATTAGAAGCCATCAAAGCATACGCTAATACAGGCAGGAGGACAGAGGCTGATGCTAACACTGCATGAATGTATGGATAATTTTGTCATTTTTACATATGAGTGATTAGGAATCCCTTTTACTTTTCAGTGTCTTCTGAGAAACCACCAGGCTTGAAGGTAATGAAACTGTCGTTTATATTGTGAACTAGTAAATGTATAGTCTACGAAACATACTTTATTAATTTATTATTTCATTTCAAATTCCATTCAGGCTACAAGTGATGAGAAAGATTCTGTTTTGAATATAGCCAGAGGAAAAAAGGATGGAGAAAAAACTAGGACAGGTAATTTTGAAAAGAGATTTAATGTCATGTTCAGTGCAGATAGATAAGAAGTTCTCTTCCCTGAATAAATCAGCGGGGGGCTCGTTGAAGCTGCACATTCTGATTCAGCAGTCCTGAGATTCTTCATTTCAAATAAGTTCTTGGGTGATGCTGATGCTGCTGGTCTGGAACATGATCTTCACAGTAAGATTATACACTTCCCCACATTGAAATTGGGAAGAAGAAATATGGAGAGCAGTTCAAGGCATAAGGGGCTCCGGGGAACAACATAATTTTGCTTTAATTCTCCAGCTTGTTTTCAGTAGGGGTGGAGGGGAAAAGAGAGGAAGTATAGAATTAACACACTTCAGCTCGCACTGCCAAGAAAAGACAGAAAGCTTGTTGTAACAACCCGTAGACACTGTAGGAGAACTAAGGAGACCCCTGGTGTAGCAACAGTTTTCCTAAGGAAGACGGATTGTGAGGCAGGAAGGTGTGAAAAGAGGAAGTCATTTATATAATTTTGGGGTTTCTGCTGAGGAAACCTGAGTGAACTCACTTCAGATGCATTTGGAATATTTTCATAAAAAATATTTGATTTTCGCTGCTCCAGCAACTGCTGGAAGCAGGAAACAGTGGTTGAATTGGCATAAAAACACAATAACTCATTACTCCTCTTTGTTACTATTAGGCATCAGAGATACACGTGTTGTTGATTTTAGTTATAGAAATGAGATAAACTTGAATATGAATACATTGGCTTCTTTGTTCAAGGAGCTACCTCTTGGATAAAATAGCTGTTTAATGAAACTTCTTTAGAAAATAACATGATATTGCCAACAAGGGTATTTTAGAAACAAAAATTATGTTGCATTCCAATGAAGTCCTAGAGTGATCATTTTCAATGAATATTGGAATGATTTCTGAATGTAAAACTTATTATTGTCTAATGGTTGTGGCAGTTTTACTTTGTAGAAATATGTCAAAATTGATAATTGATGATATTTTTATTGAGGCTAATATATTATCCTTTGGTGCCATGAGTGGATGAAGAAACATTTGGAAGGCTATACTAGTGGATACAAGAAAGTTAAGCAAATTATTACACCACATGGGTGTGAGAGATAATGAATATTATGTACTAGGTATCAGCAAAGAGGTATCCAAGGTGATCAATTTAGGACACTTCCACTGAAGAGATGTGAAGTGTAAGTTCAACTGAAGCATCATCGCAGTTGTGTGCCTTCTCAGTTATTGGGCATGTTAAAGAGCATGATGAATGTTTGTAGTATAATTGTGTAAATCCTATTGATTTGTTGTGTGAAAGACATGTGGGATCATGTAGCACCTGCTTTGACATTGATTCTCAGGTGTGTGAGTTGCTCCTCTGATTTTAGATCACATTTGTTCTCATCACTCGGCCTAAGCACATTGATATTGACACGGTTTTATTTTAGTTTTCGACATATGAGAAATCTTACCACGTTTGAAATTGTAAGGGTATATTTCATGGAGCCTGTATTCCCTTTTCTCAGTGTATTTGTGTCATTTTCTAGTCCCCAGACACAAAGTAGAAGCCATCAAAGCCTATGCTAATACAGGCAGGAGGACAGAGGTTGATGCTAACTCTGCTTGAATGTATGGATATCTTTATCATATTTACATATGACTGATTATGAATCACTTTTGCTTTTCAGTGTCTTCTCAGAAACCACCAACCTTGAAGGTAATGAAACTCCCATTTATATTGTGAACGAGTTAATATATGGTCTATGAAACATACTTTATTTATTTATTATTTTGTTTCAAATTCCATTCAGGCTACAAGTGATGAGGAAGATTCTGTTTTGAGTATAGCCAGAGAAAACAAGGATGGAGAAAAATCTAGGACAGGTAATTCTGAAAACAGATTTAATGCCATGTTCAGTCGAGATAGATAAGAAGTTCTCTTCCCCAAGTAAATCAGCGGGGGGCTCATCGAAGCTGCACTTTCTGATTCAGCAGGCCGGAGATTCTTCATTTGTAGTACGTTCTTGGGTGATGCTGATGCTGCTGGTCTGGAACATGATCTTCGCTGTAAGATTATACACTTCCCCACGTTGAAGTTGGGAAGAAGATATATGGAGAGCAGTTGAAGACATAAGGGTCTCTGGGGAACAGCATAGTTTTGCTTTAATCCTCCAGCTTGTTTTCACTAAGGGTGGAAGGAGAAAGAGAGGAAGTATCGATTTTACAGATGTCACATCATACTGCTAAAAACAGACAGAAAACTTGTTGTAATAACCCGTACACTCTGTAGGAGAACTAAGGAGACCCCTGGTGTAGCAATCACTTTCCCAAAGAAGACGGATTGTGAGGCAGGAAGGTGTGAAAAGAAGAAGTCATTTATATAATTTTGGGGTTTCTGCTGAGGAAACCTGAGTGAACTCACTTCAGATGCATTTGGAATATTTTAATAAAAAGTACTTGATTTTGGCTGCTTCAGGAACTGCTGGAAGAAGGAAGCAATCCTAGAATTGGCATAAAAACACACTGACTCATTACTCCCCTTTGTTACTATTAGGCATCAGAGATACATGTTTTGTTGATTTTAGGTATAGAAATCAGACAAACTTGAATCTGAATACATTGGTTTCCTTGTTCAAGGAGCCACCTCTTGGATACAATAGCTATTTCATGAAACTTCTTTAGGGAACAACATGATACTCCCAAGAAGGCTATTTTAGAAACAAAAATTATGCTGGATTCTAATTAACTCCTAAAATGCTCATTTTCAATGAATATTGCAGTGATTTCTGAATGAAAAACTGATCAATATCTAATGCTTGTAGCAGTCTTACTTTGTATGTGTATGTCAAAATTGATAATTGATGATATTTTTATTGAGGCTAATATATTATCCTTTGTTGCCATGACTGGATGAAGAAACTTTCGGAAGGCTAAACTAGTGGATACAAGAAACTTAGGCAGATTATTGCACCATATGGGGGTGAGAGATAATGAATATTATCTACTAGGTATCAGCAAACAGATATCCAAGGTGATGAATTTAGGTCACTTCCACTGAAGAGATGTGAAGTGTACGTTCAACTGAATTGTCATGGTAATTGTGTGCCTTCTCAGTTATTGGGCAAGTTAAAGAGCATGATGAATGTTTGTAGTATAATGGTGTAAATCCTTTTTATTTCCTGCATGAAAGACATGTGGGATCATGTAGCACCTGCTTTGACATTGATTCTCAGGTGTATGAGTTGCTCCTCTGATTTTAGATCACTTTGTCCTCATCACTCGGCATATCCACGTTGATATTGACACGGTTTTATTTTAGTTTTTCACATATGACAAATCATACCATGTTTGAAATTCTAAGACTATATTTCATGGAGCCTGTATTCCATTTTCTCAGCGTATTTCTGTCATGTTCTAGTCCCCAGACACAAAGTAGAAGCCATCAAAGCCTACGCTAATACAGGCAGGAGGACAGAGGTTGATGCTAACACTGTATGAATGTATGGATAATTTTGTCATTTTTACACATGAGTGATTATGAATCCCTTTTACTTTTCAGTGTCTTCTGAGAAACCATCAGGCTTGAAGGTAATGAAACTGTCATTTATATTGTGAACTAGTAAATGTATAGTCTATGAAACATACTTTATTAATTTATTATTTCATTTGAAATTCCATTCAGGCTACAAGTGCCGAGAAAGATTCTGTTTTGAATATAGCCAGAGGAAAAAAGTATGGAGAAAAAACTAAGAGAGGTAATTTTGAAAAGAGATTTAATGTCATGTTCAGTGCAGATAGATAAGAAGTTCTCTTCCCTGAATAAATCAGCGGGGGGCTCGTTGAAGCTGCACATTCTGATTCAGCAGTCCTGAGATTCTTCATTTCAAATAAGTTCTTGGGTGATGCTGATGCTGCTGGTCTGGAACATGATCTTCGCAGTAAGATTATACACTTCCCCACATTGAAATTGGGAAGAAGAATTATGGAGAGCAGTTCAAGGCATAAGGGGCTCTGGGGAACAACATAATTTTGCTTTAATTCTCCAGCTTGTTTTCAGTAAGGGTGGAAGGAGAAAGAGAGGAAGTATAGAATTTACACACTTCAGCTCGTACTGCCAAGAAAAGACAGAAAGCTTGTTGTAACAACCCGTAGACACTGTGGGAGAACTAAGGAGACCCCTGGTGTAGCAACAGTTTTCCTAAGGAAGACGGATTGTGAGGCAGGAAGGTGTGAAAAGAGGAAGTCATTTATATAATTTTGGAGTTTCTGCTGAGGAAACCTGAGTGAACTCACTTCAGATGCATTTGGAATATTTTCATAAAAAATATTTGCTTTTAGCTGCTCCAGGAACTACTGGAAGCAGGAAACAGTGGTATAATTGGAATACACCACACTGACCCATTACTCCTCTTGGTTACTAGGAGGCATCAGAGATACATGTTTTGTTGATTTTAGTTATAAAAATGAGATAATCTTGAATGTGAATAAATTTGCTTCCTTGTTCAAGGAGCTACCTCGTGGATAAAATAGCTATTTAATGTAACTTCTTTAGAGAATAACACGATACTCCCAACCAGACTATTTTAGACACAAGAATGATGTTGAATTCTAATTAACTCCTAAAATAGTCATTTTCAATGAATATTGCAGTGATTTCTGAATGAAAAGCTGATTAATATCTAATGCTTGTAGCCATTTTACTTTGTAGACGTATGTCAAAGTTGATAATTGATGATATTTTTATTGAGGCTAATATATTATCCTTTGGTGCCAAGAGTGGATGAAGAAGCTTTCGGAAGGCTAAACTAGTGGATACAAGAAACTTAGGCAAATTATTACACTACATGGGTGTGAAAGATAATGAATATTATCTACTAGGTATCAGCAAACAGATATCCAAGGTGATCAATTCAGGACACTTCCACTGAAGAGATGTGAAGTGTACTTTCAACTGGAGTGTCATTGTAATTGTGTGCCTTCTCATTTATTGGGCAAGTTAAAGAGCATGAAGAATGTTTGTAGTATAATGGTGTAAATCCTTTTGATTTGTTGCATGAAAGACATATGGGATCATGTAGCACCTGTTTTGACATTGATTCTCACGTATATGAGTTGTTCCTCTGATTTTAGATCACATTTGTCCTCATCACTCGGCATATCCACATTGAGATTGACACGGTTTTATTTTAGTTTTTGACACGTGACAAATCATATAATGTTTGAAATTGTAAGGGTATATTTCATGGAGCCTGTGTTCCCTTTTTCAGTGTATTTCTGTCATGTTCTGATCCCCAGACACAAAGTAGAAGCCATCAAAGCCTCCACTAATACAGGCAGGAGGACAGAGGTTGATGCTAACACTGTGTGAATGTATGGATAACTTTATCATATTTACATGTGAGTGATTATGTATCCCTTTTGCTTTTCAGTGTCTTCTCGGAAAAAACCAGCCTTGAAGGTAATGAAACTCTCATTCATATTGTGAGCTAGTAAACGTATAGCCTATGAAAGATACCTTACTTATTATTTCATTTCAAATTCCATTCAGGCTACAAGTGACGAGAAAGATTCTGTTTTGTATATAGCCAGAGAAAAAAAGGATGGAGAAAAATCTAGGACAGGTAATTTTGAAAACAGATTTAATGTCATGTTCAGTCCAGATAGGTAAGAAATTCTCTTCCCTGAATAAATCAGCGGAGGGCTCGTTGAAGCTGCACATTCTGATTCAGCAGTCCTGAGATTCTTCATTTCAAATAAGTTCTTGTGTGGTGCTGATGCTGCTGGCCTGGAACATGATCTTCGCTCTAAGATTATACCCTTCCCCACATTGAAATTGGGAAGAAGAAATACGGAGAGCAGCTCAAGACATAAGGGGCTCTGGGGAACAACATAATTTTACTTTAATTCTACAGCTTGTTTTCAGTAAGGGTGGAAGGATAAAGAGAGGAAGTATAGATTTTACAGACGTCACATCGTACTGCTAAAAACAGACAGATAACTTGTTGTAATAACCCGTGTACAGTGTAGGAGAACTAAGGAGACCCCTGGTGTAGCAACTATTTTCCTAAGGAAGACGGATTGTGAGGCAGGAAGGCGGAATAAGAGGAATTCTTTTATATAATTTTGGGGTTTCTGCTGAGTAAACCTGAGTGAACTCACTTCAGATGCATTTAGAATATTTTCATTAAAAAATTTGATTTTGGCTGCTCGAGGAACTACTGGAAGCAGGAAACAATGGTATAATTGGAATACACCACACTGACTCATTACTCCTCTTTGTTACTAGGAGGCGTCAGAGATACATGTTTTGTTGATTTTAGTTATAAAAATGAGATAATCTTGAATATGAATAAATTTCCTTCCTTGTTCAAGGAGCTACCTCTTGGATGAAATAGCTATTTAATGAAACTTCTTTAGAGAATAACGTGATACTCCCAAAAAGACTATTTTAGAAACAAAAATGATGTTGAATTCTAATTAACTCCTAAAATAGTCATTTTCAATGAATATTGCAGTGATTTCTGAATGAAAAACTGATTAATATCTAATGCTTGTAGCAGTTTTACTTTGAAGAAGTATGTCAAAGTTGATAATTGATGATATTTTTATTGAGGCTAATATATTATCCTTTGGTGCCATGAGTGGATGAAGAAACTTTTGGAAGTCTAAACTAGTGGATACAAGAAACTTAGGAAAATTATTACACCACATGGGGGTGAGAGATAATGAATATTATCTACTAGGTATCAGCAAGCAGATATCCAAGGTGATCAATTTAGGACACTTCCACTGAAGAGATGTGAAGTGTACGTTCCACTGAAATGTCTTCGTAATTGTGTGCCTTCTCAGTTATTGGGCAAGTTAAAGAGCATGATGAATGTTTGTACTATAATGGTGTAAATCCTTTTGATTTGTTGCATGAAAGACATGTGGGATCCTGTAGCACCTGCTTTGACATTGATTCTCAGGTGTATGAGTTGCTCCTCTGATTTTAGATCACTTTGTCCTCATCACCCGGCATATCGACATTGATATTGACAGGGCTTTATTTTAGTTTTCGACATATGACAAATCATAGCATCTTTGAAATTGTAAGGATATATTTCATGGAGCCTGTATTCCCTTTTTTCAGTGTATTTCTGTCATGTTCTGGTCCCCAGACACAAAGTAGAAGCCGTCAAGGCCTACACTAATACAGGCTGGGGGACAGAGTTTGATGCTAACACTGTATGAATGTATGGATAACTTTATCATATTTACATATGAGTGATTATGTATCCCTTTTGCTTTTCAGTGTCTTCTCCGAAACAACCAGCATTGAAGGTAATTAAGCTCTCATTTATATTTTGAACTATTAACTGTATAGTATATGAAATATACTTTATTTATTGACTGTTTTGTTTCAAATTCTATTCAGGCTATCTGTGACAAGGAAGATTCTGTTCCGAATATGGCCACGGAAAAAAAGGATGAACAAATATCTGGGACAGGTAATTTTGCAAACACATTTAATATGATGTTCGGTCAGGGTAGAAGAGAACTTCTCTTCACCAAATAAAACAGCGGGGGGTTCGTCAAGCCTTCATGTTCTGCTTCAGTATTCCTGAGATTATTCATTTGTAATAAGTTCTCGGGTGACCCTGATGCTGTGGTCCTTGGCCATGATGGAAGTACTAAGATTATAGATGTCTGTACTTTGAAATTGGGAAAAAGAACCATCTGACAGCAATTCAACACATAACAGGCTCAGGGGACAGCATCATTTTGCTTTAATTCTACAGCATGTTTCCATCAAGAGGGAAAAGAGAAAGAGATGAAGTAATAGATATTAGAGGCGTCAGATTGTATTGTGATAAACAGAGGGAAAAGTGATCCTAATACCACAAAAACACTGTAGAATGAGAACTAGCAAGAGCAGTGATGTAGCAATTATTTTCCTCAAGGAATAGGGATTGTGAGTCAGGAAGGAGGGAAAAGTAGTTATTTATGTAATTTGGGATTTCTGCTGAGGAAACCTCAGTGAACTCACTTCAATACATTTGGAACATTTGCATAAAAGAAGATTTGATTTTGGCTGCTCCAGGAACTACTAGAAGCAGGAAACTATGCTAGAATTGGGATAAACCACAGTGACTCATTACTCCTCTTTAGGAGTAATTTACTATTAGGCATCAGAGATACATGTTTTGTTGATTTCAGTTATAAAACTGAGATAAACGAATATGAATACATTGGCTTCAAAGTTCAAGGAGCTAAGTCTTGGATAAAATAGCTATTGAATGAAACTTCTTTAGAGAATAGCATGATACTCCAAAGAAGACTTTTTAGAAACAAAAAATATGTTGAATTCTAATTAACTCCTAAAGTGGTCCTTTCAATGAATATTTGATTGATTTCTGAATGTAAAACTTATTAATATCTAATGCTTGTAGCAGTTTTACTTTGTAGAAATATGTCAACATTGGTAATTGATGATATTTTTATTGAGGCTAATATATTATCCTTTGGTGCCATGAGTGGATGAAGAAACTTTCAGAAGGCTAAACGAGTGGATACAAGAAACTTAGGCAAATTATTACACCACAGGGGTGTGAGAAATAATGAATAT
Source organism: Homo sapiens (assembly GCF_000001405.40). Classification (NCBI taxonomy): domain Eukaryota; kingdom Metazoa; phylum Chordata; class Mammalia; order Primates; family Hominidae; genus Homo; species Homo sapiens. The sequence continues at coordinate 187,558 of NW_025791765.1, forward strand.
TCTCTACTAGGTTTCAGCAAACATAATCCAAGCTGATCAATTTAGGACACTTCCACTGAAGAGACGTGAAGTGTACGTTCAACTGAAGTGTCATTGTAATTGTGTGCCTTCTCAGTTATTGGGCAAGTTAAAGAGCATGATGAATGTTTGTACTATAATGGTGTAAATCCTTCTGATTTCTTGCATGGAAGACATGTGGCATCATGTAGAACCTGCTTTGACATTGATTCTCAATTGTATGAGTTGCTCCTCTGATTTTAGATCACATTTGTCCTCATCACTTGGCATATCCACATTGATATTGACACGGTTTTATTTTAGTTTTAGACATATGACAAATCATGCCATGTTTGAAATTGTAAGTATATTTTGTGAAGCCTGTATTCACCTTTTTCAGTGTATTTCTGTCATATTCCAGTCCCGAGTCACAAAGTAGAAAACATCAAAGCCTATACTAATACAGGCAGGAAGATACATCTTGATGCCAACAGTGCAGGAATGTATGGATAACTTTATCATATTTACATATGAGTGATTATGTATCCCTTTTGCTTTTCAGTGTCTTGTCAGAAACAACCAGCCTTGAAGGTAATTAAACTCTCATTTATATTGTGAACTATTAACTGTGTGGTCTATGAAACATAGTTTATGTATTGATTATTTTGTTTCAAATTCCATTCAGGCTACAAGTGACAAGAAAGATTCTGTTTCGAATATACCCACAGAAATAAAGGATGGACAACAATCTGGAACAGGTAATTTTGCAAAACACATTTAATGTCATGTTCAGTCCAGATAGAAAAGTACTTCTCTTCCCCGAACAAATCAGTGTGGGGCTCATCAAAACTGCACATTCTGATTCAGCAGGCCTGACATTCTTCATTTTTAATAAGTTCTTGGGTGACGCTGATGCTGCTGGTCTTGGACATGATCTTTGCAGTAAGATTATAGACTTCCCCACATTGAAATTGGGAAGAAGAAATATGGAGAGCAGTTCAAGACATAAGGGGCTCAGGGGAACAGCATAATTTTGCTTTAATTCTACAGCATGTTTTCAATAAGGGTAGAAGGAGAAAGACATGAAGTATATATTTTACAGACGTCACATCATACTGCTATAAAAAAGACAGAATAGTGATCCTAATAACCTGTAGACGCTGTAGAATGAGAACTAAGGAGACCACTGATATAGCAATGATTTTTCCCAAGGAAGAGGGATTGTGAGGCAGGAAGGAGGGAAAAGAAGAAGTTATTTATGTAATTTTGGGGTTTCTGCTGAGGAAACCTGAGTGGACTCACTTCAGAGGCATTTAGCATATTTGCATAAAGAAGATTTGATTTTGGCAGCTGCTGGAACTACTGGGTGCAGGAGATAATGCTAGAATTGGGATAAACTTCATTTACTAATTACTCTTCTTTGTTACTGTTAGATATCAGACTTAAACACGTTTTGTTGATTTTAGTTTTTTATAGAAGTTAGATAAACTTGAATATGAATACATTGGCTTCATTGATCAAAGAGCTGACTCTTGGATAAAATAGGTATTTAATGAATATTCTTTAGAGAATAGCATGATATTCCTAACAAGACTATTTTAGAAACAAAAATAATGTTGAATTCAACAACTGACTCCTAAAATGGTAATTTTCAATGAATATTGGAGTGATTTCCAAGTGTAAAAGCTTATTAATATCCAATACTTGTAGCAGTTTTATTTAGTAGAATTATGTCAAAATTGATAATTGATGATGCTTTTTATTGAGGTTATATATTATACTTTGTTGCCACGAGTGGATGAAGAAATGTTCAAAAGGCTAAACTAGAGAATACAAGAAGCTTAGGCAAATTATTACAGCACATGGGTGTGAGAAATAATGAATTATTTACTTGGATTCAGGAAACATACATCCACGTTGATCGATTTAGGTCCCTTCCACTTAAGAGATGTGAAGTGCACGTTCAAGTGAAGTGTCATTGTAATTGTGTACCTTCTCAGTTATTGGGCAAGTTAAAGAGCATGTTGAATGTTTGCAGTATAATGGTTTAATCATTCGGATATCTTGCATGAAAGTCATGCGGGTGCATGTACCACCTGCTTTGACATTGATTCCCAGGTGATTAGTTTCTTCTGTGATTTTAGACCACATTTGTCCTCATCACTCGGCATATCCTTATTGAAATTGACACTTTTATTTTAGTTTTAGTCATATGACAAATCATACTACGTTTGAAATGCTTAGTGTATATTTCTTGAAACCTGTATTCCTGTTTTCTTCAGTGTATTTCTGTCATGTTCCCATCCCAAAACACAAAGTATAAAGCATCAAAGCCTACACTAATAACTGCAGACAGAGGCAGCTTGATGCTAACACTGCATGAATGTTTGAATAACTTTATCATATGCACATATGAGTGATTATGTATCTGTTTTGCTTTTCAGTGTCTTCTCAGAAACAACCGGCCTGGAAGGTAATTAAACACTCATATATATTTTGAACTATTAACTGTATAGTCTATGAATATATACTTTATGTATTGATTATTTTGTTTCAAATCCCATTCAGGCTACAAGTGTCAAGAAAGATTCTGTTTCGAATATAGCCACAGAAATAAAGGATGGACAAATACGTGGGACAGGTATTTTGGAATACACCTTTAATGTAATGTTCGATCAAATAGAAGAGAAATTCACTTCCCTAAATAAATCAGCGGGGGGTTCATTGAAGTTTTATGTTTGGATTCAGCATGCCTGAGATTCTTCATTTGTAATAAGTCCTCAGGTGACCCTGATGGTGCTGGTCCTTGACCATGATCTGAGTAGTAAGATTGTAGACTTCCCTACATTGAAATTGGGAAGAAGAGCCATAGGAGAGCGGTTCAGCACATAACAGCCTCAGGGGACAGCATCATTTTGCTTTAATTCTACAGCAAGTTTCCATCAAGAGGGGAAGGAGAAAGAGATGAAGTAATAGATATTATAGGCGTCAGATCATATTGTTATAAACAGAGGGAAAAGTGATCCTAATACCTCAAAAACAGCATAGAATGAGAACGAACAAGATCACTGAAGTAGTAATTATTTTCCGCAAGGAAGAGGGATTGTGAGGCAGGAAGGAGAGAAAAGAAGAAGTTATTTATGTAATTTTGGGGTTTCTGTTGAGGAAAGCTGAGTGAACTCACTTCAGATAAATTTGGAATATTTGCATAAAAGAATATTAAATTTTGGCTTCTCCAAGAACTACTGGAAGCAGGAAACAATGCTAGAATTGGGATAAAGCACACTGACTCGTTACTCCTCTTTGTTACTGTTAGGCATCAGAGATACATGTTTTGTTGATTTTAGTTATAAAAATGAGATAAACTTGAATATGAATACATTGGCTTCATTGTTCAAGGAGCTAACTCTTGGGTAAAATAGCTATTGGATGAAACTTCTTTAGAGAATAGCATGATACTCCCAACAAGACTATTATAGAAACAAAAAGTATGTGGAATTCTAATTAACTCCTAAAGTGGTCATTTTCAATGAATATTGGAGTGATTTGTGAATGTAAAACATATTAATATCTAACGCTTGTAGCAGTTTTACTTTGTAGAAGTATGTCAAAATTGATAATTGATGATATTTTTATTGAGGCTAATATATTATCCTTTGGTGCCATGAATGGATGAAGAAATTTTGGAAGGCTAAACGAGTGGATACAAGAAACTTAGGCAAATTATTACACCACGTGGGTGTGAGGAATAATAAATATTATCTACTCAGTTTCAGCAAACAGATATCCAAGGTGATCAATTTAGGACACTTCCACTGAAGAGACGTGAAGTGTACATTCAACTGAAGTGTCATTGTAATTGTGTACCTTCTCAGTTATGGGGCAAGTTAAAGAGCATGATGAATGTCTGTAGTATAATGGTGTAAATCCTTTTGATTTCTTGCATGAAAGACCTGTGGGATCAAGTACCACCTACTTTGACATTGATTCTCAATTGTATGAGTTGATCCTCTGATTTTAGATCACATTTGTCCTCATCACTCAGCATATCCACGTTGATATTGACACGGTTTTATTTTAGTTTTAGACATATGACAAATCATACCATGCTTGAAATTGTAAGTATATTTTTCATGAAGGCTGTATTACTTTATTCAGTGTATTTCTGTCATGTTCCAATCCCCAGACACAAAGTAGGAAACATCAAATCCTACCCTAATACAGGCAGAAGGATACAGCTTGATGCTAACACTGCATGAATGTATGGACGACTTTGTCATATTTACATATGATGAATTATATATTTCTTTTACTTTTCAGTGTCTCCTCAGAAACAATCGGCCCAGAAGGTAGTTACTCTTTCATTTATATTTTGAATTATTTATTGCATAGCCTATGAAATATATATTATGTATTGACTATTTTGTTTCTCTTTCCATTCAGGTTATATTTAAAAAGAAAGTTTCTCTTTTGAATATTGCCACAAGAATAACAGGCGGTTGGAAATCTGGAACAGGTAATTTAGCAATATACATTTAATGTCATGTGCACTCAAGATAGAAGACAACATCCCACCCCTGAATAGATCAGCAGGGTGCTCATTGAAAATGCACTTTCTGATTCAGCAGGCCTGAGATTGTGCATTTCTACTGAGTTGTCAGGTGTTGTTGATGCTGCTGGTCCTTGGCCATGATCTTAGTAACAAGCTTATAGACTTCCCTACATGGAAATTGTGTAGAAGAACCATTGGAAAACAGTTCAAGACATAAGAGATAAGAGGATCCGGGGACAGCATAATTTTGCTCTTATTTCAGAGCATGTTTCTATGGAAAGGGGAAGGAGAAAGAGAAAAAAGTAATAGAAATTATAGATGTCAGATGGTACTACTTAAACCAGAGGGAGGAAGTTGTCATAATAACCCATAAACACTGGAGAATGAGGAGCAAGGTGACCACTGATGTAGTAATTATTTTCATCAAGAAAGAGGGATTGCAAGGCAAGAAAGAGGGGAAGGAAGAAGTTATTTAGGTAATTTTGGGGTTTCTGCTGAGGAAGCCTGAGTGAACTCACTTCAGATGCATTTTGAATATTTGCATACCGGATCATCTGATTTCTGGCTGCTCCAATGACTACTGGAATCAGGAAGGAGTGCTAGAATTGGGATAAACCACAGTGCCTCATTATTCATGTTTCTTAGTATCAGACATCACACATATATTTTTTATTAGTTATTCAAATGAGTTGAAGTTTAATATGAATATTTAGTTTTTTTCCAAAGTGCTGGCTGTCTTGTTAAAATAGCTATTTAATGAAAATTCTTTATAGTAAAGTGATATTCCAGAGCAGACTAATTTTACAGACAAAAATAATGTTGAATTCATTAATTGAATCCTAAAGTGATTATTTTCAATGAATATTAGACTGATTTCCAAATGTATAAGTTTATTAATATCTAATGCCTGGAGTAATTCCATTTTGTATAAATATGTATAATTTATTATACTTTTTGATGGGGTTTATATATTATACCTTCTTGCCATTAGTGGATGAAGAAAGTTTCTGAAGGCTAAACTAGAGGATATAAGAAATGTAGGCAGATTATTACACCACATGGGCATGATAAATAATGAATATTAACTACTAGGATTCACCAAACATATATCCAAGCAGATCAATTCAGGACACTTACACTGAAGACACGTGAAGTGTATGTTCAACTGAAGTGTCATTGTAATTGTGTACCTTCTCAGTTATCAGACAAGCTATAGAGCATGATGAATGTTTATGTTATACTGGTATAAAGCCTTCTGATGTCTTGTATGAAAGTCATGCAGTCGCAGTTAGCACTAGCTTTTACACTTATTTCTAGGGTTATGACTTGCTCCTCTGATTTTAGATCACATTTCTCCTTGTTAATCAGTATACCCACATTGATATTAACACTTTTTTTTAGCAATAGATGTGGTGCATAATCTCACTTTTTAACTTGTAACTGTATGTTTTGAAGCTTGTATTCCTATTTTCTTCATTGCATTTCTATCATATTACTGTCCCAAAGAAACAAACTAGAAAAATATGAAACCCTACACTAATACAGGCAAGAGTATTCAGTTTGATGCTAACACTCCACGAATGTATGGTTGGCCTTACCATATTTACATATGATTGATTATATATTTCTCTTGCTTGTTAGAGTATCCTGAGAATCTGCCCACCTTGAAGGTAATTACTCTTACATTTATATTTTTAATTATTAACTGCATAACCTATACCAATATACATCATGTGCTAATCACTTTGTTTTAAAACCCATTCAGGCTACAATTGAAAATAAAAATTCTGTTCTGAATACAGCCACCAAAATGAAGGATGTACAAACATCCACACCAGGTAAACTTTGCATTGTAGATTTAACTCTGGAAAGAAGTACATTAATCTGTTTGTAATGCTCATAGTCTTTCTATTCTCAATTATTTCACTTTTTATATTTTATTTCAGGATTTCATCTAAATAATGCAGCTGTTATCATTTTTATTTATATTTTCAAAAATGAGATTTACATGCATAAAGAAAATATATTTTTAAAACATAAGGTTTTTTTGTTTTGTTTTGTTTTTTGTTTTGTTTTGTTTTTTGTTTTTGGAGACAGAGCTTTGCTCTTGTTGCCCAGGGTGGAGTGCAATGGCTCAATTGTAACTCACGACAACCTCCACCTTCCTGGTTCAAGCAATTCTCTTGCCTCAGCCTCCCGAGTAGCTGGGATTACAGGTATGCCCCACCATGCCCGGCTAATTTTGTATTTTTAGTAGAGACAGGCTTTCTCCATGTTGGTCAGGCTGGTCTTGAGCTCTCGACCTCAGGTGATCCTCCCGCCTCGCCCTCCCAAAGTGCTGGGATTACAGGTGTGAACCACCATGCCTGGCCTAAAAATATAAGGTTTTATTCAGATGTTTCTACTTTTACATTTTGATACTCTGAAGTTTCCAATTTGGAATTTCAATAGTTTTTAGCGAATTAAAGAGATCAATTTTGATACTGTAAAATATTTGTTTTGCTTTAAAAGTCAATTAAAATTATGGCTTTTAGCTAATGAAATGTTTTATTTTGTAACATATTTTGTTTTAACTTTTATTGGTTCTGGTCAATTTTGTTACACTTATTATATTAAGCCAATCGGATGTTCTGATTAGCACACTGTGTGTGTGTGTGTGTGTGTGTGTGTGTGTGTGTTTTATTTTTTTGTTTTTAATTTTAATGAGTAAATTGTAGGTGTTTATGTTTATGGAGTAGATGAGATAGTTTGATACAGGCATACAATGTGTAATAATGACATCATGGTTAATGGGTTATCCATCACCTCAAGCATTAACCATTTCTTTGTGCTATCTTTTCATTTGTACTTCCTCAGTAATGCTAAAATGGACAAGTTATTGCTGACTGTAGTCATGTTTTTGTGCTATAAAATGCTACATTTTATTCATTGTTTCTAACTATAGTTTGTACTTATTAAGCATCCTCATTTCCTACCACCCCCACACCCTTCCTAGACTGTGGTAATGGTGATTTTTCTCTTCATCTCCATGAGCTCTATTTTTTAAATTTCTCACACCCACAAAGGATTGACAACATGTGAAGCCTTCCTTTCTTTGCCTGGATTATTTTACTTGACATAATGTCCTCCTGTTCCATCCATGTCATTGCGAATGAGAGGATCTTATTCTTTCACATGGCTGAGCCGTATATGTATCACATTTTTAGAACCCATTTTTCTGTTGATGTACATTTAGGTTGATTCCAAATTATGGCTATTGTGAAAAGTGCTGCAATAAACATGTCAGGACAGATTTCTCTTTTATAATACTGATTTTCTTGCTTTTTTTTTTTTTTTTTTAATTTTTAATTTTCTTTTTTTTTTTTAATTTTTTTTTTTTTTATTATACTCTAAGTTTTAGGGTACATGTGCACATTGTGCAGGTTAGCTATATATGTATACATGTGCCATGCTGGTGCGCTGCACCCACTAACGTGTCATCTAGCATTAGGTATATCTCCCAATGCTATCCCTCCCCCCTCCCCCGACCCCACCACAGTCCCCAGAGTGTGATATTCCCCTTCCTGTGTCCATGTGATCTCATTGTTCAATTCCCACCTATGAGTGAGAATATGCAGTGTTTGGTTTTTTGTTCTTGCGATAGTTTACTGAGAATGATGATTTCCAATTTCATCCATGTCCCTACAAAGGACATGAACTCATCATTTTTTATGGCTGCATAGTATTCCATGGCATATATGTGCCACATTTTCTTAATCCAGTCTATCATTGTTGGACATTTGGGTTGGTTCCAAGTCTTTGCTATTGTGAATAGTGCCGCAATAAACATACGTGTGCATGTGTCTTTATAGCAGCATGATTTATAGTCCTTTGGGTATATACCCAGTAATGGGATGGCTGGGTCAAATGGTATTTCTAGTTCTAGATCCCTGAGGAATCGCCACACTGACTTCCACAATGGTTGAACTAGTTTACAGTCCCACCAACAGTGTAAAAGTGTTCCTATTTCTCCACATCCTCTCCAGCACCTGTTGTTTCCTGACTTTTTAATGATTGCCATTCTAACTGGTGTGAGATGATATCTCATAGTGGTTTTGATTTGCATTTCTCTGATGGCCAGTGATGATGAGCATTTCTTCATGTGTTTTTTGGCTGCATAAATGTCTTCTTTTGAGAAGTGTCTGTTCATGTCCTTCACCCACTTTTTGATGGGGTTGTTTGTTTTTTTCTTGTAAATTTGTTTGGGTTCATTGTAGATTCTGGATATTAGCCCTTTGTCAGATGAGTAGGTTGTGAAAATTTTCTCCCATGTTGTAGGTTGCCTGTTCACTCGGATGGTAGTTTCTTTTGCTGTGCAGAAGCTCTTTAGTTTAATTAGATCCCATTTGTCAATTTTGGCTTTTGTTGCCATTGCTTTTGGTGTTTTGGACATGAAGTCCTTGCCCACGCCTATGTCCTGAATGGTAATGCCTAGGTTTTCTTCTAGGGTTTTTATGGTTTTAGGTCTAACATTTAAATCTTTAATCCATCTTGAATTGATTTTTGTATAAGGTGTAAGGAAGGGATCCAGTTTCAGCTTTCTACATATGGCTAGCCAGTTTTCCCAGCACCATTTATTAAATAGGGAATCCTTTCCCCATTGCTTGTTTTTCTCAGGTTTGTCAAAGATCAGATAGTTATAGATATGTGGCATTATTTCTGAGGGCTCTGTTCTGTTCCATTGATCTATATTTCTGTTTTGGTACCAGTACCAGGCTGTTTTGGTTACTGTAGCCTTGTAGTATAGTTTGAAGTCAGGTAGTGTGATGCCTCCAGCTTTGTTCTTTTGGCTTAGGATTGACTTGGCGATGCGGGCTCTTTTTTGGTTCCATATGAACTTTAAAGTAGTTTTTTCCAATTCTGTGAAGAGATTTTCTTGCTTTTGAATCGTTACCTAGCAATGGGATTGCTGGATCATGTGGGTAGCTGTATTTTTAATTTTTTGAGGACTCTATAGTGTTCTCCATGGTGACTGTACTAATTCACAATGCCACCAATGGTGTAGGAGGGTTCTGCTTTCTCCACATCCTCACCAGCATTTCTTAATGCCTGCCATTTGGATAAAAGCCATTTTAACTGAGGTGAGACGATACCTCATTGTAGCTTTGATTTGCATTTCTGTGATGATCAGTGATGTCGAGCACCTTTCCATATACCTGTTTGCCTTCTGATAGCAGTTTGAAACATAACAGTGTCATTTTGCTACTATTTCTGAGCATGTTTCTAGCCAGAGGGAAAGGAACACAAATTTAGGAAATAGAAATTATACATGTAAGGTACTACTGCTAAATTAAGAGGCTTTCCTCTTCATTTGTGGTGGGAATAATTTATGAGAGCTATATAGAAGTGTTGATATTAGTTAATCAAATGAAATTTATTTGAACTAAGAAACTTTGACTGATTTTACTAAGAAACCTATTTTTTTAATAAGATCACAGTTCCATGAAAGTGCCTTAGAGATTAGCATGGTATATCAAATCAAACTAATTTTAGAAACAAAAAGTTATAGCATTCATTCTTTGAATAACAAAACCAAAATAATCAGTGAACGTTGCACTGATTTTGAAGTATAAAATGTTATTAATAAGTCTGTGGAAATTTAATTTTTTCATTTTTGACAATTATTTACATATTGAAAGCTTATTATACACTTTTTTTTTTTTTTTTTTTTGAGACAGAGTCTTGCTCTGTCTCCCAGCCTGGAGTGTAATGGCACAATCTCGGCTCACTGCAACCTCCACCTCCCGGGTTAAAGCGATTCTCCTGCCTCAGCCCCCTGAGTAGCTGAGATTACAGGCACATGACACCATGCCCAGCTAATTTTTGTATTTTGAGTAGAGATGGGGTTTCACCATGTTAGTCAGGCTGGTCTTGACCTCCTGACCTTGTGATCCACTTGCTTCAGCCTCCCAAAGTGCTGTGATTACAGGCGTGAGCCACCACACCCAGCCTATACACTATTTTTGATGTGGTTTACATATCTTCTTGCATGAGTGGATTCAGAAAGTTCTTGACAGGGCCAAACTGCAGGATACAAGCAATGTAGACATAGCAGTAGCCTACCTAGGAATGAAAAAAATGAATAGTTTTATTAATTTTTATTCTACAACTGTCTATCTAAGCTGATTAATTTTAAACAGTTTCTCTGATGAGAAATAAATTGTATATTTATTGGAAGTGTCCTCACAATTTTGTACTTCCTAAATAATAGGAAAAACAGTTGGACATGATAAATGCTTGTAGTATAATGGTGTAATTGAATCTGAAGTATTGCATTAAAGATAGGCCATAGCATCCTCCCATCAGCTTTGATACTTACTCTCTCAGGATCATGATTTGCTATTCTTTATAAGGATCATTTTTCTCATTATCAGTCAACATGTTTACATTGGAATAGATACACTCTTCTATTTCAGTTATAGTTAGTTGAGACATAATCTCACTTTAGAAACCTTAACTACATATGTTATAAAACCTGTATTAAATAAAACCGTTTATCTGAGGAAAGATAGCCAGAATCAAGGAAGACTTCACATAGCTGTCTGAGTCTTAAATTATGAAAGAAATCTGTCAGAATAGTTGAGGAAAATATTTTAGATATAAAGAAGAGACTGTACATTGATGAAAGTGTAAACAGTAGCAGTCATTTTGGAAATGATTAATAATGAACAGCAGGCTCAAAGTGCTGTTCTAAAGGTACTATTGTGAAGTAAAGAACAGTGTGCTGTTACTTTTTCTGTTTCTATTGGATTTTTACATTTTGTTTTATTTCTGATGGTTTCGTTCATTGATGTTGGGTGGGTGAATTTGTGAGTGAATCTTTGACCACGTTTGCATGGCTTGAACCTGGTGACATCTAGTGCCTCCCCAAGTGGTTTGCTGAAGTTTTGGAGGATTAAAAGCCTTTCTTAAAGAAGTAAATATTATACTAAAGATTAAGCTTCGTTGAAACACTTTTATTTTCTGGTTTTAGAAAGACTATCGTTTTGTTTTTTTGTTTTTTTGTTTTTTTTTTTTTGAGACACAGTCTCGCTCTGCCACCCAGGCTGGAGGTGCAGTGGTGAGATCTTCAGCTCACTGCAAGCTCCACTTCCCGGGCTCACGCCATTCTCCTGCACCAGCCTCCCGACTAGCTGGGACTACAGGCGCCCGCCACCACGCCCAGCTAATTTTTTGTATTTTTTAGTAGAGACGAGGTTTCACCTTGTTAGCCAGGATGGTCTCGATCTCCTGACCTCGTGATCCACCTGCCTCGGCCTCCCAAAGTGCTGGGATTACAGGCGTGAGCCACCGCTGACCATGGCTTTTATCTAACTGTTCTGTGTAGCTCATTTTAACTAAATATATAATTTTTTTAGCAGAACAAGACTTAGAAATGGCATCAGAGGGAGAGCAAAAGAGGCTTGAAGAATATGAAAATAACCAGCCACAGGTATGTAAAAATTTAAAATCAAATTTCTGGTTTAATCTTGTTTTCCTAGCTTTGGTAATACAGCATATTTGAAATGAATTTACCTTTGGATTAGCCTTTTAGTATCAGTTGATTATAATTTAATATTTCATTTTAAAAACATTTAACTAGTTATAAAACTTAAAATAGTGTTGGAATCTATAGCAACTTGTATCTTATCTTTACTCTTGGAACTGAGTTAAAAAGTTCCTGATATTGTTTGCACTTCTATTTTTATAACTTCCTATTATAATAAAGAAGGTAACATCAAATATTGAATTACAATTTTAAGCAATAGAAATTATGAACAATTTAACAGTGATGACCACCGTACTGGATTCAGATTAAAGGAGTAATTATTGCTAGTGGTTCAAACTTTGCAGTTTTTTTATTGCCAGTCACTAATACCAAGGTTAAAAATTTATTTTCCTTTTTGATCTCTGACTTCAGTTTCTATGTTCAGGGAGAGAATGCGTTATAAAATCAACCCAACTGGCTATCAAGAGAATTATACCTTGCAGAATGGCACCTTTGGTATTAGTGTACAAACAATAACTGCCTAATGTATTTCAATATAGAAAATCTCTAAATATTGTTAAATTTATTAAATCCACTGTCATTAGTAGACCTTAGAACTTAAGCCTATAATCTATATAAATATATAACACTGTCAATCATATTACAATGTGTAATTTGCATTAAAATGTAAGAATTTGCTTTTCTTTTTTTATTTTATTATTATTATACTTTAAGTTTTAGGGAACACTTGCACAATGTGCAGGTTAGTTACATATGTATACACGTGCCATGCTGGTGTGCTGCACCCATTAACTCGTCATTTAGCATTAGGTATATCTCCTAATGCTATCCCTCCCCCCTCCCCCAACCCCACAACAGTCCCCAGAGTGTGATGTTCCCCTTCCTGTGTCCACCTGTTCTCATTGTTCAATTCCCACCTATGAGTGAGAACATGCAGTGTTTGGTTTTTTGTCCTTGCGATAGTTTACTGAGAATGATGATTTCCAATTTCATCCATGTCCCTACAAAGGACATGAACTCATCATTTTTTATGGCTGCATAGTATTCCATGGTGTCTATGTGCCATATTTTCTTAATCCAGACTATCATTGTTGGACATTTGGGTTGGTTCCAAGTCTTTGCTATTGTGAATAGTGCCGCAAAAACATATGTGTGCATGTGTCTTTATAGCAGCATGATTTATAGTCCTTTGGGTATATACCCAGTAATGGGATGGCAGGGTCAAATGGTATTTCTAGTTCTAGATCCCTGAGGAATCGCCACACTGACTTCCACAATGGTTGAACTAGTTTACAGTCCCACCAACAGTGTAAAAGTGTTCCTATTTCTCCACATCCTCTCCAGCACCTGTTGTTTCCAGATTTTTTAATGATTGCCATCCTAACTGGTGTGAGATGGTATCTCATTGTGGTTTTGATTTGCATTTCTCTGATGGCCAGTGATGGTGAGCATTTTTTCATGTGTTTTTTGGCTGCATAAATGTCTTCTTTTGAGAAGTGTCTGTTCATGTCCTTTGCCCACTTTTTGATGGGGTTGTTTGTTTTTTTCTTGTAAATTTGTTTGGGTTCATTGTAGATTCTGGATATTAGCCCTTTGTCAGATGAGTAGGTTGCGAAAATTTTCTCCCATGTTGTAGGTTGCCTGTTCACTCTGATGGTAGTTTCTTTTGCTGTGCAAAATCTCTTCAGTTTAATTAGATCCCATCTGTCAATTTTGGCTTTTGTTGCCATTGCTTTTGGTGTTTTAGACATGAAGTCCTTGCCCATGCCTATGTCCTGAATGGTAATGCCTAGGTTTTCTTCTAGGGTTTTTATGGTTTTAGGTCTAACGTTTAAGCCTTTAATCCATCTTGAATTAATTTTTGTATAAGGTGTAAGGAAGGGATCCAGTTGCAGCTTTCTACATATGGCTAGCCAGTTTTCCCAGCACCATTTATTAAATAGGGAATCCTTTCCCCGTTGCTTGTTTTTCTCAGGGTTGTCAAAGATCAGATAGTTGTAGATATGCGGCGTTATTTCTGATGGCTCTGTTCTGTTCCATTGGTCTATATCTCTGTTTTGGTACCAGTACCATGCTGTTTTGGTTACTGTAGCCTTGTAGTATAGTTTGAAGTCAGGTAGCGTGATGCCTCCAGCCTTGTTCTTTTGGCTAAGGATTGACTTAGTGATGCGGGCTCTTTTTTGGTTCCATATGAACTTTAAAGTAGTTTTTTCCAATTCAGTGAAGAAAGTCTTTGGGAGCTTGATGGTGATGGCATTGAATCTATAAATTACCTTGGGCAGTATGGCCATTTTAACCATACTGATTCTTCCTACCCATGAGCATGGAATGTTCTTCCATTTGTTTGTATCCTCTTTTATTTCCTTGAGCAGTGATTTGTAGTTCTCCTTGAAGAGGTCCTTCACATCGCTTGTAAGTTGGATTCCTAGGTATTTTATTCTCTTTGAAGCAATTGTGAATGGGAATTCACTCATGATTTGGCTCTCTGTTTGTCTGTTATTGGTGTATAAGAATGCTTATGATTTTTTACATTGATTTTGTATCCTGAGACTTTGCTGAAGTTGCTGATCAGCTTAAGGAGATTTTGGGCTGAGACAATGGGGTTTTCTAGATATACAATCATGTCGTCTGCAAACAGGGACAATTTGACTTCCTCTTTTCCTAATTGAATACCCTTTATTTCCTTCTCCTGCCTAATGGCCCTAACCAGAACTTCCAACACTATGTTGAATAGGAGTGGTGAGAGAGGGCATCCCTGTCTTGTGCCCTCTTGTGCCAGTTTTCAAAGGGAATGCTTCCAGTTTTTGCCCATTCAGTATGATATTGGCTGTGGGTTTGTCATAGATAGCTCTTATTATTTTGAAATACGTCCCATCAATACCTAATTTATTGAGAGTTTTTAGCATGAAGCGTTGTTGAATTTTGTCAAAGGCCTTTTCTGCATCTATTGAGATAATCATGTGGTTTTTGTCTTTGGTTCTGTTTATAAGCTGGATTACATTTATTTATTTGCGTATATTGAACCAGCCTTGCATCCCAGGGATGAAGCCCACTTGATCATGGTGGATAAGCTTTTTGATGTGCTGCTGGATTTGGTTTGCCCATATTTTATCGAGGATTTTTGCATCAATGTTCATTAAGGATACTGGTCTAAAATTCTCTTTTTTGGTTGTGTCTCTGCCCGGCTTTGGTATCAGGATGATGCTGGCCTCATAAAATGAGTTAGGGAGGGTTCCCTCTTTTTCTATTGATTGGAATAGTTTCAGAAGGAAGGGTACCACTTCCTCCTTGTACCTCTGGTAGAATTCGGCTGTGAATCCATCTGGTCCTGGACTCTTTTTGGTTGGTAAGCTATTGATTATTGCCACAATTTCAGATCCTGTTATTGGTCTATTCAGAGATTCAACTTCTTCCTGGTTTAGTCTTGGGAGTGTGTATGTGTCCAGGAATTTATGCATTTCTTCTAGATTTTCTAGTTTATTTGTGTAGAGGTGTTTGTAGTATTCTCTGATGGTAGTTTGTATTTCTGTGGGATCGGTGGTGATATCCCCTTTATCATTTTGTATTGCATCTATTTGATTCTTCTCTCTTTTCTTCTTTTTTAGTCTTGCTAGCTGTCTATCAATTTTGTTGATCCTTTCAAAAAACCGGCTCCTGGATTCATTAATTTTTTGAAGGGTTTTTTGTGTCTCTATTTCCTTCAGTTCTGTTCTGATTTTAGTTATTTCTTGCCTTCTGCTAGCTTTTGAATGTGTTTGCTCTTGCTTTTCTAGTTCTTTTAATTGTGATGTTAGGGTGTCAATTTTGGATCTTTCCTGCTTTCTCTTGTGGGCATTTAGTGCTATAAATTTCCCTCTACACACTGCTTTGAATGTGTCCCAGAGATTCTGGTATGTTGTGTCTTTGTTCTCATTGGTTTCAAAGAACATCTTTATTTCTGCCTTCATTTTGTTATGTACCCAGTAGTCATTCAGGAGCAGGTTGTTCAGTTTCCATGTAGTTGAGCGGTTTTGAGTGAGTTTCTTAATCCTGAGTTCTAGTTTGATTGCACTGTGGTCTGACAGACACTTTGTTATACTTTCTCTTCTTTTACATTTGCTGAGGAGAGCTTTACTTCCAAGTATGTGGTCAATTTTGGAATAGGTGTGGTGTGGTGCTGAAAAAAATGTATATTCTGTTGATTTGGGGTGGAGAGTTCTGTAGATGTCTATTAGGTCCACTTGGTGCAGAGCTGAGTTCAATTCCTGGGTCTCCTTATTAACTTTCTGTCTCATTGATCTGTCCAATGTTGACAGTGGGATGTTAAAGTCTCCCATTATTATTGTGTGGGAGTCTAAGTCTCTTTGTAGGTCACTCAGGACTTGCTTTATGAATCTGGGTGCTCCTGTATTGGGTGCATATATATTTAGGATAGTTAGCTCTTCTTGTTGAATTGATCTCTTTACCATTATGTAATGGCCTTCTTTGTCTCTTTCGATCTTTGTTGGTTTAAAGTCTGTTTTATCAGAGACTAGGATTGCAACCCCTGCCTTTTTTTGTTTTCCATTTGCTTGGTAGATCTTCCTCCATCCTTTTATTTTGAGTCTATGTGTGTCTCTGCACGTGAGATGGGTTTCCTGAATACAGCACACTGATGGATCTTGACTCTTTATCCAATTTGCCAGTCTGTGTCTTTTAATTGGAGCATTTAGTCCATTTACATTTAAAGTTAATATTGTTATGTCTGAAATTGATCCTGGCATTATGATGTTAGCTAGTTATTTTGCTAATTAGTTAATGCAGTTTCTTCCTAGTCTCGATGGTCTTTATATTTTGGCATGATTTTGCAGTGGCTGGTACCGGTTGTTCCTTTCCATGTTTAGTGCTTCCTTCAGGAGCTCTTTTAGGGCAAGCCTGGTGGTGACAAAATCTCTCATCATTTGCTTGTCTGTGAAGTATTTTATTTCTCCTTCACTTATGAAGCTTAGTTTGGCAGGATATGAAATTCTGGGTTGAAAATTCTTTTCTTTAAGAATGTTGAATATTGGCCCCCACTCTCTTCCGGCTTGTAGAGTTTCTGCCGAGAGATCCACTGTTAGTCTGATGGGCTTCCCTTTGTGGGCAACCTGACCTTTCTCTCTGGCTGCCCTTAACATTTTTTCCTTCATTTCAACTTTGGTGAATCTGACAATTATGTGTCTTGGAGTTGCTCTTCTCAAGGGGTATCTTTGTGGCGTTGTCTGTATTTCTTGAATCTGAATGTTGGCCTGCCTTGCTAGATTGGGGATGTTCTCCTGGATAATATCCTGCAGTGTGTTTTCCACCTTGGTTCCATTCTCCCCGTGACTTTCAGGTACACCAATCAGATGTAGATTTGGTCTTTTCACTTAGTCCCATATTTCTTGGAGGCTTTGTTTGTTTCTTTTCATTCTTTTTTCTCTCAACTTCCCTTCTCGTTTCATTTCATTCATTTCATCTTCCATCACTGATACCCTTTCTTCCAGTTGATTGCATCGGCTCCTGAGGCTTCTGCACTCTTCACGTAGTTCTCGAGCCTCGGCTTTCAGCTTCATCAGCTCCTTTAAGCACTTCTCTGTATTGGTTATTCTAGGTATACATTCGTCTAAATTTTTTTTCAAAGTTTTTAACTTCTTTGCCTTTGGTTTGAATTTCCTCCTGTAGCTCAGAGTAGTTTGATCGTCTGAAGCCTTCTTCTCTCAACTCGTCAAAGTCATTCTCTGTCCAGCTTTGTTCTGTTGCTGGTGAGGAACTGCATTCCTTTGGAAGAGGAGAGGCGCTCTGCTTTTTAGAGTTTCCAGTTTTTCTGCTCTGTTTTTTCCCCATCTTTGAGGTTTTATCTACTTTTGGTCTTTGATGATGGTGATGTACAGATGGGTTTTTGATGTGGATGTCCTTTCTGTTTGTTAGTTTTCCTTCTACCAGACAGGACCCTCAGCTGCAGGTCTGTTGGAGTTTGCTAGAGGTCCACTCCAGACCCTGTCTGCCTGGGTATCAGCAGTGGTGGCTGCAGAACAGCAGATTTTCATGAACCGCGAATGCTGCTGTGTGATCGTTCCTCTGGGAGTTTTGTCTCAGAGGAGTACCCGGCTGTGTGAGGTGTCAGTCTGCCCCTACCTGGGGGTGCCTCCCAGTTAGGCTGCTCGGGGGTCAGTGGTCAGGGTCTCACTTGAGGAGGCAGTCTGCCCATTCTCAGATCTCCAGCTGCATGCTGGGAGAACCACTGCTGTCTTCAAAGCTATCATACAGGGACATTTAAGTCTGCAGAGGTTACTGCTGTCTTTTTGTTTCTCTGTGCCCTGCCCCCAGAGGTGGAGCCTACAGAGGCAGGCAGGCCTCCTTGAGCTGTGGTGGGCTCCACCCAGTTCAAGCTGCTTTGTTTACCTAAGCAAGCCTGGGCAATGGCAGGTGCCCCTCCCCCAGCCTCACTGCCGCCTTGCAGTTTGATCTCAGACTGCTGTGCTAGCAATCAGTTAGACTCCATGGGCGCAGGACCCTCTGAGCCAGGTGCAGGATATAATTTCCTGGTGTGCCGTTTTTTAAGCCCGTCGGAAAAGTGCAGTAGTAGGGTGGGAGTAACCCAATTTTCCAGGTGCTGTCTGTCACCCCTTTCTTTGACTAGGAAAGGGAACTCCCTGACCCCTTCCACTTCCTGAGTGAGGCAATGCCTCACCCTCCTTTGGGTCACACACGGTGCACTGCACCCACTGTCCAGCACCCACTGTCTGGCACTCTTTAGTGAGATGAACCTGGTACCTCAGATGGAAATGCAGAAACCACCCATCTTCTGCGTCGCTCACGCTGGGAGCTGTAGACTGGAGCTGTTCCTATTCAGCAGTCTTGGCTGCCAGACAAAGAATTTGCTTTTCTTACTGACTGGTGGTGATTTTGGCTCCTAATAATTTAAAGTTTGCCTAATCATTAGTTAGTAATATTAGGAAAAAGCACTCAAGTGTACACTGTTCATATAGTGATAAAATCTTTTAAAGTGACAGTGCCTTTATAGTACCACAAGTCATCTCCTAATTCATTTTTGGGAAATTTAACACATAATGAATTATTCAAGTTTAGTCCAAACAAACAGTGACAAATTAAAGTTTCATGGTTTATGTTTTTCACTGATTTTAGGCTAATGCAAATTATTTTTCACTTCTTAGTTACAATCCAGTGATTTGGGAGTAGGTAAACATAGATTAAGAAGTTTGATATTAAACTTTAATTATTTTAAAATTTTTCTCTTTTTACACTTGATTATTTAAAGATAAAGTTATTTTTAAAACATGTACTCTGACAGAAAAGACATCTAAGAAAGAAAACTAGCAAATTTATCTTCCACTTTTGCATGTGCAAAAATTGTCTCAACAACTAGTAGTGAAAAAGTGTTGTGATAGAAAGGACCTCTTTATATATGCAGGACTTACTTGTGCACAAAAGTATGAGAGAATGTGGATGAAACAAGACAAACTAGGGTAAAAAAAACCTTTAAAATTCATCACAAATAAGTTAAAGCAGAGTTTTGGTGAAATTTGTGAAAATTACAAAACTGCTTGTATTGAGGAAGAGCAACTACATAATAACTCTACAGGAAGAACAAACTTAAGTAAAAACCTTCTAATTTGACAAATGATTCACCTGATTGTCAGGAAAGTGATGCATCTGGCATGTCTGTCTCTGTAGTAGTCCAGATATTTCCTGAACAAAAATAACCCAGTCTCAAAAATGCCTTTCTTTCTCATTCATACTCTGGGTCCCCAGAATATGCTTGCCAGTCACCTTCAGAGCTTTATTTAAATACAAATAAAGTAGACTGTGAAAACGACAACAAACCAGATACTGAACATGTTTTTAACTCAGACAAGGAAAATTTTTATAATGATACTGAAAGTACAAAAGCAAGAAACCCAGAAGTAGTTATGGATGAAATAAAAGAAGACAAATAGGTTGTGAGGCAAATGACAAAAAAACAAAACACCGCTAATTGGAAATTAAACATCGGACATATGCCTCAATTTAGTGATTCAAAAAGCCTTTTAGGTATGTGGCTTACCTGCTCCAAAGAAATGAAGCATGTGATTTAAAAAAAAAAAAAAAGATGATGGTGTTTCTGTTGTTACAAACAGTACAAAACCAATACAGAATGTGTTCCAGAAGCCGTTATGTGACAACTGTAGTGCAAATAAATATGAAAGCATAAAACTTGAATTAGAAAATGTGCATTATTCTCCACCACATGGTGACAGAACATCAGCAGTATGTCTAGAAGTGGAATTAAGTGATATATGCAAAGATTTAAGAATGAGGTAAGCATATTACAAGTAAAGTAGAGTTCCTGGCTTTGGAGAAAGTTCAACTTCCAAAAGACTTAGAGGGTCACTTGCTGCTACTCTGGTTTTTCTCTTCACCAATTATTTGATCCATTTGAATTTTTTTACTTATGAAAATCTCTTGTGTAAAATGGGGTAATCTAAATACCTAATTGTATGTATAAATAGATTGTTTTTGCAATTAAAATAACTCAAGCTCAGGAAGACATTCTCTTAATCTTTGTTCCTTAATTAACCCAAGTCTCTCTGTCAGTTTTCTAAATAGCACAGGAACTGGGAAACTAATTTATCCATAGACCATGTGGTCTTCTGAACTAGAGTCAACATAAAGGAAATTGCTTAAAAAAAAAGTACGGAACAGGTACCTGTGTTTGTGCTCATAGAAACAGATGGGCAATTCCCACTTCTGTACATTTTGTATATGCTATAAATATTTTGGGGACATTTTGAAACAGTGTTATTTATTTTGTAGGTGAAAAACCAAATACATTCTAGGGATGACCTTGATGACATAATTCAGTCATCTCAAACAGTCTCAGAGGACGGTGACTCGCTTTGCTGTAATTGTAAGAATGTCATATTACTCATTGATCAACATGAAATGAAGTGTAAAGGTAGGACCAATGCATAAATATAAGGCTTTTTAAAAATCCTATAGCAATGTATGCACACATTGCTTAACACTGTACCATAGAGTACTGATATGTTACAAGAATGTTCATCTCAGAAATATGCCTTATGTTAAAATAGAATGAAAGCAACTGTATCTTGTACCTTCTCAGCCAAAGAGCTATGATCATTTCACTGTACTTTTCTCAGTGTGAATGATACACACAGTGTGTTTGTTTACTCTGCTTCTCTTCTATGCCATTACCCATTTACCCATGGTCATGTTACCATTTCCTCCCACCTGAAATACTGTGATAACCCTCTAACTGTCTTTCCTACTATTCCACCTTCCAAAACCATGGCCTGTTCTGCAATCATAATTATATAGTTGTAAAAAATCACACCTGATCATGTTACCTGCTTGCTGAAAACCCAGCTGCCATTTATTGCTATAAGATATGGATCTCAGTCCTCGAGCTTTATACTGCATCATTGCATACCCTTCTCTGTGCCACAGCCAGTGCCTTAGGTGTTTGCTCCTACAATCAGTAGCTTTAGTGTGGTAAAATTGATATGCGATACAGTGCACACATGTAAAAGGTACCATTTGATAAGTTTTAACAGATGTATACACATGTGAAACTATTACCATCATCGAGATAGTCAACATATATCCATCACCCACTAACGTCTCCTCATGGCCCTTCATATTCCTGTTTTTAAAAGCTGCTAAATGGTTTTCCAAAATATTTGTACTATTTTCTATTCTCATCAGCAGTAAATGACCATTCCAGTTGCTATGTTGTCACACTACTGCTGTATTTATTTTTTTAAATTTTAGTTATTCTGATGGGTGTATTATGTATATTCTTATGGGTTTAATGTACATGATCCTAATGACTAAAATGTTGAGCATCTTTCCATGTGTTTATTTGCCATCTGTACATCTTCTTTGTTGAACTGTCTTTTCACATCTTTTGCATATAAAAAAGTAGGTTGATGTTTTCTTACGTGTTGAATTTTAATAATTCTGTATGTATTTGGATACTATTACTTTTAGCTACTTTTTTACAAGGGTATTTTTGCCAGTTTTTGGGTTGACTTTTCACTTGCTTTGTAGTATCTTTTGAAGAGCAGAAGATTTTAATCATAATGAAATCCAATTTAATTGTTGAATTACAGATTTTGCATTTTGTGTCATATGTAAAAATGTTTGCCTAGCACAAGGTCACAAAGATTGTTCCTGTGTTTGTTCTAGAAATTTTATAGATTTGGATCTTCCATTTAAATCTGTGCTCCATCTTGAGTTTCCTTTTGTCTATGGAGTGAGGTGAGGTATGGATTCAAGTTCACTTTTTGGATATGGACAGCCAATTGTTCCAACACCGCATGTTGAAAAGGCTATCCTTTCTCCACTGCATTGCCATCCTGCCTTTGTCAGTCATAAGCTGGTTGCTTATGTGTTATCTATTTCTGGACTGTCTGTTGAATTTTATTAATTTGCAGATGCTCCCCAAATTGTGGGAAACCCAGTGTTTGAGTCAAAAGCAAGTTAATACTTCAGTAAACCCACTGTAAAGTCAGTAAGTCAAACCACCTTAAGTTGGGGATTGTCTGAATTTGACTTTCTTTATACAGGTTGAGCATTGCTAATTTAAATATCCCAAATCTGAAATGCTCTAAAACCCCAGACTTTTTGATTGCCAACATAGACAGCACAGTGGAAAAATTCTACATCCGACCTCATGTATACAAACATTGTTTCATGCCCCAAATTATTAAAAGTATTATTTAAAATTACCTTCAGTCTTTGTGTACAAGGTAAATATGAAAAACAAATGTATTTTGTGTTTAGACTTGGGTCCTATCCCCAAGATATTTCATCATGTATATGCAAATATTCCAAAATCCAAAATCTGAAAAACTTCTAGTCTGAAGCATTTTGAATAAGGGATATTCAGCCTGTACCTGTGGCACACTGTTTTTGTTACTATTGATTTATAGTAATTCTTGAAATGAATCCTCCAATTTTGTTCTTTGTTCTGTTTTGACTATGCTAGATCCTTTGCATTTTCACATGAACTTTAGAATCAGCTTATCAATAAAATAAAGACTGCTCGCTTGTTGGAAATTAAGTTGGGATTGGGTCATATTTATAGATTAATTTGGGGAGAATTGACATCTTAACAATAGCGAATCTACTCCTCAATAAAGTGTATGTCTGCTTTTATAGAGGTAATATTTAATTTTCTCAGTAGTATTTTGTAGTTTTTAGTTTATAGGTCTTTTCATATTTTATCAGATTTATCTGTATTTCATTTTTGATGAAGTTGTAAATGATAGTTTAATTAGTGTAGATGTATTTGACTTTCTTTATACAGGTTGAGCATTGCTAATCCAAATATACACTTTTATAAAACTATAGAAAATGATAGTTTTAAAATTTTCATTTGATTGTTTATCGCTAGCATATAGAAATACAGTTAATTTTTCTGTATTGAATTTGTATCCTTCATTCTTGTTAAACTCACTTATTAGTTCTGGCACATTGTTGGTAGATTTGATCAGATTTTCTTCATAGACCAAAGGTTGTTAAACCTTTCTTTCTCAAACTACCCTCTTACTAAGGATAGTGAATATTTTAGGCTTGTGGCAAAAGGGTCTCTTTTGCAGCTGATAAACTCTGCCATTTTAGTATGAGAGCAGCCATAGATCATCCATAAATTAATGAACACAGCTGTGTTCCAATAAAAGCTTATCGGACAAGAAGCTGGCCCACAGGTTGGGGTTTACCCATACCTATTTTATGGTCATGGTTGTGTATAAAGACAATTTTATTTCTTTTTTTTAAACTTGGATGCCTCTTATTTCTTTTTCTTGCCTGACTGCATTAACTAGAATCTTCAGAACAATGCTACAAACAAGTAGTGAAAGCAGACATTCCCATGTTCTTCCTCATCTTATGGGAAATGCATTCAGTTTTTCACTATGATGCACGTTAGCTGTAGGTTCATCATAGACGTTGTTTATCATGCTGAAGAACTTCCCTTGGATTCTTATGTTACTGAGAGTGTTTCTTCTTTGAGACATCAGGAGTAAATTTTATCAGATGCCTGTGTCTGTTGGGATGATCCTATGGGTCTTCTCTTTCAGTTTGTTTTGTGGTAAATAATGATGATGTTTCAATGTTAAGCCAACCTTCCATTTCTGGAATAAACCCCATTTGTTTATGATGTATTACCTTTTCATTATACTGTCGGATACAGTTTACTAAAGTCTCATTTAGAATTTATTATAAAGACTTTTATTTTTTAGACCAGTTTTATGTTCCTGTCAAAATTGAGAGGGAGGTTCAGATATTTTTTTGTATACCCCCAATCCAATACATGTTTAGCCTCCTTCATTACCAGTATCCTTCACCATAGTGGTAGTTGCTATGATAGATGAGCCTAAATTGACACATCACAATCACCCCAAGCCCATAATTTGCATTGGGGTTCACTCTTGGTACTTTACATGTATGGATTTGGACAAATGTACAATGATGTGTATCCATGTTATATAAATTATTTTGACTTCCCTAAAAATCCTCTGTGCTCTGCCTATGTATCTTTTCCTGCTGTCTCTTACCCTTAGGCACCCTTTTACTTTATCCATAGTTTTGCCTCTTCCTGATCATATAGTTGGAACCATACAGTAAGTAGCCTTTTCAGATGAGCTTATGTCACTTGGTAATATGCATTTAAGGTTCCTTCACATATTTTCATGAATTGATTGCTCATTTCTTTATGTGTAGAGTGATATTCCACTGTATGGCTGTGTAACCACAGTTTATTCACTCCACTATGGGAGGATGTCTTCGTTGCATCACAAATTGGTTGAATTTTTACATTCGTGCTCATGAGGGAATTTTCTTGTTGGTAATATTTTCTGGTTTTGGTTCAGGGTAAAGCTAACATTACAGACTGAGTTGAGATATACTCCTTCTTTCTGTTTCTTTTGGGAGAGTTTATGTATAATTGTATTAATTTCTTCCAGAAATGTTTTGTAGAATCACCAGCATAGCCAGCTGGGTCTGGAGTTTTCTTTTAGGAAGGTTTTTAACTATAACTTAACTTTCTTCTATAGATATAGGGCAATTCACGTTATCTATTGCTTCTTGATTGAGATTTGCTAATTTTCATTTTTAAAGGAATTTGTTAATTTTATCTAAGTTGTCCTGTTTACTTACATAGAAATTATAATATCTTGTTATATTTTTAGTATCTGTAGAATCTATAATTATGTCACATTGTTTATTTCTGAAATTAGTAATTTGTATTGTTTCTTTTATTCTGAGCAGCCTGGCTAAATGGAGCTTTATCACATTTATTGATCTCCTCAAGGTGTTTTGTGTTGTTGATTTTTTTCTATTGTTTCTTCTGGAACCAACAGTATAACAAAATACCATAGACTGGTTCAAACAACAGAAGTTGATTTCTCGCAGTTGTGGGTTCAGCAAAGTCCAAGATCCAGATGCTGTCATGTTTGGTGTATGGTTAGGGAACACGTCCTAGTTCATGAATGCTTTTTCTCTGTGCCCTCACTTGGCAGAAGGGGTGAAGGAGATCTGGGGTCTGTTGTATAGAGCACTAAGCACTAATCCCATTCATTAGGGCTTCGCTCTCATGACCAACTACCTGTAAAAATCCCCCCTCCTAATACCGTCACATCTGTGATTGGCTTTCAGCATATAAATTTTGGGGAAGACAAACATTCAGACCACAGCAGATGTTTATTATTTCCTTTCCTCTGCTTGCTTTGGGTTTATGTCACTCTTCTTTTATCTAGTTGCTTAAGGTAGAAGTCAAAGTCATTGATTTAAGACTCTTCTAATGTAGACATTCAGCAGTGCTAAAAATTTGTATTCAAGTACAGCTGTAGCTGCATTCCACAAATTCTGGTTGATGAATTTTTATTCAGTTCAGAATATTTTCTATTTTCTATTTCTATTTTCATTACCTGTTTGACCCAGGGTTATTTAGATGTGTGTTACTTAGTTTCCAAATATTTGTGTATTTCCCAGAGTTATTTTTGTTATCGGTCTTTAATCTGATTGATTTGTGGTCAGGGCACATACTTTGTATGAGTTAAATCCTTCTGACTCAATCCTTTAATTGAGAGTTGTTGTATGGCCTAAAATATGGTCTATTTTGGTAAGTGTTCCGTGGGTACTTGGAAAGCATAGTGTTGTTCAAGTCTATTCTCGCTGATTTTCTGCCTTCTTGTTCTATCACTTATTGAGTAAAGGGTATTGAAACCTCAGATTACCTAGAAATTGTCTGTCACTTTTTGTAGTTCTATCCACTTTGGTCTCATATATTGTGAGGCTGGTTTGTTATTAGGGGCATAAAGACTGAGGATTGTTATGTTTTGTTGATTAACTGAACCTTTTACTATTGTGACATGACCTTTGTTATTTATTGCTGGAATGTTTTTTTTTTTTTGCTATGAAATCTACTTTGGTATTAATACAGCCACACCTGCTCAGCTGCCTTTGCCAACTGTTAGCATGTATCTTTTTCCATCCTTACAACCAATTTGTGTCTTTACATTTAAAGTGCATTTCTTATAGGCAGCCTGTAGTTGGGTCTTGCTTTCTTGCTGAGCCTGACAGTCTGTATTATAGTTGAGGTTCTTAGACAAGTGTCATTTGTAATGTGATTACTGATATAGTTATGTTTGTCTGGTAGCTGTGTGATTGCTATTAGTCCCAACTGTTCTCTGTTCCCCTTCTTTTCCTGCTTTCCTTTAGATTAGTCAACTGTTTTTTATGATTCAATTTTATATATATTTTTGGGTTTATTAGCGATAACTGTTTTGCTATCTTAGTGTTTAGGATTTTTAGTATATAATTTTAACTTATCACAGTTCACCTTCAGTAATATTATACATCCTAGATGGTATAAAAAATGACAATGATACATTTTCATTTTTTTCTGTCCCAGACACTTCCTTCCTGAATCTGTGGGATTATGGTTTGTGTTAAGGTTAGAATATTTTTGGTCATTTTTTCTTTAATTTTTTTTCTGTCTCTTCTTTTTTATTTGAGGAGTTATCTATTAGCTGCTTGAAAGTTTCTTGCAGTTTATCGTGTCAAATTTAGGAATTTTTCCTTTGTTATCTCTAATTTGTGTTTATTTCCATCCACTATAGTTTTTACTTATGACAATGTAATTTGTGTCTCTACAAGTATGGTTTGTGTTTTTTTAAAAAAAAACCTTCCCTGCCTCCACTTATTATCTTGAGTTTTATTTGGAGTACAGAGATTTACTTATAATCTTTCCATTCTTGCTTTTAGATTTGGGGTAATTCCTCACTCCTGAGGCAAGACCTTTCGGAGTATTCATTGTCCTGTGAAGTATGCGGTATTTTGGCCTGGCTCATGGGAATGGACCCTCTTCCAGTCATTGTGTGAACCCCAGACATCGTTTCTGCTAATTTTCTTTAACTGTTGTTTTTTTTTATTTTATTTTTCATTGTTCTTAGGAAGTTTCCTAGTACACAAGCACTTTTCATTACTCCACTAAATACCCAAGAGGGAATCTCTGCACATCTCCAGGATTTGTTTCCTGTACTGCTTTTTTCTCTCCAGTTTTCTGTCCTGTGATCTCTATCTGCTTTGGTTTTACTGGCCTCTCAGCGTCATCACCCCAGCTCTATGTCAGATTTTCTCCCTTTGTGATGGCCTCGAACCTCCGTCAAAACTCTGTCAAAAGAGCTGGGATATTTGTAAGGCCTGCTGTATTTGTTTTCTGTCTTTCAGTGATCACCTACCATCTTCATTGCCTGAAGTCCACTGTGTTGAAAATCAGTTTAATGTATTGTGTCTGTTTTGTTTTTTATTCATTCAGATAAGATGAAAAATCAGTATCTGTTACTCCATCAGAGCTAGTAACAGATTGCAGCAGAGCTTCAGCACAGCACATGCTGCAAACTAGCCAGAGTGCTTTGCTTTCTTCTTTGCTTAACTGCTTCTTTCTCATCCTTCATTTCTCAGTGTAGCATCTCTTCCTCAGGGAAATCTTCCCTGGGTGAAGTATAGATCAAATTATCTTATGCAATCACATAACTATGTTTTTTTTTTTTTTTTTTTTTTTTTTTTTTTTTTTTACAGGACCTATCTGAGTTTATAACTGTCACCTTTTTATCTTGGTTCTTCACTATACTTTAAGCTAAAACAATAGCAGAGGTGTT
This sequence comes from Homo sapiens, assembly GCF_000001405.40. Taxonomy (NCBI): domain Eukaryota; kingdom Metazoa; phylum Chordata; class Mammalia; order Primates; family Hominidae; genus Homo; species Homo sapiens. The sequence continues at coordinate 215,801 of NW_025791765.1, forward strand.
GTCTTATCTGCAGACCTTACTATAATATCTTCCACCTTGTAGGCACTCAATATGTACATACTTGTTCAACGTATGAATGAATACATGTTAAAAATGCACAGTCCTTTATATCCAAAAATCTACTCATGTATTTTATCTCTACTTTGTTTTTTCCTGGTTACAGATTGTGTTCACCTATTGAAAATTAAAAATACATTTTGTTTATGGAAAAGATTAATAAAACTTAAAGATAACCACTGTGAGCAACTTAGAGTAAAAATTCGAAAACTGAAAAATAAGGCTAGTGTACTACAAAAGAGAATATCTGAAAAAGAAGAAATAAAATCGCAGTTAAAGCATGAAATACTTGAATTGGAAAAAGAACTCTGTAGTTTGAGGTATGACCTAGTTTTAAATAAATGTTTGAACTGTTTGTTTTATATTAAAGACGTATAAGGAGAAGTTTTGTAATTGCGAACTTTCCTTCTAGGATTTAACAGGGAAGAAAGCTTCTTAATCTTATGGAGTGTGAAATTATTGGATATAATATCACAAGTTCTTAATTGTGAATACTTCTCTAATAATTAAATGCATATTCTTTTAAATCATAGTTTTAATGGCTGTATAGAATTTTACCTTTTGGAAATCTCATTATTTAATTGATGAATTGAATTTCAGGTTTTAAAAAGTTTTTGTAATAATGCTACAAGGAACATCTTTTATATACACATAGTTTTCTACATTTCTAATTATTTACATTGGATAAATTCTTCTGGTTAAAGTATAGAAACTTTTTTAGATCTGTTTTAGATCTGTGATCAATATTTCTAAATTGTTCTTAAGGATGTTCATATTAATTTATAATTCAACCAACAGAGTATAAAACAGATATTTTTCTTTACCCAGAATAATTATTTTAAAAATTATCAGCCGGGTGCAGTGGCTCATGCCTGTAATCCCAGCACTTTGGTAGGCCGAGGTGGGCAGATCACGAGGTCAGGAGTTCGAGACCAGTCTGCCCAACACAGTGAAATGCTATCTCTACTAAAAATACAAAAAATTAGCCAGGTATGGTGGTTGTACCTGTAATCCCAGCTACGCAGGAGGCTGAGGCAGGAGAATCGCATGAAACTGGGAGGCAGAGGTTGCAGTGAGCAGAGATTGCACCAGTGCACTCCAGCCCAGTGATAGTAGGAGACTCCCTCTCAAAAAAAAAAAAAAAAATGTATCCAGTTTTATTCTTAATATGCAGGGAATGAAAAGTAAAATGTAAAGTGATTACTGATTAGCTTATTCAACATCTCTCTGCTATGTAGATAAAATTAATTCAGTTTTATGCTGAAGACATGTATTATTCTTTATTGTTTAATTAAATATTAGATCTTGTGTTGTTCCAAAACAGATTTTACAATTGGTTATAAAGTACATACTAATCAGCAGGATAGACTGAAAGTGTTACCCAAAAAACAATCTGAAAAAGTGTAGGGTAACATATTACCTTCTTAACCTAGTCTTGGATTACAGTAATCTGCTGATATATGTTTCATAAAGACATCGAAAATGCTATCTTGCAATGTAAATTATGTTTAGGGATACTTGCAATGAATGTTTCATGAAGATGAAAATGTATTTCTAGTGAATGTACCAACTTGTTTATAAAAAGTAACTTTATGTTAATTAACTCTAAATGATTCATCCTAATTGAGGAGTAATTACTGTGAAGAAAAGATAATTTTTATCTTGTAACTTTACTGAATAATTTTCAACGTCCTTTTTCATAATATTTGCTAGAGTTACTAGTAATAGAAACTTATGCAGGATGTTCTTTTATCAATACATTTCAACTTATACATGCCCTTTGGATGAGATTGAGGTGAGAAATTAAAAACATGAGAACTAGAAAGAAAAATAGTATTTAAGAACATAGAAACTTTATTAGGATAATAAACCAACATATGAATGTTTTATTTTCTAATATCAACAAAGAGAGTCAAACTCTGTAAGATATTTGAAGAGATTTATTCTGAGCCAAATATGAGTGACCGTGGCCCCCGACACAGCCCTCAGGAGGTCCTGAGAACATGTGCCCGAGGTGGTCGGGGTGCAGCTTGGTTTTATACATTTTAGAGAAGCATGAGACAGCAATCAAATACATGTAAGAAATACATTGGTTTGGTTCAGAAAGGCAGGCCAACTCAAAGCTGGGGCTTCCAGGCTGTAGGTAAATTTAAACATTTTCTGGTTGACAATTGCTTGAGTTTATTTGAAGACCTGGGATTAATGGAAAGAAATGTTCAGGTTAAGATAAATGATTGTGGGGACCAAGTTTTACTGTGCAGAGGAATCTCTCAGCAGACTTCAGAGAGAGCAGATTGTAAAATGTTTCTTATCGGACCCAAAAGGGTGCCTGGCTCTCAGCTGAATATCCCCTGGATCTGCATAGAAAGGAAGGAAAACAAAGGGGAAAGGGGGTTCTCTATAGAATGTGGATTTTTCCCACAAGAGACTTTGCAGGGCAATTTCAAGGCATGGCAAGGAAATATATTTTGGATTAAATATTTTCTTCCTTGTCTCGTAAGGTTATGCCAGAGTCAGATTGAAAAGCAAGTCACAATATACAGGGTCAAATAAAACCCATCTGATGAGAATCCATGGTTTGTAGGGCACGACTCCCTGGACCCCTTAGGTAGGAATTTGGGCAAGATAAAAAATTAGAGCTTAGTCCTCACTGATAAGATAAATTCTAAGATAAGTATATTTACAGATTTGCCATACAGCAAGAAAAAAAGAAAAGAAGAAATGTTGAAGAGGTGCACCAAAAAGTTAGGGAAAAGTTAAGAATAACAGAAGAGCAATATAGGATAGAAGCTGATGTGACAAAACCAATTAAACCGGCTCTCAAATCAGCAGAGGTGGAATTGAAGACAGGAGGAAATAATTCAAATCAGGTAAATTAATGTTTGGTAAAACTTCATATTTCTACTCTTATTAATATTACTTATACCATCTCTTTCATTTAACGTATATTATTTAGGCCTGAACAATCCCCAAATTTTATTTCATCTTAAAAATGAATCATGGCATTTATAGCTATAATTATTTATAATAAACCTTGAAATATTTTATTTTAGTTCAAAGGCCTTTTGAAAACAATGCTATTCTACAATATATACTTAATGATATTGTAAGTATTTTGTTCCTAGTGACATAGTTCAGCATATTTCCCCTATTTCATGTTAATTACATTTCAAATGTTATGGAAAAGGAATAAAAGTTATCACAATAGCAAATAATGTCATGATTTTCTAAGAAGAGTTTTATAGATCTAATTTTCTTGACTTTTGGTGTCTTGAAATAAAAGATTATTTTTGTATGTATATATCTACCTCACAGAAGTTACTGATTTGGTGGAAGAGCACTAGGAATAGAGTCAGAAAAGCTGGGAAAAATCCTGCAGCTTGCTTATATTTTTAACCTTTTGCTATAGAATTATAACTAAATGAGTTCATTGATTTGTGCACGTAAAAGTGCTTAGTATAATGCCTAGCTTTATCATTTATCAATAAATGTCATTCTTAAAACTGACCATAACAATATTAGAAAAGTAGAATATCTATACAATATTTTAGAAAAAGGGAACTTAAAGAATTTGGAAAATGTCATTCATCTGTCCAAATATCTGCCAAGCTAAGGCTCTCACTATAGGGAGAGGTATAGTTTAGATGTTAGAGTGTAAACCCAATTTTTTAATGTGGTCATAGTTATTAATTCTTTATGCCTTGCAATTTGTTGTAATTCAGTAAAAGCCTTTTTTTATCCTGAAATTTAAAAAAATTATCTAGTGGCTTCTTTTTTGCTTTCATGGATTCACTGTCTTCAAATAAACTTTTGAACTTTGGGGAATTTATGCTGTATGAGGTTTGAGGTTTTGACTTAACTTCTTTTTTCCCAGTTAGATATCCAGTTATGGCAACCTCTCATTGTATAAATGTACAGGTTATTATTTAATTTCAGAAGCAATCACAATATGTTATCCTATTGGATACTAGTTACAAGTTTGCTTTGTTTTACTTAGGTTTCTGAAACTGATGAAAAAGAAGACCTGCTGCATGAAAACCGCTTGATGCAAGATGAAATTGCCAGGCTCAGGCTGGAAAAAGACACAATAAAAAACCAAAACCTGGAAAAGAAATACTTAAAAGACTTTGAAATTGTGAAAAGAAAGCATGAAGACCTTCAAAAGGCTCTAAAACGGAATGGGGAAACATTAGCAAAAACGATAGCCTGTTATAGTGGACAGCTTGCTGCTCTGACAGATGAAAACACAACGCTCCGTTCCAAACTGGAGAAGCAAAGAGAGAGCAGGCAAAGACTGGAAACAGAAATGCAATCATACCATTGTAGACTGAATGCTGCTCGATGTGATCATGATCAAAGTCACTCATCAAAAAGAGACCAAGAGCTTGCTTTCCAGGGCACAGTAGATAAATGTCGTCACTTACAGGAAAATTTGAATTCTCATGTTCTGATTCTTTCTCTGCAACTTTCTAAAGCTGAGAGTAAGTCCAGAGTCCTCAAAACTGAGCTCCATTACACAGGAGAGGCTCTGAAAGAAAAGGCTTTGGTTTTTGAACACGTGCAAAGTGAGCTAAAGCAAAAACAGAGTCAAATGAAGGACATTGAAAAAATGTACAAAAGTGGATACAATACAATGGAAAAATGCATAGAAAAACAGGAAAGATTTTGTCAACTAAAAAAACAAAATATGTTGCTTCAACAGCAACTGGATGATGCTCGCAACAAAGCTGACAATCAAGAAAAAGCAATACTTAATATTCAAGCCAGATGTGATGCTAGAGTACAAAACCTTCAAGCTGAGTGCAGAAAGCACCGTCTTTTACTAGAAGAAGACAATAAAATGTTGGTCAATGAACTGAATCATTCGAAAGAAAAAGAATGCCAATATGAAAAAGAGAAAGCAGAAAGAGAAGTAAGTATCAAGAAAAATAAGTATTTTTCAAACTTCCTGAAGTAAAATTTAAAGTAATATTTGGTTACAGCTGAATGTTGGATCTAGTTGAATATAAAAAAGGATACATATGATAAATATATCTGCTTAGAAACATTCCTTGTCTCCAGCAAGTCAAAGTTAGAACTGAGAGATGCTTTCCTCTGATTAAAGTCAATGTGTCACTTATAAAATTTTAAGTTATAAAATGTTAACATAGACTAACATTAATAATGTAGTCTTATACTGCTGAAGTAATAATTTTAATGTATTTATGTTGCAACATTTTAAGACCATGATAAATCAGGTATATGGAAATGCTCATACCTAAAATGGTATTTTGAAATTGATTCAATTAAGTGGGGTACTTTGACAGTGAATTTCAGATTTCCTAGATGAACTGAAGTGTATTCCCTATTTCATAATTACTTTTCTTCAGTAGCTTTAAATATGTCTTAGTTGGTAAAATTTTGTTTTTCTTCATGTCAATTTGACTTAAATCTGAAACTATTTCAATCTCAAATTATGTATAGATATGACCATTCTATTCTTTCAAGGCATCTAATTTTACTTCTATTATAATATGGGGCAAATGCAGTAAATTTTAGCCAAATCATGTTTGATTTAATCTTCCCACTGGCATTTATAATTTACTTTCAGTTTTTAAATAAAAAATTTGTTCATAATTTTTATTTCAAGGCTCAATTACTATCATTTGGATATAACTTTGTCCAGGACAAAGAGAGGCATAGCTATCTGTGATTTATTAGTTTGACACTGGATCCCCATTTTCAGACTAAGGAGGATTTCAGACTAACGAGGAGTGGCAGGATTCACGTAGAGTAGGAATGGAGTGAGTACGGAGGAGAGATATAGCAGCTGAGTCAGGGCGGGAGGTGGAGGGCGGGTTACTTAGAGCATCTAAGGCCACTGGAATTTTACTTTTCTTCTGAGATAGACATCTATTGGAAGGATTTAAGCAGATGATTTAATGTGAGGAACTCTGAGGTTGATTTGAGTTTCTAATTTAAAAAAAGAGGGAAATCATTCCACAATGTATAATTTACTACCATCAGTCTCACCCACATACTCATTTCTTTTTGAGACTTCAGAAGGTTTTTAAGCATTGCAGATTCATCAAGGGAGGAATGACTAGTGGGCTGAATATGTTGTGTGAATAACAATACCAGTTTGGCAGGAAGATAACACCTTCTGTATCCTTAACTGGATTCAGTAATACACAGGAATGTGTACACATGAGGAAAAGAAGGTGAATCGGTCTGTGTGGTGATATTTTTCAAAGAGTATGCTTTAGAGTTAAATATTATTAATGGTTTAATAATAAGGTGATTTGTAAAATCAGTAACAAAAATAACATCTTATCAGGTAGCTGTGAGACAGCTTCAACAAAAACGAGATGATGTCTTAAACAAAGGATCAGCAACAAAAGCTCTGCTGGATGCTTCATCGCGTCACTGCACCTATTTAGAAAATGGGATGCAGGATTCAAGGAAGAAATTAGACCAGATGAGAAGTCAAGTATGTATGCAACTTTGCACACCAACAACTGTTAATCTGTAGCTAGTTAACTAATATAAAGTGTTTTGGGGTACTAATTTTAGTGGATGGCTTTCTTTTGTATTTTTATGATAATTAATGTTATTAAAATTTTATAGTGGATGGCTTTCTTCTGTATTTTCCTTATTATTAATTTTATTAAGATTTTATTATAATGCACCTATATCTTAATCTCTGGCTTTCATTCTGCCATTTTTTATACATATATTTTTTTCTTAAATATTTAACCTTAGGAAAGTTGAGAATTATGCATCATTTCTCACAGAAGTTGAGAGAGTTTTTTTTTCCTGTTAAACAGTCTATTTTTAATGATTTCTCTATTGGCATGGTGAGGCAAGCCAGGTTAATTCAGAGGATAATGTCTAATGGAATGTTTCAGAAAATTATCTTCTTTTTAGTCTCTACTTTTCTGAATGTATAAAGAACCTGTGTATACTTATTTCTTAGATTTCAGGTTAACTTGTTCAGAAAGGCCATTTTACTGAATAAATTTTTATTTCGATGAAAATCCTTACTTCCTTTGTATTGGGCTCAGAGAGCACACTCTGTCTCTATATGAATATGGACAGTTAGCATTTGCCAACATGTATCTATTTTCTCTTATTTGTAGAGAAAGCTAAACTAAAAAGGGGGTTATAGAAGGTCAGCAAAGGATGGGTTTGAGATGTTTGGGTTGGTTAAGTGGGCATTTAGACAACAGGGCTTCTCCTTTGGCATGTTTAATGGACATCTTTGCAGTTTAAGATGACGCTTTTAAATCACTTCTCTCCTAATGATGACCTGAGTCCTGCTATTCAATGGGAGAGTCAATAAGATCCTGTAGGATCTTATTTGGAACTGACTTTGTCGATTTTAATTTTGTTCCTGCTTGTTTTTAAATTTTCTTGTTGTTTCCCTAGAAAGGAAAGATGATGCTTAGTTTTAAATATTTAAAAATGTGCAAGTTGCTTTGCTATAATAAAACTAAATGCATACATACAAAAAATAAAATTATAGTTGATGTGGTAGTGTTTGGAATTCAAAATATAAATGCTTAGCGTGAGGTAATCCTTTATCTTTCCACATTTTACCAGTTTGTAAGTTTGAGTATTTAATTGATAAAATGTAATTCAAAAGCAAGAAGAATGTTGTGTTTTAGTCCTAGAGCAGGGGTCTGTGAACTTTTCTGTAAAGGGCCAGATAGTGTTATGTAAGGCTTTGTGAGCCATAAGATCCTTGTTGCAATAACTCGGCCCTGCAATTACAGCACAAAAGTAGCCATGAACAATATGCAGACTGAAGGGGTGTAGCAGTGTCCCACTAAAATTACTTACAAAAAACAGGTAATGGGATGATTTCTCCTAGATTATGACCTTTTATAAATAAAAAAGATTGTGATAGTCTAAAATATTTCATATATATTTTGTTGATTCATTCATCTACTGATGGACATTTAGGTCATTTCCAAATGTAATTTTTTAAAATTCTTTGTTTCAGTTTCAAGAAATACAGGATCAACTTACAGCTACTATAAGATGTACTAAGGAGATGGAAGGCGACACACAAAAGTAAAATTTGAAGCAGCACACAAAATAACTTGAGTATTTATAAAGCAAAAGAGCACTGTAGTATGAAAATTGTATCAGTTATGATAATTAGTATGTCTTTGTGAAGCCAAAAAAGTTTCATTTGTAAGCTATATCGAAATACATCATTTTTCTACATTATTCCTAAATTTTGCATATTATCACCAAAACACAGGTAGAAAATGACACAGTAGCCCAATCGTCTACTTTTGTGATTGCTAAGAATTTGTGTAATTATACCTTCAGAAGTTTGTTTAGAATTTACATGATTTAAAAAAAATTACGTGTGAGAGTAATTATTTTAAAATGCACATTTTAGGCTTGAAGTAGAACATGTGATGATGAGAAAAATTATTAAAAAACAGGATGACCAAATTGAGCGGCTTGAGAAAATCCTGCAGCATTCAAGTTTGGTAAGCTGATCTCTTAATTTCTGTCATACTGAAAAGGAATTTTATTTTTCCAGTAGGATGGGTTAAATATCCCTTGTCCAAAATGCTTGGGACCAAAAGTAGATTTTTTTCAGATTTTGGAATATTTGTATATACCTAATGAAATATCTTGCGGATGGTACCTGAGTCTAAACATGAAATTCATTTGTGTTTCATATATACCTTATGCACATAGCCTGAAGGTAATTCTCTACAATGTTTTACAGTAATTTTTTGCAGGTAAGAAAGTTTTTACTGTTTTCCCCAGAGCCTGTCACATGAGGTCAGGTGTGGAACGTTGCAGTTGTGGTGTCATGTCCGTGCTCAAAAAGTTTCAGATTGTAGAGCATTTTGGATTTCAGATTTTTAGATTAGGGATGATCAATCTACAGTACAGATGCTCCTTGACTTACAGTGGGTTTACATGATAATGTCTCTTGTTTGACTGAAACATTATAAGTAATATTTGATTTATTTCAGATGCTGCAGGTGTTTGAGAGCTAGATGAAGGTATGTTGCCAAAATTTATGAATTAAATTCAAATCATTGATTTCTGAAATAAACTCTAAGTAGTGAACGGTATTCCCTCTCAATTGCTTGGTTAATAAATGCTACATTAAATATTTTTTCTTACACACATCTAGTGAAAGATGTGAAAACATAAACATTCATAGTGAAGGGTATACTTATGCTTTGTTAATTCATCATGTTTCATAGCTTTAAAAAAATCGCAAGAAATCTGTGTATCCCTTTTTTTCTGGCCCTACACTTTTCTTCTGCCACCCCTATAGACTATCAGCCTGCACACTGAAACTGTTCTCACAAAACAAAGGCATTATCAACTTCTCAAGGTTAAGGTAGTGATTTAAGGCTAACAGACCCCACACTCATGTGATAATAATTAGTTAAGCAATTACAGGTCACAAGCAGTCACTTGACCAGTGACATTTTAAATCTCTAGTCATTGACTTTGTCATTGGTTTACTTTTGCCCCTGGGAAAAGTTGAAAATTCCTTAGCATGGAATCAAAACTCTCACATCAGTGTGGTTCTTGTCAAGTTATTCAGCCTTATCTTTCGCCACTTACCATACTCTACACCTTTGTTCTAGCATCCAGCCAAACTAGACTACATGGAGCTCCACAGTGATCGTCTTCACCTCCAGCTGTTTGCATTTACTTCTTCCCTCTATCCTACATGTGTTTTCCTTCCCCTTCAGATATCAACCTATGAATTGCCTCTACCAAAAAGCCTACAATATTGACACAAACCTGGGCTAGTATCCCTTCTATGTCTTCCAATAAGTGCTGTCTTATGCTTGTCATTGTATGTATGACTCTGTATGGGAATTGCCTGTTTGTTTTTTCAGATTATAGCATACAGTTGTTGAGGGGCGGACCGTATCATCTTTATCTTGTAATTCCAGTGCTTGTCCTAGTACCTTAGCACATGGTTGCTGAATACATGAACGAAGAGTGAGAAACCAGAAGCTCTGATACTTAACTGCCATGATAATGAATTCGGTGTGCAACTATGGGCAAATTATATTTAATAGTAATTGCATATTGTACATATTTTTCATTCTTATTAACACTGATAAGCTTTTCAGCATATACTGACTTTCTCTTAGTTAACTGTGAAATCATTTAGATAAAGAATATAATTCTTTTTCATTCTAACTTCTGAATTTAAATCTGAATCCTCTATAGCAGGGGTCCCCAACTCCCAGGCCACACACAGTTCCATGACCTGTTAGGAAGCAGGCTGCACAGCAGGAGGTGAGTGGCAGGCAAGCGAGTGAAGCTTCATCTGTATTTCCAGCCACTCCCTGTTGCTCACATTATCACCTGAGCTCTGCCTCCTGTCAGATCAGCAAAGCCATTAGATTCTCACAGGAGTGAAAATCCTACTGTGAACTGCTCGTTCAAGGGATCTAGGTCACATGCTCCTTATGAGACTCTAATGCCTGATGATATGTCATTGTCTCCTATCTCTTCACGATGGGACCATCTAGTTACAGAAAAACAAGCTCAGGACTCCCATTGATTCTCCATTATGATGAGTTGTGTAATTATTTCATTATGTATTACAATGTAGTCATAATAGGAATAAAGTGCACAATAGATGTAATACGCTTGAATCACCATCCTGAAACCATCCCCCAAACCCCCATCTGTGGAAAAATTATCTTTCACAAAACTGCTGCCTGGTGCCAAAAAGGCTGGGGACTGCTGCTCTATAGCTTCTGCACTAGAATCTACTAATGAGTAAAATTTAAATCAATAACTAGTTTTAAAAGCATAACAAGAATATGTGCTGTCTGGCTGCAGTGGCTCATGCCTGTATTCTCAGCACTTTGGGAGGCCAGTGCAGGTGGATCACTTGAGGTCAGGAGTTCAAGACCAGCCTGGCCAATATGGTGAAATCCTGTCTCTACTAAAAATACAAAAATTAGCTGGGTGTGGTGGTGCATGCCTGTAGTCTCAGCTACTCGGGAGGCTGAGGTGGGAGAATCACTTGAACCCGGGAGGCAGAGGTTTCAGTGAGCCAAGATCGTGCCACTGCACTCCAGCCTGAGCAACAGAGTGACTCCATCTCAAATGCAAAACAAAACAGAAAGAATACATGCTGACGAAAAAAATCTAAGACAATAAAATTGTATTACTAGGCTGTTAACATGATATTTTGTTTCCCGTTAAATGTGTGACATGCAAAAGTATTTATTAAATGAAAATATTTTTTATCTTTTATGTCTGATGAAAATTTATATCGTGTTTTAAATGATGTTTCTTGGCCTCTTTAACTTTTTATTTTTTTATTATTTTTTTTTTGAGACGGAGTCTGGCTCTGTCACCCAGGCTGCAGTGCAGTGGCGAGATCTTGGCTCACTGCAAGCTCCGCCTTCTGGGTTCACGCGGTTCTCCTGCCTCAACCTCCCGAGTAGCTGCGACTACAGGTGCCCAGCTAGTTTTTTTTTGTATTTTTAGTAGAGATGGAGTTTCTCCCTGTTAGCCAGGATGGTCTCCATCTCCTGACCTTGTGATCTGCCCACCTCGGCCACCCAAAGTGCTGGGATTACAGGTGTGAGCCACTGCACCGAGCCTGAAAATCTTACTACCTAAATAACTTCCCACTCCACTCACACCCACAATCTTTCTATAATCCACATTCTCTCCTGAGACAAGAGCTTGGGAAGTTCCGTCTTGCTGAGGGAACTTTATATTGTTCAGGAATTCTTTAATAAGGTTTTACATAGTTGGGGAAACCAGGGAAAAGCAGGTTTGTCACTGCTTTGCTGAGGAGCAGACTCACGTGCCTTGGAAGAATTTAGTAAACCTTCAATAGATGGCCTAAGATACTAACAGGGGCCATCTCATTAAGCTACACAGTTATTTATAAATGAAAGTATAATCTAGAACTTACATGTCAAAGTCTTCCACTAGAAAGATGGCAATATTTGACTAAAACTGCAAAGTTTGTCCCAGTTGACAAAACTCTAATCAAGCCCCTGCCCTTCTCATTCTGTTTTTCCTTTTAAACTTTTTCTTATATTTTAATTTTTCATTTGACAAATGCATATTTCCTCTTTATACCATGCTTCCAAGTGTCACTCTGATACATACCTTCAATGAGCAGACACAGGATTGTGGAGTTTGTTGTGGACACTCATCCCATGAATAGGGAGACTCCGATAACCTGAACAGACGGCTCTAGAAAAGAAAGGAAACTTTCTTTTCCTTCCATACAGAGCTTCCCCCCATTATTTCAGTGTACACAAACCAACATCAGTTCTTTAACACAAAAATAAAAATACTCAAGATCAAGCAATTGTGAGGGGAATCATCTTTCCAGAAGTCAATTCTTCTAGCGGCTACCTTCAGCATATACAACTTGAATAAAAAGAAGTTGGTCAAACGAGTAAAACTTTCCCACCTCATTCCAGTTCTATCTACCCATTGACAACACCTTCGGTCTTCTCACAAATATTGAGTAGAAACACTGCCAACTCTTCACCTTTATCTGGCTCATTCCCAGAGCCAGGAGAAGATGTGACTTATTTGGTGGATGGGAAATCTTATCCATTGGTCCCATCAAATCCATTGGTCCACGTTTGCCTATTAGTAAGGCAAACTTACTCAGTGATCAATGAGTACATCTAGTCTCTCTTTCTCCTCTGGATTCTGAACAGGAGACTTGGAAGGCAGGTGAAGACCCTCCCTGCACTGGGTGGGTAACTGACTGTTCTTCAGATGAACTTTTTTTTGTTCAGGTTCTAAAGTCAAGGCTAGGGGGCAATATTAGAAGTCTTTTTTGGTCAACATTAAGCCATAGTTTCTAAATCAGCTTTAGGAGGAATAATGTATTTGGATATTGATCTGACCTTTTGTTTTTATTTCTAAGTTGGTTTGGCACTGAAAAAGGAGAGGTTTGTTATCAGTCCACACCCCTAATGCCCTGACATCCATGAATCCGTTTTAGTGGAATCCAGATCTCTAAGAAAGAGATATAAAATATTTGTTCCTATCCAACTGTGATTACTGTATTTCCAACTATGTTGCTGTCGGTAAGTAGAGTCTGCATACATGTTTCTGGTTCATATATGCCTAGGGTTCCAGAGCATTACATTTCCATCAAAATGTAGATCCCGAGAATGCCAGAGAGGGTCAGGCCGAGGATAGAACAGACAGTGATTTTCAGATACTGCAGTAGGAAGGTGGATCCATGTCTTGGCTGGTACTTGTAACCATGAAGTGTGGGAAAGTAATGACCAGATTGAGTAAATGACCAGAAATTCAAAACTAAGCCACAAGAAATTTGTCTATTTCTGCTTTTGTTGACTGCTATCAGGGTTGCATCAAAAACAGTATTGCTGAGACCAGTGTTGTGGAGCTTTAACTCTATGTTTTCTTCTAGTAATTTTACAGTTCAGGCCTTCTATTTAAATCTTCATTTGGAGTTGATATTAGTATGTGGTGTAAGTTAAGGGACTAACTTTATTTTTCCTGTGGATATTCAGTTTTCTCAACACCATTTGTAGAACAGACTATCCTTTAACCATTGTATGTCCTTGGCACCTTTGTCAAAGATAAGTTGACGTGTGTGGATTTATTTCTGGGTTTTCCATTTTGTTTAGCAAATTTGTCCATTTATATGCCACTACCATGATTACAATTGTTTTACAATATGTAATAAAATTAGGTAGCATGCTGTCTCTAGCTTTGTTCTTTTTGCTCAAGATTATTTTGTCTATTTTAGGTCTGTTCAATACAAATGTCAAGATTTTTTTCCATTTCTGTAAAAGAATGGCATTGGAATTTTGATAGTGATTGCATCAAATATGTTGCTTTTGGTATTTTGTTCATTTTCACAATATTAATTCATCCCATCCACAAGCATGAATTTTTTTTTCATTTACTTGTGTTTTTAAATTTTTGTTCATTGGTGTTTTATAGTTTTTCATATACAGGACCTTTAATTTTTTGCTTAAATTTACACCTAAGTATTTAATTTCTGTTGCTATCATACTTGGGATTTTTAAAAAATTTCTTCAGGTAGTTTGTTATTTGTATACAGAAACACTTCTGATCTTTGTTAGATTATTTTGTATCCTGAAACCTTATCGAATTCATGCATCAGTTCTAACAGTTTTTGGTGGAATATTTAGGGTTTTCTGTATACAGGATCATGTTGTCTGCAATTAGAGATAATTTCACTTTTTTCTGAGTAGGATGCTTTTCTTTTCTTGTCTAATTGTTCTGCCTAGGAATTCCACTGTTAACGATGAAAAGAAGTGGTGAGACTGGTCATCCTTGTCTTGTCTCTGAACATGGAGGAAAAGCTTTCCACTTTTCACTGTTGAGAATAATGTTAGCTAAGAGCTTGTCATACACGGTTCTTTTTTGTGTCGAGATACATTTTCTCTACACTTAATTTGTTGAGAGCTTTCATCATGAAAGGGTTTTAAATTTTGTCATGTGCTTTTTCTGCATGTATTGAGAGAATCGTATGATTTTTGTCTTTGACTTTGTTCATGCATTTTATCACATGTATTCATATGCATATGTTGAAACCAACTTGCATCCAAAGGATAAATCCCACTTTATCATGGTGAATGATTCCATTCATATATTCTTAAATTTGGTTGCTAATGTTTTGTTGAAGATTTTTGAATCAGGGTTCGTTACTGACATTGGCCTAGTATTTTCGTCTCTTGTAGTGTCCTTGTCTGTCTTTGGTATCGGAATGATGGTACCCTAATAAAATGAGTTTGGAAGTATTTCCTCTATTTCACTTTTTTGAAAGAGTTTGAGAGTAATTAGTATTAGTTCTTTAAAGGTTTGTCAGAATTTAGCAGTGAAGCCTTCTGGTCCTATGCTTTTCTTTCATGGGAGGCTTTTAATTTCTGCTTCAGGCCAGGCTTGGTGGCTCACACCTGTAATCCTAGCACTTTGGGAGGCTGAGGTGGGTGGATTGCTTGAGGTCTGGAGTTCGAGACCAGCCTAGCCAAAGTAGTGAAACCCTGTCTCTACTAAAAATACAAAAAATCAGATGGGTGTGGTGGTGGGCGCCTGTAATCCCAGCTACTTGGAAGGCTGAGGTAGGAGAATTGCTTGAACCTGGGAGGCGGAGGCTGCAGTTAGCTGAGACTGTGCCATTGCACTCTACCCTGGGCAACAAAAGCAAAACTCCGCTTCAAAAAAAAAAAATTCTGCTTCAATTTCCTTATTATTTATTAGTCCATTCAGATTTTCTGTTTCTTCTTGATTCAGTCTTGGTAAGTTGTATGTTTGTGGAAATGTTTTTATTTCTTCCATGTTATCCAAATTGTTGGCATACAAATGTTCATTATATGAACAATTGTAATCCTTTGTATTTTAGAGTTAAAAGTTGTAATTTCTCCTATTTCATTTCTGATCTTATTTGTTGGAATAGTCCTTTTTCTAGTTAGTCTAGATACGGATTGGTTGATTTTGTTTATCGCCTTAAAAAGAAGTTCAGTATTAATTCTTTCCATTGGGTTTCTCATATCTATTTTATTTATTTCCACTTTAATCTTTGCTATTTTCTTATTTCTGCTAATTCTTGGCTTTGTTTCTCATCTAGTTCATTGAGGTATAATGATTGATTTAACTACATTCTATAAGTTTTGGTATGTTGTGTTTTCATTTTTGTGTGTCTTAAAATATGTTTTTAAATTTTTTCTGTAACTCATGGGCCATTTATGAATATGTTAAATTTTGCTATTTTATGTATTTTTCAAGATTTCTTCTGTTACGGATTTCTAGCTTTATGCCATTGGGATGCAAAAATTTTCTTTCTATAATTCAATTCTCTAATATTTGTTAAGATCTGTTTTGTGGCCTAACATATGACATATACTGGAGAATGTTCCACCCACATTTCAGAAGAACAGGTACACTTCTGCTGTTGGATAGGATGTTCTGGGTATATCTGTTAGATCCAGTTGCTCCAAAGTGTGATTCAAATCTAATGTTTCTTAATTTATTATCTTTCTAAATGATCTTTCCATGGTTGAAATTGGAGTATTGAGGTCTCCTACTATTATAGTATTGCAGTATATTTTTCTCATGAGATTATTTAATAATTGCTTTATGAATTTAGGTCTTGTGACCTTGAGTGCATATATATTTACATGTATTATGTCTTCATGATGAATTAACTCCTTTATCGTTATGCAGTGAACCCTATCTCTTTTATAGGTTTTGACTTAGTTTATTTCTTTTAATAGTAAGTATAGCTCCCCTGCTCTATTTTAGTTTGCATTTGCATGGAATATCTTTTTTCATCTTTTCAGTTTCAGCCTATATATGTCTTGACTGGTAAAGTGAGTCTCTTGTAGGCAGCACATGATTGAATCTTGTTTTTTATTCTATCCATTGAGATGCTCTATGTCCTTTTATTTGACAATGTAATGCACTTACTATCAAGGTAATTATTTATAGGGAAGGACTTGCTACTGCCACTTTGTAATTTTTTTTCTGATTGTTTTATGAGTTCTTTGTTCCCTTTTTCTCTCTTGCTGAACTATTTTATAGCTTGATGGCTTTCTGTGGTGGTATGCTTTAAAATTTTGGATAAATTGCAAAATAAACTTTTTTATTTTGTGCAGTTATGATAGGTTTTGTTTTGTGGTTATCATGAAACTTACCTAAAATATCATATTCTTATAACAAACTACTCTAACAACTTCTGATAGCAACTTCTCTTTAATTGCATCCAAAAGTCTACATTTTCATTCTCTCTCCCTTACAATTGTACAATTTTATGTCAAAACTTACCCTTTTAGTTCATACTTATATACCTTAGCAATTTATTGTAGCTACAGTTATTTTCAATACCTTTGTCTGCTAACCCTACTAGTAGGGATAAAATTGCTTTACAAACCACCCTTAGAATATTAGAGCATTTGGAACATGACTGTGTATTACTGATAGCATTGACGCTTTTTACTTTTATGTGTTTTTTCTTACTATTTAGCCTTTTATTTCAATGTAAGGCTCTTCCTTTAGTAATTCTGATCAATCAGGGATATTGATTATAAATTTTATTAGTTTTTTTTTGTATAGAAAGGTTTTTATATCTCCCTCTCCCTCATTTCTACAGGACAGCTTTGCTAGGCACAGCATTTTTTTTTCAAGATGGAGTCTTGCTCTGTCACCCAGGTTGGAGTGCAGCGGTGTGATCTCGCCTCCCAGGTTCAAGCTTGCTCACTGCCATCTCTGCCTACCAGGTTCAAGCAATTCTCCTGCCTCAGCCTCCCGAGTAGTTGGGATTACAGGCCCATGCCACCATGCCCAGCTAATTTTTGTATTTTTAGTAGAGATGGGGTTTCATCATGTTGGCCAGGCTGGTCTTGAACTCCTGACCTCCTGATCCACCTGCCTTGGCCTCCCAAACTGCTGTGATTACAGGTATGAGCCAGTTCACCCAACCGGGAACAGTATTGTTGATTGGCATTTTTGTTTGTTTGCTTGCTTGTTTGCTTTAGCATTTTGAATACATCATCCCTCTCTCGTGGACTGTAGGGTTTTCTGCAGAGAAATCCACTGAAAGCCATATTGAAGCTCCCTTGAATGTGATGTATTTCTTGTTTTTTTGCTGTTTTCAGTATTCTTTGTTTTTCATTTTTAATAACTTCATTGTGATGTGTGTTGATAAATGCCTCTTGGATTGAAATGGATTCATGACCTCTGCAGTTTTCATACCTCAATGTTGTCATCATTCTTCATGTTTGGGAAATTTTTAGTCATTATTTCATTAAATATGCTTGCTAGGCCTTTTTCTTTTTCTTCTCCTTCAGAAACTGTTATTATATGAAAGTTGGGTTGTTTGATTGAGTCCCATAATTGCCATAGGCATTTGTTATTCTTTTTTGTTGTTGTTTTTCCCCGATGGAATCATTTCAAATGTTTTTTCTTTAAGCTCACTGATTCTTTTTTTCTGCTAATAAAATCAGCTGCTGAAGCATTGTATTAAATTTTTAGTTTGTTGTATTCTCTATATCTAGAATTTCTATTTGTTTTTTTGTTATCATATCTATTTCTACTTCAGAACTATCATTCTGTTAATGAATTGTTTCCCAAATTTATTTTAGTATGTTATCCATGATTTCTTGTACAGGCATACTTCAGGGATATTGCAGGTGTGATTCCAGGCAACCACAATGTAATAAGAACTTGAATTTTTGGTTTTACACTGCATATAAAAGTTTTTTACACTATACCATAGTCTATAAAGTGTGCAATAGCCTTATGTCTACAATTACATACTTTAAAAACTACTTTATTGCTAAAAATGCAAATGATCATCTGAGCCTTCAGTGAATTTTAATTTTTGCTGATAAAGAGTCTTTCCTCTGTGTTGATGGCTGCTGAATGATTAAGGTGGTGGTTGCTGCAGATTGAGGTGGTTGTGGCGATTTCTTAAAATAAAACAACAGTAAAGTTTGCTGCATCACTTGACTCCTTTGATGAAAGGTTTATCTGTAGTGTGCCATGCTGTTGGATAGCATTTTACCTCACAGTAGAACACCTTTCAAAATGAGAGTCGATCCTATCTAATGCTGCCACCGCTTTATCAACTCAGTTTGTATAATAAGATAGGTG
The DNA here is from genome assembly GCF_000001405.40 of Homo sapiens. Classification (NCBI taxonomy): domain Eukaryota; kingdom Metazoa; phylum Chordata; class Mammalia; order Primates; family Hominidae; genus Homo; species Homo sapiens. Next base: position 234,488 of record NW_025791765.1, read on the forward strand.
TTTTTTTGTCATTTCAACAGTGTTTACAGTATCTTCACGAGGAATAGATTCCATCTCAGATGGATGGGCTATAAGAAACAACTTTTAGTACATTCAAGTTTGATCATGAAACTGCAGAAATTCAGTCACAGGCTCAGGCTCCAGTTTTACTCTTAGTTCTCTCCCTAGTTCCATCACACTCACAGTTACTTCCTCCACTGAAGTCTTGAAACCCTGCAAGCTATCTATGAGGGCTGAAATCAATTTCTTCCAAACTTCATATTTTGACCTCCTCCAAGGAATCACAAATATCTTTAATTTCATCTAGAATAGTGATTGCTTTCTAAAAAAATCCAGATGATTTTTAATTTGCCTTGTGCAGATACACAGAAGAATCATTGTCTATGGCAGGTATAGGCTTACAAAATGTATTCTTAAATAATAAAATGTCCTTGATCCATGGGCTTCAGAATGAATGCTGTGTTAGCAGGCATGAAAACAACATTAATCTATTTGTACAACTCCATCAGAGCTCTTGGGTTATGAGTGCATTGTCAATGAGCAGTAATATTTTAAAAGATATATATATATATATATATATATATATATATACACACATATATACATACACACACATACACATATACACACACACAAACACACACACACACACACACGTTTTCTGGACAATAGGTCTCAACAGTGTGCTTAAGATATTTGGTAAACCATACTGTAAACGATGTGTTTTCATCCAGGCTTTGTTGTTTCATTTATAGAGTATAGGTAGCATAGGTTTAGAAGAACTTAAAAATGTAGCAGAATGGTAAATGAGTACTGCCTTTAATGTTTTAATGTAACCAGCTGCATTAGCCAGTACATAAAGAGTCAGCCTGTCCTCTGAAGATTAGAAGCCAGGCATTGACTTCTCCTCTATAGCTGTGAAAGTTTTAGGTATCCTCTTCTTCCAGTATAATGCTGTTTTGTCTACATTGAAAATCTGTTATTTAGCATAACTGCCCTCATCAATGATCTTAGCTAGATCTTCTGGATAACTTGCTGCAGCTTCTCTATCAGCACTGGCTGCTTTACCTTGCACTTTTATGTTATGAAGATTCTTTTCTTAAACCTCATGAACCAACCTCTGCTAGCTTTAAACTTGTCTTCTGCAGCCTCCTCACCTGTGTCAGACTTCATAGAATTAAAGAATGTTAGGGCTTAGCTCTGGATTCAGCTTTGGCTTAGCGAAATGTTGTGGCTCATTTGATTTTCTATCCAGACCACTAAAACTGTCTTCACATCAGCAATAATACCATTGTACTTATCATTTGTGCATTCACTGGAGTAGTCTGTTTAATTTCCTTTAAGAACTTTTTTTTTTTTGCATTCACAGCTTAGTTTACTGTTTGATGTAAGTTGCCTAGCTTTCAGCCTATCTGAGCTTTCAACATGCTTTTCTCACCCTATTAATCATTTCTAGCTTTGTATTTAAATACTGGCATCATGGGGGCTAATGTGGCTTACAAAGTACAATTCATCTGGCAGATGGAACCATAGTTTGACACTACCAGTCTTATGTCGGGTTCAACCCAGTAATAAATCCAAGCCTACCCATTCTTCCCGGAAGGAGCTTGATTATGCATTGAATCAAGCTCCCAGAAGGAGCTTGATTATGCATTGAAATTCCACAACCTCCGTGGTTAGTGCCCAAGGAACTGTTTTCTTAAGAACTCTGCTCTGTGAGTCGACAGGATTTTGTATTTTTGAATGTATTTAGACCATAGAAAACAAAGAAGTAAGCATACAATGGGCCCACATTCAGAAGCTATCTCCTCAGGATCAGAGGCTGCATCCAGAGTGTGCATAGGTGTTTGTCACAGATCCTCTACCAAGCTTAATGGAGAGAGAGTGGGAGATAAATGTCCATACTAATCTTCATCATGTAGCTAGAAAGAACTGAAACACTCCTCCAGCCTTCTAACTTTCTAGCTACATCTGGATTGTCTGGCTCCTACCTTAACCAATTTCTGGTTACTGACAAGGCGTGGCACATCCTAAGTTCCAGGGAGCCACCAAAAACAGTCAATACTAGAGCACACAAGGACTTGAGAGGTACCTGAAGATCTCTGGCTGGAAAGTTTGGTGAGATCCTTTTCCTACATGAGGCCAGTCTTATCAAATGCACGGGAACCAACAGAGAGAGTCGAGGAAAAATGAAGAAACAGGGAAATATATTCAAAGCAAGAAAACAAGATAAATCTCCAGCACCTGAGTGAAGTGCAGATATGTAATTTATCTGACAGAGATTTCCAAATAATGGTCATAACAATAATCACTGAGGTCAAGATAGCTTTGCAAGAACAAGTTGAGAACTTCAAGAAAAGGAAAAACGTTATACAATAATGTCAAACAAATCATAGATCTAAAGTGTACTGTAACTGAACTGAAAAAATTTAATAGAGGTGTCCATTAATAGAATCTATCAGTGAACTTTGAGACTGGTCACTGGAAATTATCTAACCTGAGGATCAGAAAAAAAGATAATGCAAACGGAGTGAAGACAACTTTAGAGAGTTATGGGACACCATCAAGCAGGACCACTCACACATTATTGGCATGCCTGAAGGAGAAGTGAGGAAGAAAGGAACGGAAAAGTGTTTAAAGGAATAATGACAGAGAATTTATCAAGCATGGGGAAGAAAACAGAAAGCCTGATCCAGAAAGCCCAAAGGAAACCAAATAAGGTGAATCCAGGGACTCACAACAAGATACACTATAATCAAATTGTCCAAAGTTAAAGACAAAAAGAGAGTGATATTGTTTGCAAATTTGTACCCTCCAAATATTGTGTCAAGATTTGATCCCCAATGTTGGAGGTGGGACCTAGTGGGAGGTGTTTGGGTCATGGTGGTTGATCTCTCCTGGATAGCTTCTTGCCCTTTTTTCACTAATGAGTGAGTTCTCACTGCATTACACGAAAGGTGGTTGTTTAAAACAGTGTGGCACCTCTCCCGTCTCTTCTACCTCTCTAGCCATGTGTGTCATACCCGTTGTCTCTTCACCTTTAGCCACAAGTAAAAGCCTTCTGGGTCCCTGACCAGAAGCTGTGCAGATGCCACTGCCATTCTTCTTCTACAGCCTGCAAAACTGTGAGCCAAACAAACCTCTGTTCCTTATAAATTACCTAGTCTCAGCTAATTTTTTATAGCAACACAAAAATTTGTGTTTTTCCGTGTTGCTCTTTTCTGTGTTATTCTGTGTTGCTAACACAGAAATTAGTACCAAGGAGTGGGGTTTTGCTATAAAAATACCTGATAATGCAGAATTTGCTTTGGAACTGGGTAATAGGCAAAGAAGTCAGGAAGATGAGGAAACTTGTGGAACTTAATTAGACCTTGGTTAAGTGGTTGACCAAAATGATAATAGGAATATGAACAGTGAAGGCCATGCTGTTGAGGTACATAGAATACAACTTTCAAGAAGTGACTGCACCATTTTGCATTCCCACAAGCAATGAATGAAGTTTCCTCTTGCTCCACATCCTTGCCAGCGTTTGATGTTGTCAGTGGTTCTAGATTTTGGTTATTCTAATACGTGTGCAGTGGCATCTCATGGTTGCATTTCTCTGAGGAAATATTATGTGTAGCCTCATTACATATGCTTATTTTCCATTTGTATAATTTACTTGGTGAGGTACTTGTTAAGGTCTTTAGCTCATGTCTTTTACTGCTCAGCTTTAAGAATACTAATATGTTTTGAATAATAGTTCTTAATCAGATACGTTTTGGCAAATTTTTTTCCATCTGTGGTTTCTCTTTTCTTTCAGTGTCTTTAATGGTGTAAAAATGTTACATTTTCATCAAGTCCAGCTTGTCAATTCTTTCTTCTATTGACTTCAACTTTGGTGTTTTTTCTAAAGGTCATCATTAAACCCAAGATAATCTGTATTTCCTTCTATATTATCTTCTATAAATTTTATAGTTTTTTGTATATTTATGTTGCTGATCCATTTTGAGTTAATTTTGGTGGGGGTGTAAGGTCTGCAATTTATTTTTTTTTTGCATGTGGATATCCAGGTATTCCAGCAGCCCTTCCTGAAAAAACTGTTTCATCATCATAATGCCTTTACTTTTTTGTCAAAAATTAATCGAATGTATTAATGTGTTTCTATTTGTGAACTCTCTATCTCATTTTATCCGTTTGTTCTTTCACTAATACCACACTGTCTCCATTACTGTAGCTTTAGGGTAAGTCTTGAAATTGAGTAGTGTCTGTCCTCCAAGTTTGTTCTTCTCCTTCAATATGGTGTTAGCTATTCAAGGTCTTTTGCCTCTCCATATAAACATTTTCATTTAGAGTAGAATTGCATTGAATCTATACATTGGAAAGAACTGACATCTTAATAGCATTGAATCTACTTATGAATACGGTACATATCTCTTTTTGTTTCATTCTTCGCTTTCTTTCATCAGATATGGACATTTCTGGAATTAAGAGCATTGAATCTACTTATGAATACGGTACATATCTCTTTTTGTTTCATTCTTCGCTTTCTTTCATCAGATATGGACATTTCTGGAATTAAGAGCCCCCTCTACATTGAGCACAAGACAGTGACGAATCCACATTCTTCAGCCAGAAAGTCACCTCTGAGAGCCAAATGTCTGACTATAGAAAGGAGAGTCAAAGAATGATAACGACATCTCAGGAAAATTGTGAAAATAATCAGCAGCCGGATGTGGATAACCCTTTCAAATTTCTCCAGGGCACCTGTCATTTCAGCCAATACTTGCCAGCTTGTGCCAAGGATGCTGGAGCTCCCTGGGATGAGTTTCCCAGGGGAGGAGCTGGCCGCCATCTTTGCTGTTTGGGTGACACAGCCATTCCAGCCTGTGGGCTTTGGACAGTGCAAACTGGTGGGGTAGAAGGGATCCCTAGAATAGCACAGCTGCTCTCCCAACATGTGCCCAGATCCTTTTTTTTTTTTTTTTTTTTTTTTTTTTTTTTTTTTTTTGAGAAGGAGTCTTGCTCTGTCACCCAGGCTGGAGTGCAGTGGCATGATCTCGGCTTACAGCACCCATCACAGCCCTGGTTCAAGCAGTTCTTCTGCCTCAGCCTCCCAAGTAGCTAGGACTACAGGTGCCCATCACCACGCACAGCGAATTTTTTTATTTTTAGTAGAGATGGGGTTTCACCATGTTGGCCAGGCTGGTCTGGAACTCCTGACCTCAAGTGATCCACCCTGCTGGGCCTCCCGAAGTATGGGGATTACAGGCATGAGCCACCGTGGCCGGCCCCAGACAGAATCTTTAAGGGGATTCCCAATCTGTTCCTCCCAACCAGGGCCTCCAGCTACCCCACTGGTGTCTGGGGCTGAGAGGAATTTGAATTCTCCCTGGGAGGGAGTTCTGGAGTTCCTGCCCAGTGGGAGTCCTTCCAACTGGGGCCTGGGGGAGAGGATGGGGCCAGCTTTGGAGAGTCCCAAATGACTGGGGGTGGAAGGGATCCCCCAGCACATCACAACTGCTCTACCAAATAGTGGCCAGGCAGATTCTTTACACAGATCCCTGATTCTTTCCTCCTCTCTGGGTGGGACCTCCCACCTGGGGCCTCCACCACCCCACCGGTGTTCTCGAGCTGACAGAGATTTACATTCTCCCCGGGAAGGAGTTGTCGAGGTCCTGCCCAGTAAGGAGGAATGGATCAGGAACCTGGTAAAAGAATCTGCCTTCTAAGATTTTGTAGAGTAGCTGTGCTGTGCTGATGATATATCCCTTCTGCCCCGGTAGGTATGGATTCTCCAGAGCCCGCGGGCTGTAACGACTAAGTTGCACAAACAGCAAAGATGGCTCCTTGCTCTTGCGCGTGGGAACTCATTCCAGGAATTCAAATCTCTGTCAGCCTGAGAACACCGGTGTGGGTGGCTGGAGGCCCCAGCTGAAAGGACCCTCATTGGGCTGGACCTCCAGGCCTCCATGCCAGGGAGAACTCAAATCTCTGTCAGCCCCAGAACACTGGTGGGGGTGGCTGGAGGCCCCAGTTGGGAGGTCCCCCACTGGGCCAGACCCCGAGACCTCCATGCCAGAGAGAATTCAAATCTCTGTCAGCCCCAGAACACTGGTGGGGGTGGCTGGAGGCCCCGGTTGGGAGGTCCCTCACTGGAAGGGACCCCAAGAACCGCATCCCAAAGATAATTCAAATATCTGTCAGCCCCAGAACACTGGCGAGGGTGGCTGGAAGCCACGGTAGGGAGGTCCCTCACTAAGCAGGACCTCAAGACCTCCATACCAGGGGGAATTCAAACCTCTGTCAGCCACAGAACACTGGCAGGGGTGGCTGGAGGCCCTAGTTGGGAGGTCCCTCACTGCGCCAGACCCCAAGACCTCCATGCCAGAGAGAATTCAAATCTCTGTCAGCCCCAGAACACTGGCGGGAGTGTCTCAAGGCCCCTATTGGGAGGTCCCTCGCTGAATGGAACCTCAAGACCTCCATCCCAAAGAGAATTCAAATCTCTGTCAGCCTGAGAACACCAGCGGGGGTGGCTGGAGGCCCCTGTTGGGAGGTCCCTCACTGGGCGGGACCTCGAGACCTCCATGCTGGGGAGAATTCAAATCTCTGTCAGCCCCAGAACGCTGGCGGGGGTGGCTGGAGGCCCCGGTTGGGAGGTGCCTCACTGGGCAGGACCTCCAGAACTCCATGCCAGGGAGAATTCAAATCTCTGTCAGCCCCAGAACACTGGTGGGGGTGGCTGGAGGCCCCGGTTGGGAGGTGCCTCACTGGGCAGGACCTCCAGACCTCCATGCCAGGGAGAATTCAAATCTCTGCCAGCCCGAGAACACTGGTGGGGGTGGCTGGAGGCCCTGGTTGGGAGGTCCCGCCCAGTGAGGAGGAATGGATCACAGACCTTCTTAAAGACCCAGTATGGCCACATTTTGGTAGAGCACCTCGCTGGTGTTCCAGGGCTGACAGAGATCTGAATTCTCCCTGGCACGTAGTTCTCAAGGTCCTGCCCAATGAGGGTCCTTTTACCTGGGGTCCCCAGCCACCCCCTCCGGTGTTCTCAGGCTGACAGAGATTTGAGTTCTCCCTGGCATGGAGGTCTCAGGATCTTGCCCAGTGAGGGACCTCCCAACTGGGGCCTCCAGCCACCCCCTCCGGTGTTCTGGGGCTGACAGAGATTTGAATTCTCTCTGGCATGGAGGTCTTGGGGTGTGGCCCAGTGAGGGGCCTCCCAACTGGGGCCTCCAGCCACCCCCACCAGTGTTCTGGGGCTGACAGAGATTTGAATTCTCCCTGGAATGGAGGTCTCCAGGTCCCACCCAGTGAGGGACCTCCCAACTGGGGCCTGCAACCACCCCTGTCAGTGTTCTGGGACTGACAGAGATTCGAATTCTCCCTGGCATGGAGGTCTTTAAGTCCTGCCAAGTGAGTGACCTCCCAATCGGGCCTCCAGCCACCCCCGCCGGTGTTCTTGGGCTGACAGAGATTTGAATTCTCCCTGGTATGGATGTCTCAGGGTCTGGCCCAGTGAAGGACCTCGGCATCCAGCCACCCCTGCCAGTGTTTTGGGGCTGACAGAGATTTGAATTCTCCCTGGCATGGAGGTCTTGAGGTCCTGCCCAGTGAGGGACCTCTCAACCGTGGCCTCCAGCCACCCCCACCGGTGTTCTTGGGCTGACAGATATCTGAATTCTCCCTGGCACCTAGTTCTCAAAGTCCCGCCCAATGAGGGTCCTTTTAGCTGGGGTCTCCAGCCAATCCCACCGGTGTTCTCAGGCTGACAGTGATTTGAGTTCTCCCTGGCATGGAGGTCTTTAGGTCCTGCCCAGTGAGGGATCTCCCAACTGGGGCCTCCAGCCACCCCCGCCAGTGTTCTGGGGCTGACAGAGATTTGAATTCTCCCAGGTATGCAGTTCTTGGTTCTTGAAGTCCCGCCCAGTAAGGGTTCTCCTAACTGGGGCCTCCGGCCACCCTCACCTGTGTTCTCATGCTGACAGAGATTTGAACTCTTCCTGACATGGAGGTCTCCACTTCCTGTCCGCTGTGGGTCTTTTCAATTCAGGCCTCCAGCCACCCACCCCTGGTGTTCTCAGGCTGACAGAGATTCGAATTCTCCCTGGCACTTAGTTCTTGAGGTCCTACCCAATGAGGGTCCTTTTAGCTGGGGTCTCCAGCCAACCCCACTGGTGTTCTGGGGCTGACAGAGGTTGGAGTTCTCCCTGGCATGGCGGCCTTGGGGTCCCGCCCAGTGAGGGACCTCCCAACTGGGGCCTGCAGCCACCCCTGCCAGTGTTCTGGGGCTGACAGAGATTTGAATTCTCCCTGGAATGGAGGTCTCAGGGTCTGGCCCAGTGAGGGACCTCCCAACTGGGGCCTCCAGCTAACCCCACCAGTGTTCTGGGGCTGACAGAGATTTGAATTCTCCCTGGCATGGAGGTCTTTAGGTCCTGCTTAGTGAGGGACCTCCCTACCGTGGCTTCCAGCCACCCTCGCCAGTGTTCTGGGGCTGACAGAGGTTTGAATTCTCCCTGGAATGGAGGTCTCAGGGTCTGGCCCAGTGAGGGACCTCCCAACTGGGGCCTCCAGCTAACCCCGCCAGTGTTCTGGGGCTGACAGAGATTTGAATTCTCCCTGGCATGGAGGTCTTCAGGTCCTGCCAAGTGAGTGACCTCCCAATTGGGTCTCCAGCCACCCCCACCGGTGTTCTTGGGATGACAGAGATTTGAATTCTCCCTGGTATGGAGGTCTCAGCGTCTGGCCCAGTGAAGGACTTCGGCCTCCAGCCACCCCTGCCAGTGTTTTGGGGCTGACAGAAATTTGAATTCTCCCTGGCATGGAGGTCTTGAGGTCCTGCCCAGTGAGGGACCTCTCAACCGTGGCCTCCAGCCACCCCCACCGGTGTTCTCGGGCTGACAGAGATCTGAATTCTCCCTGGCACGTAGTTCTCAAGGTCCCGCCCAATGAGTGTCCTTTTAGCTGGGGTCTCCAGCCAATCCCACTGGTGTTCTCAGGCTGACAGTGATTTGAGTTCTCCCTGGCATGGAGGTCTCGGGGTCTTGCCCAGTGAGGAACCCCCCCAACCGGGGCCTGCAGCCACCCTCGCTGGTGTTCTGGGGCTGACAGAGATTTCAATTCTCCCAGGCATGGAGTTTTTGAGGTCCCACCCAGTTAGGGTTCTCCTAACTGAGACCTCTGGCCACCCACACCTGTGTTCTCATGCTGAAAGAGATTTGAATTCTTCCTGGCATGGAGGTCTCCGGTTCCTGCCCAGTGAGGGTCCTTCCAACTCAGGCCTCCAGCCAACTCCCCCCACCCCCGCCAATATTCTGGGGCTGACAGAGATTTCAATTCTCCCTGGCATCGAGGTATCGGGGTCCTGCCCAGTGAGGGACCTCCCAACGGGGGCCTGCAGCCACCCCCGCCAGTGTTCTGGGGCTGACAGAGATTTGAATTCTCCCTAGTGTGGAGGTCTTGAGGTCCTGCCCAGTGAGGGACCTCCCAAGCGGGGCCTCCAGCCAACCCCACTGGTGTTCTCATGCTGAGAGAGATTTGAATTCTCCCTGGCATGTAATTCACAAGGTCCCACCCAATGAGGGTCCTTTTAGCTGCGGTGTCCAGCCACCCCCACTGGTGTTCCCAGGCTGACAGAGATTTGAGTTCTCCCTGGCATGGAGGTCTTGGGGTATCGCCCAGTGAGGGACCTCCCAACCGGGGCCTCCGGCCACCCCCGCCTTTATTCTGGGACTGACAGAGATTTGAATTCTCCCTGGCATGGAGGTCTCGGGGTCTGGCCCAGTGAGCGACCTCCCAACTGGGGTCTCTGGCCACCCCTGCCAGTGTTCTGGGGCTGACAGAGATTTGAATTCTCCCTGGCATGGAGGTCTCGGGGTCCCGCCCAGTGAGGACCTCCCAACTAGGGCCTGCAACCACCCCGGTAGTGTTCTGGGGCTGACAGAGATGTGAATTCTCTCTGGCACGGAGGTCTCGGTGTCTGACCCAGTGAGGGACCTCCCATATGGGGCCTCCAGCCACCCCCGCCAGTGTCCTGGGGCTGACAGAGATTTGAATTTTCCCTAGCATGGAGTTCTTGAGGTCCCACCCAGTGAGGGTTCTCCTAACTGGGCCCTCCGGCCACCCCTACCTGTGTTCTCATGCTGACAGAGATTCGAGTTCTCCCTGGCATGGAGGTCTCCAGTTCCTGCCCAGTGAAGTTCCTTTCAACTCGGGCCCCCAGCCACCACCCCACCCCCTCCTCCAGTGTCCTCAGGCTGCCAGAGATTTCAATTATCCCTGGCATGGCGGTCTCAAAGTCCTGCCTGGTGAGGGATCACCGCACTGGGACCTCCAGTCACTCCTGCTGGTGTTCTCGGGCCCAAAGATATTTGAATTCTTGGGATGAAATGGCCAAAGATGAGCTGCCATCTTTGCTGTTTGTGCAACTTAGCCACTCCAGCCTGAGGGTTTTGTGGAATCCATACCTACCGGGGCAGAAGGGATCTCCCAGCACAACACAGCTACTCTACAAAATCTTGGTCAGGCAGATTCTTTTAGCAGGTTCCTGACCCATTTCTTCTTAATTGGCAGGACCTTGACAACTCTATCCAAGGGAGAATGTAAATCTCTGTCAGCTCTAGAACTAAGGGGTGGAAGCCCCACTTGGGAGGTCTCACCCAGTGAGGAACGGATCGGGGATCTACTTAAAGAATCTTGCCATGATTTGATAGAGCAGTTGTGCTGTTCTGGGGATCCCCTCCACCCTAGTCACTTTGGACTCTCCAAAGCCCACAGACTGGAATAACTGAGTCACCCAAACAGCAAAGATGGCGGCCCCCTTCTCCCCCAGGGAACTCATCCCAGGGAGAATTCAAATCTCCGTCAGCCTGAGAGCACCTGCAGGAGTAGCTGCAGGCCCCAGTTGGGAGGTCCCGCCCAGCGAGGAGGAATGGATTGGGGATCCACTTAAAGAGGCAGTCTGGCCACATTTTGGTAGAGCAGCTGTGCTGCGTGGGGGATCCCTTCTGCCCTCAGTTGGTTTGGGTTCTCAAAAGCCCAACAGGCTGGAATGGCTAAGTTACCCAAACAACAAAGATGGTGGCCTGCCCTGTCCCCTAGGAAGTCAGTCTCAGGTAGGTAAAACACTGTTGCTGGTGGCTGGCTGGAGTTGTTTCCTTGATTATGTGAGTAATGCGAGTACCTGGTTGTTTCAGTTGAAGGTGCTGTATTGACTTGCCCTTTTCATTCCTCTCCATGAGAGCCGTGCACCCTAGCTTCTTCTAGTCAGTCATCTTGGCCACACACCCCCATAATCGTATTTTTTAACTAAATCATTCTTTAAAACTCTAACAAAATATTTAAACATTTAAAAAGTGTGAGCTTTAGAAATGCCTAATTACATCTTAGGTTTGAGACACGTAGCAGTTATGTACATTGTCAATTCCAGATTTTGCATCTTACAAGGAAAGGACTTAGATCTTATTCAGTCTTTGTGTGTCTAAACTATCTTCGCCTGTAAAATGAGTACAATGAAGTACTTTATAGAGTTGTAAATGTTATATGTAAAAATATAGCAGTGAGGGGGCAGTGGGCTGGCCAAGGTGGCCGAGTTGAAGCAGCTAGTGTGTTTGGCTCTCACAGAGAGGAACACAAGGGGAGAGTCAATACTGCACCTTCAACTGAAACATCCAGGTACTCACATTGGGACTAACCAAGGAAACAACTTGACCCAGGGAGAATGAAGAAAAGAAAGGCAAAACGACAGCCCACCTGGGAGTACCACAGAGCCAGGGGGAGCTCTCTCACCCAGGGAAGCAGTGAGTGAATGTGTGACCCTGGAAACCCATGCTTTTTCCATGGATCTTTGCAATCCTTGGGTCGGGAGTTCTCATGAACCCACTTTACCAGGGCCTTCAGTCTGACAGAGCTACGTGGAATCTTGGCACAGCAGCCACTCAGGCACACATGGAGACCTGGGAGCCTTAGGTACCTGGGCTTTCCTGCAAAAGTAGCTGCAACTGTGGCAAAGTGGGAGGTGAGACCCTCATACATATCCCTAGGGAAGAGGCTGAATTCAGGGAGCTGAGCAGCAACAGCCTGCAGGCCCCACTTCCACAGCACCTCACAGGATAAGAGCCACTGGCTTGGAATTCCAGCCAGCCACCAGCAACACTGTTGAGCCTCCCTGAGACAGAGCTCCTGAGAGAAGGGGTAGGCCACCATCTTTGCTGTTTGGGCAACTTAGCTGCTCCAGCCTTCGGGATTTGGAGAGTCTCAGCGGACCAGGGACAGAGGGATCCATTAGCACAGCACAGTGCTACTCTACCAAAATATGGCCGGACTACTGCTTTAAGAAGGTCCCCAATCCCATTCCTCCTCACTGGGCAGGACCTCCCAACCAGGGCCTCTAGCTACCCACTCTGGTATTCTCAGGCTGACAGAGATTTGAATTCTCCCTGAGATGGAGTGCCCTGAGGGAGGCGTGGGCCGCCATATTTGATGTTTTGGCAACTTAGCCATTCCAGCCTTTGGGCTTTAAGGAGTCCCAGCTGACTTAGGGCGGATATGGCCCCCCAGCACAGCACAGCTGCTGTACAAAAGCATAGCCAGACTGCTTCTTTAAGTAGGTCCCGGATTCATTCCTCCTCACTGTTTGGGACTTCCCAACTGGGGCCTCCAACCACCCCCACTGGTGTTCTCCTGCTGACAGTGATTTCAATTTTTTCTGGGCTGGAGCTCCCTGATGGAGGGGCAGGCCACCATCTTTGCTGTTTTTGCAACTTAGCCACTTCAACCTTCAGTCTTTGGAGTGTCCAAGGAGACCAGGGGGTGATGTGGACCCTCAGCATACCACAGCTGCTCTATAAAAATGAGGCCAGACTGCGTTTTTAAGCACTTTCCCAATGCCATTCCTCCTCACTGGGCAAAACCTCCAAACTGGGGTCTCCAGCCACCTCCTACAGGTGTGTTTGGGCCAGCAACAAGTTCATTCATACCTCCCTAGGGCAAAGCTTCCAAAGGGAGCGGTAGGCTGCCATCTTTGCTGTTTCACAGGCTTCACTGATGATAACTCCAGGTACTGGAAAATCTGAGGCTACTAGAGACTGGAGCGGGCCCTGGGCATACTGCAGCAGCCCTATGGAAAAGTGGCCAGACTGTTACCTGGGTTCCCATTCCTATATCTTCTCACTAGGCAAGTCTTGCAGGCCTGGACCTCTACCTAACCCCCCCTACCAGAACTGTTGAGCCAGTAGCAACTCAGCCACTCCCTGGAGAGAGCCTCCAGGGGCAACTGAAAGCCTCTCTGCCACTGCTTCTGCAGTGGAACTGTCCTTGCTACCCTCAGACTGATGAAGGAGCTAACACCCTTATCTACACCTTCAACAAGCTTTAATTGACCAAAGCCCATCTCTCATGGGTTCTACACACTCCCCACTGCTCATGACAGGGAACCCCTGGATTGGCCCCCACAGCACGAATTCTCCATCCTGATTGCTGATTGCAGTAAACAGTTGCTGTATTCTCCAGGGGTGGTGGAACTCTGAGGAGACAAACAAAAGACCCTTGGCTACAACCACTACTAATGTCCCTTCCTCTTCTGCCTCAAAGTTAGGAAAGAAATATAAACACTGAGATTGCCCCAGAGCTGCAGTGGGCAGCCTAGGAGTGCCAAGCCATGACCTACAGCCAGCACTCAAGGGGGAGAGAAGCACATTTTCAGATCATTGAGAGGGAACATGGCTGCAACTGTAAGGAAACATAGGGGAGCCACATGACCAAGCAAGAGTCTACCAACTGACCAGTAAGCCCAAGTGCCACCTACTGGATCACATCCCAAAGCTTCAGCATCAAAAATACCTTACTAATATACTCCCCTCTGAAACCAGAAATGAGAAGTCAGCTTCAAATAAAGACCCTGCACAAAGCCTCAGCCTGGTGAAAACATCCGAAAATAAGTCTACGGACTGTACTCAATCTACACTGCAATTAAAGGAAAACCCATAGGTGGAAATGAGAAGAAACCAATGCAAGAACTCCAGTAACTCAAATGGCCTCTGTGTCATATGTCCTTCTAACAACCACACCAGTTCTCCAACAAGAGTTCTTAACCTGGATGAACTGTCTGGAATTACATAAATATAATTCAGAATATGGATAGGAAAAAAAATCATCAAGACTCAGGAGAATGGCAAAACCCAATCCGAGGAAAATAAGAATAACAGTAAAGTGTTACAGGAGCTGAAGGATAAAGTAGCTGGTATAATAAAAAAGAACCTAACCGATCTGAAAGCGCCGAAGAACACAATACAAGAATTCCACAATGCAATCACAAGTATTAACAGCAGAAAAAAAAATCTGAGGAACGAATCTCAGAACTTGAAGATTGGTTCTCTAAAATAAGATGGACAAAAATAAAAAAGAATGAACAAAACCTTCAAGGAGGATGGGATTATATAAAGAGGCCAATTCTACAAATCACTGGCATCTCTGAAAGGGAGGTGGAGAAATCAAACAACTTGGAAAACGTAGTTCAGGATATCATCTTTGAAAGCTTCCCTAACCTTGCTAGAAAGGCCAACAGTCAAATTCAGGAGATACAAAGAACTCCTACAAGATTCTACACAAGACCATCCTCAAGACACATAAACATCAGGTTTTCCAAGGTCGAAATGAGGGAAAATATGTTAAAGGCAGCCAGAGAGAAAGGGCAGGCCATCTACAAAGGGAACCCCATTAGGCTAACAGCAGATCTCTCAGCTGAAATCCTACAAGCCAGAAGGGATTGGGGGACTATATTTAACATTATTAAAGAAAATCTTCAACCAAGAATTTCATATACAGCTAAACTAAGCTTTCTAAATGAAGGAGAAATGAGATCATTTACAGACAAGCAAATTCTGAGGTAATTCATTACCACCACATCTGCCTTACAAGAGATTTTAGAAAGGAGGACTAAATATAGAAAGGAAAGACCACTACACGCTAATGCAAAAACATACTTAAACACACAGACCGGTGACACTATAAAGCAACCACACAAAAAAGCCAACATAATAACCAGCCAACAGCACAATGACAAGATCAAATCTACACAAATCGATACTAGCCTTGAATGTAAATGGGCAAATGCCCCACTTAAAAGGCACAGAGTGGCAAGCTAGATTTAAAAAAAAAAAAAGCGAGACCCAATGGTATGTCGTCTTCAAGAGACCCATCTCACACATAATGACACTCATCGTCTCAAACTAAAAGGATGGAGAAAAATCTACCAGACAAATAGAAAACAGAAAAAAAGCAGAGGTTGCAATCCTAATTTCAGACAAAACAGATTTCAAATGAACAATAATTTTTCAAAAGGACAAGGGGGCAGGGGCAAGATAGCCGACTAGAAGCAGCTGCAGTTTGAGGCTCCCACTGAGAAGAACTAAAAGAGTGTGCAAATCCTGCAGCAGCAACTGACATATCCAGGTTCTATGATCAGGACTGACTAGGTGGTTGCCGTGACCCATAGAGAACAAGGAAAGATGGGCTGGTGGATTGGCCCACCTGGGAGCCACATGGGGCAAGGGGAGCCCTCACCCTCAGCCAGCCAAGGGAGGCAGTGAGTGAGCATGCTACCCAGCCTGGGAAACTGCTTTTTCCATGGATCTTTGCAATCCACAGATCAGAAGATCCCACTCATGAGACCACACCACGAGGGCCTTGGGTGCCAACCACAGAGCCATGCAGATTCTCAACAGCCACTCAGCTGGAGTCTGCCTAAAACTACCGAGTTCCCAAGTTGGGGAGGGGTGGTCATCATCACTGTGGCTGCCTGCTGCCTAAACCCTCTGAGTTCCCTGGGGGAGGGGGAGCAATCATCACTGTGGTTGCTGGCTGCCTAAGACAACTGAGCTTCCCAAGAGAGGGGCAGTCATCATCACTGCAGCTGCCTGCTGCCTGAGGAAACTGAGCTCCCTAAGAAGGGACAGCAGCCATCACTGTGGCTGCTAGCTGCCTAAGACACTGAACTCCTGGGGAGGAAGGGCGGCAGCCATTTCTACAGATCCAGGCTGCTGTTTTTCCTTTGCTGATGCCAGGAAGACTGGACGGCTTGGTCCCAAGAGGTATTCCCCACAGCGCAGCATACTGGCTGTGGCAGATCATGGCCAGACTGCCTCTTTAGGCTGACCCTGACCCATCCCTCCTCACTGGGTGGGGCCTCCCTGCAGGAACTCCAGCAACTCAAGCCAGGGAATTAGGGAGAGAACTCTGATCTCTCTAGGTCTGAGTCCCTAGTGGGAGGGGTGGCTGGCTGTTGTCTCCACAAACCGGAAGACTTGTTCTTTCCCCCTGCTCACTCTGAGGATTCCAGGCAGCCCAGATGAGTGGGATTTTCCCCGGCACAGCATACCCCCTTCCCAAAGGGACAATCAAAGTGCTTCATTAAGCAAGTCCTGGATCCTGTGCCCCTCAACTGGGTGAAACACCCCAGTGGGTCACCAGACACCTTATACAGGAGCATTTCTACTGGCATCAGGTGGGTGCCCCTCAAGGACAGAGATCCCAGAGGAAGGAGTGGGGTCCCATCTTTGCTGTTCTCCAGCACCCTCTGGTGACATCTTCAGGTGTGGGAGGGACCCAGATAAATAGGGCTTGAAGTGAATCCCCAGCAAACCACAGCAGCCCTACAGAAGAGGTACCTGACTGTCGAAAGAAAAACAGAAAGCAACAACAACATCAACCAAAAAGTCCCCACGAAAACCTCATCTAAAGGTCAGCAGCCTCAAAGATCAAAATGAGACAAACTCATGAAGATGAGAAAGGAATGAAAAACCCCTAACAACTCAAAAGGCCAGAGTGACTTGTTTACTCCAAATGATCACAACACCTCTACAGCAAGGGCACAGTCCTGGGTGGAGGTTGAGATGGATGAATTGACAGAAGTAGGCTTCAGAAGGTGGGTAGTAGCAAACTTCACTGAGCTAAAGGAGTACGCTCTAACCCAACATATTGGAACGAATCCCAGAACTTAAAGATTGGTTCTCTAAAATAAGACAGACAAAAATAAAAAAGAATAAAACGGAAGGAAGAAAACCTCCAATAAGTATGGGGTTATATATAGAGGCCAATTCTACAAATCACTGGCATCCCTGAAAGGGAGGTGGAGAAATCAATGCATTGGGTTAGAACATGCTCATTTAGCTCTGTGAAATTTGTTATTACCCACCTTCTGAACCCTACTTCTGTCAGCAAAGAAGCTAAGAACCATGTTAAAAGATTACAGAAGATGCTAACTAGAATAACCAGTTTAGAGAGGAACATAAATGACCAGAGCCAGCTGTAAAGCACATAAGGGGAACTTTGTGATGCAAACACAAGTATCAACAGCTGAATTGATCAAGCAGAAAAAAGAATATCAGAGCTTGAAGACTGTCTTGCCAAAATAAGGCAGGCAGAGAAGATTAGAGAAAAAAGAATGAAAAGGAATGAACAAAACCTCAAAGAACTGTGGAACTATGTAAAAGACCAAACCTATGACTGATTGGACTACCTGAAAGAGACAAGGAGAATGGAGCCACGTTGGGAAAACACACTTCAAGATATCATCCAGAAGAACTTCCCCAACCTAGCAAGACAGGCCAACATTCAAATTCAGGAAATCCAGAGAACCCCAGTAAGATACTCCACAAGAAGATCAACCCTCAAGACACATAGTCATCAGATTCTCCAAGATCAAAATGAAGGAAAAAATGTTAAAGGCAGACAGAGACAAAGGGCAGGTCACCTACAACGGGAAGCCCATCTGACTAAGAGTGGGCCTCTCAGCAGAAACCCCACAAGCCAGGAGACAGTTGGGTCCAATGGTCAACATTCTTAGAGAAAAGAATTTCTAACCTAGAATTTCATATCTGGCCAAACTAACCTTCATAAGTGAAGGAGAAATCCTTTTCAGACAAGCAAATGCTGAGGGAATTTATCACCACCAGGCCTGCCTTGCAAGACCTCCTGAAGGAAGTGCTAAAGATGGAAAGGAAAAACTGGTACCAGCCACTGCAAAAATGTACTGAAGTACAAAGACCAATGACACTATGAAGAAACTGCATCAACTAGTGAGCAAAATAACCAGCAAGCATCATGGTGACAGGATCAAATTCACACATAACCATATTAACCTTAAGTGTCAATGGGCTAAATGTACCAATTAAAAGACACAGACCAGCAAATTGGATATAAAGAGTCAAGATTCAGGTGTGCTGTATTCAGGGTTCCTATCTCATGTGCAAAGACACACATAGGCTCAAAGCGATGGAGGAAAATTTACCAAGCAAATGGAAAGCAGAAAAAAGCAGGGGTTGCAATCTTAGTTTCTGACAAAACAGACTTTGAATCAACAAAGATAAAAAAAGACAAAGAAGAACATCACAATGATAAAGGAATCAATTCAACAAGAAGAGCTAACTATCCTAAATATGTATGCACCCAATACAGGAGAACCCAGATTCACAAAACAAGTTCTTAGAGACCTACAAAGAGACTCAGGCTACCACACAACAATAGTGGGAGACATTAACACCCCACTGTCAATATTGGATCATCTAGGCAGAAAATTGACAAGAAAGGACTTGAACACAGCTCTGGATCAAGTGAATCTCATAGATATCTACAGAACTCTCCAACACGAAACAACAGACTATATATTATTCTTAGTGGCATATGACACTCTAAAATTGATCACAAAATTAGAATTAAAACACTCCTCAGCAAATGCAAAATAACTGAAATCATAACAATCTCTCAGACCACAGTGCAATCAAATTAGAACTCAAGATTAAGAAACTCACTCAAAACCACACAACTACATGGATATTGAACAACGTGCTCCTGAGTGACTTCTGGGTAAATAATAAAATTAAGGCAGAAATCAAGAAGCTCTTTGAAACCAATGAGAACAAAGAGACAATGTACCAGAATCTCTGGGAGGCAACTAAAGCAGTGTTAAGAGGTAAATTTATAGCACTAAATGCCCACATCATAAAGCTAGACATATCTCAAATTGACACCCTAACATCACAACTAAAAGAACTAGAGAAGCAAGAGCAAACAAATCCAAAAGTTAGCAGAAGAGAAAAAAAAAAATGACTAAGATCAAAGTGGAACTGAAGGAGACAGAGACATGAAAAACCCTTCAAAAAAAAAAAGAAAGAAATAAAACATGTTCAAATAGCAAGAGATAAAATCAAATTGTCTGTGTTTGCAGAAAATGTGATTCTATATCTAGAAAACCACATCGTCACAGCCCAAAAACTCCTTAAGCTGATAAGCAAGTTCAGCAAAGTCTGAAGATACAAAATCAATGTGCAAAAATCACAAGCATTCTTATACACCAGCAATAGACAATATTCTTCAATTCCTATACACCAACAATAGGCAAGAGAGCCAAATCATGAATGAACTCCCATTCACAATTGTTACAAAGAGAATAAAATACCTAGGAATACAGCTAACGATGGATGTGAAGAACCTCTTCAAGGAGAACTACAAGCCACTGCTCAAGGAAATAAGAGAGGACACAAACAAATGGAAAAATATTCCATGCTCATGGGTGGGAAGAATCAATCTCATGAAAATGGCCATACTGCCCAAGGTAATTTATAGATTCAGTGCTATTCACATCAAACTACCATTGACATTCTTCACATAATTAAAAAAAAACTACTTTAAGTTTCATATGCAACCAAAAAAGAGACTGAATAGTCGAGACAATCCTAAGCCAAAAGAACAAAGCTGGAGGCATCATGCTATATGACTTCAAACTATACTACAAGGCCACACTAATCAAAACAGCATGGTACTGTTACCAAAACAGACACACAGACCAATGGAGCAGAATAGAGATCTCAGAAATAAGACCACACATCTACAACCATCTGATCTTTGACAAACCTGACAAAAACAAGCAATGGGGGAAGGAATACCTATTTATTTATTTATTTATTTATTTTGAGACAAAGTCTCACTCTGTCACCAGGCTGGAGTGCAGCGGCATGATCTCAGCTCACTGCAACCTCTGCCTCCCGGATTCAAGTGATTCTCCTGCCTCAGCCTCCTGAGTAGCTGGGACTACAGGTTCGAGCCACCACGCCCAGCTAGTTTTTGTATTTTTAGAAGAGACGGGGTTTCACCATGTTGGCCAGGATGGTCTTGATCTCTTGACCTCAAGATCCACCTGCATCAGCCTCCCAAAGTGCTGAGATTATAGACATGAGCCACTGCACTTGGCCAGGATTCCCTATTTAAATGGTGCTGGGAAAACTGACTAGCCATATGCAGAAAACTGAAACTGGACCTCATCCTTACATCTTATGCAAAAATTAACTCAAGATGGATTAAAAACTTAAATGTGAAACCCCGAACTGTAAAAAACCCTAGAAGAAAATCTAGGAAGTTCCATTCAGGACATAGGCATGAGCAAAGATTTTATGATGAAATCATCAATAGCAATTGCAACAAAAGCAAAAATTGATAAATGGGATCTAATTAAACGTAAGCACTTCTGCACAGGGAAAGAAACTATCATCAGAGTGAACAAGCAACCTACAGAATGGGAGAATATTTTTGCAATCTACCAATCTGACAAAGGTCTAATATCCAGAATCTACAAGGAACTTAAACAAATTTACAAGAAAATAACAACCCCATCAAAACATGGGCAAAGGCCACGAACAGACATTCTGAAAAGAAGACATTTATGCGTCCGACAAACATATGAAAAAAAAAGCTCAACACTAGTGTTTATTAGAGAAATGCAAATCAAAACCACAATGAGATACCATCTCATGCCAGTCAGAATGGCAATTATTAAAAAGTCAAGAAACAACAGATGCTAGAGAGGCTGTGGAGAAACAGGAACACTTTTACACTGTTGGTGGGAATGTAAACTAGTTCAACCATTGTGGAAGACAGTGTGGCAATTCCTGGAGGATCTAGAAGCAGAAATACCATTTGACCCAGCAATCCCATTACTAGGTTTATATCCAAAGAAATATAAATCATTCTGTTTTAAAGATACATGCACACTTATGTTTATTGCAGCACTATTCACAATAGCAAAGACATGGAATCAGCCCAAATGTCCATCAATGATAGACTGGATAAAGAAAATGTGATACATATACACCATGGAATACTATGCAGCCATAAAAAGGAATGAGATCATGTCTTTTGCAGGGACATGGATGAAGCTGGAAGCCATAAACTTCAGCTAATTAACACAGGAACAGGAAACCAAACACCACATGTTCTCATAAGTGGGAACCGAACAATGAGAACACATGGACACAGGGAGGGGCAGAACACACACCGGAGCCTGTTGGGAAGGTAGGGGGAAGGAGAGCATCACGATAAATAGCTAATGCACGTGGGGCTTAATACCTAGGTGATAGGTTGATAGGTGCAGCAAACCACCATGGCACATGTTTAACTATGTAACAAACCTGCACATCCTGTACATGTATCCTGGAACTTAAAATAAAATAGAAAAGACAAAGAAGGATATTACATAATGGCAAAGGCTTCAATTCAACGAGAAGACCTAACTATCCTAAATATATATTCATCCAATGCAGGAGCACCCAGATTCATAAGTAAAGTTCTTAGAGACCTACAAAGTATGTTTCACAGTAATAGTGGGAGATTTCCACACTCCAATGACAGTATTAGACAGATGATTGAGGCAAAAAAATGAACAAAGATATTCAGGACCTGAACTCAACATTGGATCAAATGGATCTGATAGACCTTTACAGAACTCTGCACTCAAAAACAACAGAATATGCATTCCTCACATCATCATATGCCACATACTCTAAAATCAACCACATAATTGGACATAAAGCAATCCTCAGCAAATGCAAAACAACTGAAATCATACCAAATACATACTGAGATCACAGTGCAGTAAAAATAGAAGACTAAGAAAATTGCTGAAAATCATGCAATTACATGGAAATCAATCAACATGCTCCTGAATGACTTTTTAATAAATAATGAAATTAAGGCAGAAATCAAGAAGCTCTTTGAAAATAATGAGAACAAAGTTACAACATACTAGAGCCTCTGGACACAGCTAAGACAATGTTAGGAGGGAAATTTATAGCACTAAATCCCACATCAAAAAGTTAGGAAGAACTCAAATTAATAACCTAACATCACAACTGAAAGAACTAGAGAAGCAAGACAAAACCCCAAAGCTAGAGGAAGACAAGAAATAACTGAAAATCTGAGCTGAACTGAAAGAAACCGAGACATGAAAAAAAGAAATTCAAAAGATCTATGAATTCCGGGTAGGTTTCTTGAAAATATTAATAAGAAAGTCTGCTAGCAGACTAATACAGAGGATGATTGAAAGAAACACAATTAGAAATGACAAAGGGAATGTTACCACTGACCCCACAGAAATAGAAACAGCCATCAGAAACTACTGCAAACACTTCTATGCATACAAACTAGAAAACTTCAAAGAGATGGATAAATTCATGGAGAAATACACCCTCCCACAACTGAGCCAGGAAGAAATTGATTTGCTGTAAACAGACCAATAACAAGCTCCGAAATTGAATCAGTAATAAATAACCTACCAACCAAAAAAAGCCCAGAACATGATGGATTCCCAGTCATATTCTACTAGAAATACAAAGAAGAGCTGGTACCATTTTTACAGGAACTATTTGAAAATATTGAGGAGGAGGAACTCCTCCCCAACTCATTCTATGAGGCCAACATCATCTTGATACCAAAATCTGGCAGACACACACACACACACACACACACACACACACACACACACACACACACACACTCTTCAGGCCAATACCCTCGATGAACATCAATGCAAAAATCCTCAACAAAATACTGGCAAACCAAATCCAGCAGCACATCAAAAAGTTAATCCATCATGATCAAGTATGCTTCATCCCCAGGATGCAAGGTTGCCTCAACATACACATATCAATTAATCTGATTCATCACATAAACAAAACTAAAGATAAAAACCATGTGGTTATCTCAATATAAGCAGAAAAGGCTTTCAATAAAATTCAATGCCTCTCCATATTAAAAACTCTAAAAAATCTGGGTATTGAAGAAACATAGCTCAAAATGATGAGCTGTTTTTGTATCAGTATCATGCTGTTTTGGTTACTGTAGCCCTGTAGTATGGTTTGAAGTTGGGTAACATGATGCCTCCAGCTTCGTTCTTTTTGCTGAGGATTGCTTGGCTATTAGGGCTCTTTTTTTTGGTTCCATATGAATTTTGAAATAGTTTGCTCTAGTTCTGTGAGGAATGCCGTTGGTAATTTAATAGGGATAACTTGCATCTGTAAATTACTTTGGGCAGTATAGCCATTTTAATGACATTAATTCTTCCTATCCATGAGCATGACATGTTTTTCCATTTGTTTGTGTCTTCTCTGATTTCTTTGAGCAGTGTTTTGTAATTCTTCTAGAGATCTCCTAGAGATCTTTCACCTCCCTGGTTAGCTGTATTCCTAGGTATCTTATTTTTTCTGTGTGTAGCAATTATGAATGGGATTGTGTTCTTCATTTGACTCTCTGCTTGACTTGATGTATAGGACTGCTAGTAATTTTTGCACATTGATTTTGTATGCTAAGACTTTGCTAAAGTTTATCAGCAGAAGAAGCTTTGGGGCCAAGACTATGGGGCTTTCTAGATATAGAAACATGTCATCTGTAAACAGAGACAGTTTGACTTCCTGTCTATTCCTCTCTTCCCTCCTCTGTTTGGATGCCCTTCCAGTTTTGCACATTCAGTGTAATGTTGGCTGTGGGTTTGTCATGGCTAGCTCTCATCATTTTGGCACTTCTGACTAGAAGGGCAAGAGGGGCCAGTGTTGTTGTTACCTGAAAGGTAAGTGCAGCCCACAAAAATGCAGTGAAGAAGAAGATGTATTATGCATATGTTTAAGTTAATACAATTGAGATATATTTAGCAGACAGAATCAATAGAGTTGATGAGTGACTGACTGGATGTGTGGGGAGTTTATATCACTCCCAGGTTTTTGACTTGGGCAACCGGGCACTCATGAAGGAAAAAGGGGATCCAGGGAGAGGAACTTTTCTGAGGACTGGGGTAGGGCTGAACAGCTGCATTCGAGGCTGGTGGAGGGTGGGCTGGGCATGGGATGCACAAATGGAAATTCCACTGGGTCTGCAGCTCACACATAGGCATGACCAGCATAGAGATAGAGAGGCCCCAGTGCTGCTGAGTAACTGTGATTCCCCAGGTGATGGCATCAGCTGAGAAGGGAAGGAAGCCCATGAGAGGACACTGAAGAAGGAGTGAGCAGACAATAAGAAGCCCACAGAAGACAGAGAAGGAACAACTAGAGGGAGAAGCCAAGGCAGGCGTGTGTGGTAACACATAGGAACTGAGGGAGAGGACATTTCAAGATGGTGGGGATGCCATACAACAGGACTATGTGATGGTTTTTGGCTGTGTCCATAGGAAGTCACAACAGGCAAGGGAAAGAAACCAGAACCCAGTCATGGAGTTAAGAAGTGAGTCAGAGAGTAGATGGGTAGGGACAGTGAGGTAAGGCCTCTTTCTAAGGAAGTTTGGCTGAAGGATAGACTAGCTGGACACATGCTGGCTGTGTGGGGTAGAGGGAGGAATGATGGAGGGTAGGAGAGCCTTGAGCCTGCGAGAAGAGTCTCTTAGAATAGAGAAGCTGAAGTTAAAGTTGTGGAAGAGAGTGGGGATAACTGAGTGACAGATAATCAGGAGAAGAAAAGGAGATCCAGACTCATGACAGAGAGATGACCTTTGCCAAGAGCACAGCCGTCTTTCACGGTCACAGAGAGGTAGGACAAAATGAGTGGTGTTCAAGAATTGGTTTGTAGCACAATATTTCAACTATGTCCTTTAAAAAGTTTCTCCACAGACACTACCCAAAGCAGTGCTTCACTACAGTGGCAGACAGACCTGAAAATTTTCATCTGAAGCAGCAGAGTGAACTGCAGAGGCAGGTAATTTCTAGAAGGCTTGCTTTGTTACATTGAAACTGAAGATTATTCATGAGGCCAGTCTTCTGAGATTTCTGTCATTTCTCTCATGTCAGGTCACCAACCAGTGTGGAGGCTAAAAGCGGGCCTCTTTGGGGATTCCAGGTGGAAGTGTTGGACATCTGTAGTATTCCTGGTCTCGAATCATCCTGATATTCTTCATTTTGTTATTCACATTGGACTAGGGTGAGGAAATGAGTTCTGGTCAGAGTCAATGTTTCCTAACAATGTTGATTTATTTGGTCCTAAATATTTAAACACATTTTATAAATAGCTTTTCCACACCACATATATAGGGAAAAACAGGGAGTTAACTTGGCCCAGCAGCACTGTTTGTGGGGCTAACACCCTGTCTGTGTATCTCACACCAACCCTAAGCTTTGTTTCTCTCCTGTCACTTTGCTCCTATTTCTTTCATGTGAAAGAATGTTCATTTTCTTTGAAAATGAGCTCATTTCCTCATTTTCTTTCCATATTTCAGCAGGAACAAAGATCACCACAACTGGCTCCCCTTCAACTATGTTAGATGGCAACTTGCCTTCAGTATGGTGAAACACATCAGTTAAGACCGGGGTTGTGCATGGCAGGACTTTCTACAAGGACACCCAGTCTCCTTAATAAACATGAGATGCTCTCTTTCCAGAATTTCTCTTGCCTGACACAGCATAGGAAGATGCTGAACGGCCACACAGTGATCCATTGGTCAGTGGTGACATAAGGAGGTCAGAGGGGAGGAGTGAGGAGAAGTAGGGAAGACTAGGTGGTTGTAGGCCTCCTTCATCTGTTCATTGGCTGTGGCATTAGGCCAGCTACTCTTTGCACTTCTGTAAAGTGAGACGGTCGATCTTGTCTGCCTCTCTAGAGGATGGTTGCAGGTGTCAAATGGGGTAGTTAGGTGGGAGGGCATTTCACAAAGTTAAAAAATATGACTTTGGAGGCTTGTTATATTGATGAGGATTATAATCCCTGAGAATTCCTGGTATGAAGAAGGGAAAAGAAGATAATTTGTGAAAGAAATGTGTCCAGTTACTAGTCTTTGAAAAGGGTCAGTCTGTAGCTCTTCTTAATGAGAATAGGCAGCTTTCAGTTGCTCAGGGTCAGATTTCCTTAGTGGTGTATCTAATCACAGGAAACATCGTGGTTCCCTCCAGTCTCTTTCTGGGGGACTTGGGCCCACTTCTCATTTCATTTAATTAGAGGAAATAGAACTCAAAGTACAATTTACTGTTGTTTAACAATGCCACAAAGACATGGTTGGGAGCTATTTCTTGATTTGTGTAAAATGCTGTTTTTGTGTGCTCATAATGGTTCCAAAAATTGGGTGCTGGCCAAAGAGAGATACTGTTACAGAAGCCAGCAAGAAGACCTCTGTTCATTCACACCCCCGGGGATATCAGGAATTGACTCCAGTGTGTGCAAATCCAGTTTGCCTATCTTCTCAAGTTAGGGTTAATTGGATAATTCTGGAGAAGTACACATTGAAAACTAGAACTAAGCCAAGCAATTAAATACGTTTCCTGCCTATTACATGCCTTGGTACTGTGCAAAAGAGCTCACAGGGCATCTGAGGAAAGATTACTAACACACACCTCAAATGACTGTGTCTGATTTCCTAGAAGGACTCAGAAAGGGAGTGATCACTGTGGATTGGACTGGATAGTGCCTCATGCTGGAGGTGGGCTTTGAGTGGAGCCGTGAAGGTCAAGAAAAAGTGATATAAACACTGGCTCCTTCCTTTTGAAGGGACACCACACTCTTTGGGCTTAGTGGTTATAGATGCCTTTAGCGCAGCCCAGGAGCAAGCATTTGTTGTCTACCTACCACGTGCTTGGCTTTGGAAATGCAAATAAAAAAGGAGGTCACTATTTTATGAAAGGATGATTTTATTCTACCTGATGTAGCCAGCTGCAAGCTTCAGAAGGCAGCACATACAATAATGATGGGCTGGTGAGATGAGAGCTAATGGAGAGATGTACAAAGTGCCATGGGATCACCAAGCAGTGGTCAGGTGAAGGCATCTGATTTTCTTTAAGATCTTGCTCAAATGTCATCTCCTCTAGAAGAAAATGTAGGGCTTCATCAGTCAGACAACATGGGGAAATTGATCTCAGTTCAAGAAACATGTATTGATTATCTAATAGGTTCAAGCAGTTGTGCACTGGGGATAGAAAAATATTATCATCATCATCATCATCATCAACAACAACAACAATCTTGCTGTATGCCAGGCACATAATTTTACATGTATTATCTCATTTAATCTCAAACAACTCTATGCTATAGGTGTTTATTATTATCCCTATTTAGATGAAACATTTAACCTTCAGAGAATTTAAATAAGTTGCACTTGCAAGCTTAGCAGGTGAGGAATCAAATTTGGAATAGGACCTAGATCAGTGATCCCCTAGATCTACAATCTTAACCAGTACCCTGTTCTCTCTGCTTAGAGAGCACCTAGAGAAAATCTGTAAGCAAATAATCACAAAACAAGGGATGACACAATATATGTAAATGTAGGATTTTACATTAAGTGGAAGAAGGAAGAAGGTCATTATTTACTTTTTCTGGGTGAGAGATGAAAACACTTCTGCAAGAGTATTTCCAATTTCACCAAAGTATGGAAAGATGTTTATCCTAATAACAATACTCAGTAATGGTATTTGATTTAATTTCAGCCTAGTACATGATTTGATTCTAAAACAACATTTCCTTAGAATTTCAATATCTGGAATTCTATAGCTCAATGGTTTTGGTGACTATTAATATTTTATATACTTCTTTTGATAGTTTTGGGGCTAAGTGAATCAAATCTATTCATAACTCTAAGTTTTCAAATTCTGAAATCTTTTAGAGTTGTTTAGTTAAAACTGGTTCTTTTCTTCCAGTTTGTTAGCTTACCAAATGAGCCAAAATAAAGAAAAAACAAAAATTTATTTTCAGTCTGATATAGAGAGTTATTTATAGTTACATGGTGCTATCTCTTCCTTTAAAAACATTTCTTCTTTCTTTTTTTCTCCCTCTCTCTTTTTGAGGGGATTATAAACACTGCCAGTATTTTTTGCCTAAAGGGTAAATCCTCTTAAACTCTTTTGGGATCTATATTAGGTGCCAGATGGTCATAAGAAAATTATGTGAGATACTGGTGAATAAACAAGCAAACCAGAAGCTAGGTTTTCAGAATAGATGCTAGCCAGTAGTTCACAGGCATTATCCAGCAACTGGTGGGGATCTACTTGGCCAGCCCGTGACCACTGAGATGTGAACTTCCCTGGACCTTGGCAGTCAAGAGGGAGAGAGGCAGAGAAAGCTCCATTATCATCACTAATTCCCTTTTGACCACACGTGACAGCATGACCTGCTTCAAAGAAATAAGATAAATGGTGGTTAGGTGCCCCCACAGGCCCACAGTAGCCCATTCAACAAAGAGCAAAAGTAAAACTACTCCTGATGGATTTAGCAACATCATAGTTCACTTGTGAGGCAACAGGCTTTTATTGCTTGCTTTGGGACTGGCTTCTTCTCATTTTCTGTAGGAAAGTGAGCCTACCTGACTTAGAAACAAAATTTTGGAACACAAACCCTTTGTAAGTTGGGAGATCCCTAAACTAAAATTTCCAGTGAGATGAAAAGCCCCTTGAGAAAGAAATTTCTGGCTGGGCATGGTGGCTGATACCTCTAATTCCAGCACGTTGGAAGGTTGAGGCAGGAAGATCACCTGAGGCCAGGAGTTTGAGACCAGCCTAAGCAACATAGGGAAACCCCTGTGATATAGTTTGGATCTGTGTCCCCACCCAAATCTCATGTTGAACTGTAATCCCCAGTGTGGTAGGTGGGGTCTGGAGGGAGGTGACTGGATTAGGAGGGTGGATTTCTCATGAATGGTTTAGTACTATCTCCTTGGTACTCCTCATGATAGCAGGTGAGCTCTCAAAAGATCTGGTTGTTTAAAAGTGTGTGGTATCTCCCCCCTCACTCTCTTGTTCCTGCTTTCACTGTGTGACATGCCTGCTCCCGCTTCACAATCTGCCAGTAAATTGTGGCAGGTTATGAGTGTGTGTAATTTATGAGTGCTGATAGGATGAAAGATAGAAAATGATTTTAGATAGAAAGAAAATCATTCTGGAAGCTTTGAGTCTTCCTTTTGTAATCTATGTTGGTTCTTTTTTAACATCCCCTGTTTCAGCACTTACTGACCTGGAGTCTGTCTCACAATGACTAAATGTAATATAAGATTCTAGGATGTACACTAGAACAGAAAATGGAAACTAAATAAAAACTGAGGAATTCTGAACAAGTATGGTCTTTAGATAATAATAATATGACAATATTGATGCCTTAATTGTAATGAATGCACCACACTAATATAAAATTTTAGTAATAGAGAAAGCAGAGTTTGGGTACTTACCAGGAATATTATACTATTTTCACGATGTTTCTGTAAACCTTAAAGTGTTCAAAAATTAAAATTTTATTTAAGTCAATTGCAATATATAAGATTAATTGAACCCAAATTGTGGAAAATATAACTTCTGTTATAATGTTCCTTGGAAGCTTCTAAAGACAAGGCCTTTCTTTTCTATTTTTAGTAGAAATTACACGTATTTTCAAGTCAAACTGTTAATATGTGACAATATTTGCAGTACTGAAAGCTTAATAACTTATAGATTCATGGTAACGAAAAGCAAAGCATAGTGTTGTTTTTGGTTTTGGAATACTGTATGAAATATGTAGTCTTTTTTTTTTTTTAAGATGGATTCTCACTCATTTGCCCAGGCTGGAGTGCAGTGGGATGGTCTTAGCTCACTGCAACTTCTGCCTTCTGAGTTCAAGCAATTCTTCTGCCTCAGCCTCCCCAGTAGCTGGGACTACAGGCATGTGCCACCATACCTGGCTAATTTTTTTTTTTTTTTTTTTTTTTTTTTTGTATTTTGAGTAGAGATGGGGTTTCACCATTTTGGCCAGGCTGGTCTCGAATTCCTGACCTCAGGTGATCTGCCCACCTTGGCCTCCAAAATTGCTGGGATTACAGGCATGAGCCACCGTGCCTGGCCAAAACATGTAATCTCTTATTCAAGATTTATAATAACAGTTATGTGATACTCAGTAAGGGATGGTGATCTACATAAAATAAAAGTACAGGCACAGTGGCTTATGCCTGTAATCTCAGCATTTTGGGAGGCCAAGACACGAGGACTACTTGAGTTCAAAACCAGCTTTGTCAGCATAGTGAGACCTCATCTCTACAAAAAAATCAAAAACATTAGCTGGGGGTGGTGTCACACACTGGTAGTCCCAGATATTTGGGAGGATGAGGTAGGAGGATCCTACCTGAGCCTGGAAGACAAAGGCCACTGCACTTCAGCCTGGGTGACAAAGTAGGATCCTATCTCAAAATAGATAGATAGATAAATAGATAGATCAATGTTATTTATCTCAATATTTGAAAGAAAAGTTGAAAAACCTCCGAGCTCAACTAAGAATCAGTTTCTAGAATAAACAGAAGTATAAATCATTATACCTCTTTACTTTAAAAATATTACAGACATTATAAGTATTTTAATAACAAAAAATCAAATACTTTATATATGCTTTGTAATCTGTCCTTTACAAAATCATTTAACCTTTATGACAGGAGCTACTATGGTGCTCATTCCACAGATGAGGTGCTGAGGTTTAGTGAACTGAATAGCTTGTTCACAGACAGCTGGAGACAGAGACTCAGTTTGCCCATACAAAGATAATTTTAACCAATAGCATTTTACAATAGAATATCATAATGCCTATGAATTCTAAAAACATTTTATTCAAATCTCTCTTTTAATATTAGCACCTCTTCAACCTCTTCTTGACTCTACCACCAAAATTATCTTCCTAATCTCTCTTACCCTGTAAATTTCTGTGTGTGTGTGAGTGTGTGTGTGTGTGTGTGTGAGAGAGAGATAGAGACAGGGAAAGAGTGGATTTACCAAAAAATAAGATAGGAAGGTTGT
The DNA here is from genome assembly GCF_000001405.40 of Homo sapiens. NCBI lineage: Eukaryota > Metazoa > Chordata > Mammalia > Primates > Hominidae > Homo > Homo sapiens. The sequence continues at coordinate 265,510 of NW_025791765.1, forward strand.
CATAACATCTTCCCTTTTATTTCTCAATTCTGAAGTCCCCATTTTCATCCCTGGGAGAGTTGTTCTAGGATAGGGTAGCTAAAGGAACAGAGAAAATCAGAGTAATGGAATTAGCTAAAAGGGAAAGTGGCGACCTGAAGACCAAACACTAAAGAAGGGGCCAGTGAATGGCAAAGAAAGTGGAGAGCAAAACATGCAGGTAGATAGGGTCCTAGTTAATGAAGGCTCAGAGGCTGGAGGGTAAACCCATGCAAGGGTAAAGTTTAATACAGTGAAAATATAAGTAAGATGGGAGACCTACCACAGAGAACCAACACTTGGCATGTTTCTGATGACAGTGTTTAGATTGCAGTGGTTCTAAAAATTAAGTGATTTTGGAATTGGCATTCCATGTGACTTTAAAAGATAAATGATAAAGTAAATGTTTTATTCAGCTCTCTCTCTCCCTCCCCACCCACCTTCTTCCCTCCATTCTTCTGTTTTTAATGGGGATGTTTAAAATCCAATCTCACATTAATTTTTTCTTAAGTGTAAATAATGGGAAAACTTCACTTCGAGAGGGGACTCCTCAGTAGACCTCCATAATTTCCTGGCTTTTACTGCCAGTTAGTCATCAGGAATAGCCACGGCTAAGAGAGTACCAACTGGGCAAGCCAGTGAATTATACCAGTGCATCTCAGATTTACTGATTTGTTTAACTTTTGTTTTTTGTTCTTTTTTTTTTTCAGAGATAGAATCTCACTATGTTGACCAGGCTGGTCTTGAACTCTTGGCACCCAAGCGATCCTTTTGCCTGGAATCCCAAAGTGTCAGATTTACTGAAGAATATTTCATTGTAATTACTTTTTATACTTTATAGGTCAAGAGCTCTGTTTTAAATACAAAATTTATTGAATATACTTTTTCAAACAAAGTTTCATGTTCTAATCATTGTCTGATTTCAGCATTAAATGAAACACAGTAAAGAAAGTTGGGCTGATGTTGTTGTTGGTGGTTGTTTTTGTATTCTGATTACAGAACTGTATTTTGAGTGGGCTGAACATAGAGTAAATGCATCCTCAGCTGCTGGTCTAGACACTTTTTTTCCATGAGTGAAACTGCACATTGGGGATGGTGGGTCGGGGCTGTGAGTCCAGAGAGTTAAGCAGTAACCCCAAAGATTTTAACTGGGATCCAGAACAGTTTTATCATCGCTCTTCTTTATGTCTATATTTATCTTTAGTAATTGTACCATATGCTGCATTTTCCACTGGTTACATAGGTAAGCCTAGTCCTCCCCACAACATTCTTATACCAATGATGGTGACAATATGCTGTATTTCTTTTGTATCAACTCCTTACTTACTGTAGCTACTCAAATTGTACTAAGACCACTGGTACTAATCTGCAAACTAATTTTGAAGTACCTGGAAGTACAGATTTGAAAACCTTTTATAGCAATCTGACATTGCCACAATATTTTACATTTTACAAAAAATAAAAGTCTTTCACTCTGGGTAGTTTGAAAAGCACCACTGCAGAGAAAATAGTTGACACTTCACAAATGCTTATTTGATTTTCCTGAAGGTGATAAGTAAATTAGATATTCTATAATGTGTTATCTTTAACACAAAAATTATAGTAACTATTTAAACAATTAAATAACAGAAATTCAGATTCATGGTAAAATCAAAGAATATAAACTAAAAATTCCCTATATTTTCTATATTTTCTGAGAAAATATAGAAATAAATATATTTTCTGAGAAAATATAGAAATAAATATATTTTCTGAGAAAATATAGAAATAAATATATTTTCTGAGAAAATATAGAAATAAATATATTTTCTGAGAAAATATAGAAATAAATATATTTTCTGAGAAAATATAGAAATAAATATATTTTCTGAGAAAATATAGAAATAAATATATTTTCTGAGAAAATATAGAAATAAATATATTTTCTGAGAAAATATAGAAATAAATATATTTTCTGAGAAAATATAGAAATAAATATATTTTCTGAGAAAATATAGAAATAAATATATTTTCTGAGAAAATATAGAAATAAATATATTTTCTGAGAAAATATAGAAATAAATATATTTTCTGAGAAAATATAGAAATAAATATATTTTCTGAGAAAATATAGAAATAAATATATTTTCTGAGAAAATATAGAAATAAATATATTTTCTGAGAAAATATAGAAATAAATATATTTTCTGAGAAAATATAGAAATAAATATATTTTCTGAGAAAATATAGAAATAAATATATTTTCTGAGAAAATATAGAAATAAATATATTTTCTGAGAAAATATAGAAATAAATATATTTTCTGAGAAAATATAGAAATAAATATATTTTCTGAGAAAATATAGAAATAAATATATTTTCTGAGAAAATATAGAAATAAATATATTTTCTGAGAAAATATAGAAATAAATATATTTTCTGAGAAAATATAGAAATAAATATATTTTCTGAGAAAATATAGAAATAAATATATTTTCTGAGAAAATATAGAAATAAATATATTTTCTGAGAAAATATAGAAATAAATATATTTTCTGAGAAAATATAGAAATAAATATATTTTCTGAGAAAATATAGAAATAAATATATTTTCTGAGAAAATTAAATTAAATAAATATATTTTCTGAGAAAATATAAATAAAATTTCCCTATATTTTCTGAGCTTGAGTAACTCTTTAACAAAATGTTGACATAGATAAGCACTTCAGCATTCATGGATAAGCATACTTTCATAAAATCTGAAGAAAAATATATTTGATAATTCCAATGCCTGTCTCAGAGCTACTTTTTCTGCTGGTACCTCTGACTGGAATGCTTTCTCTCTCAACTCATACTTTTAAATTCTAGCCCCCTTTCAGGATCCAAATGCTCCATTTTGTAGAACATGTTTATTAAAATAGTTTATACTCTCTTATTGTATTATTATATGATGCCTTAATTCATGGCAACTTGTTAATATGTCATATTTCCTCTTAAGCTTCTTAAGACGAGACCATTTATTATCACTTTGTATATTTTTAATCTTTCCCAGAATAGGTGCTCTATAAATGCTTACTCAGCATTACATCATTAAATAAGGCAACACAATGTAATTTTCACTCTTAATAATGACTGCATTAGCAGGGCAAGGACTCTGAGGTATTTGTCTGACAAGCATTCAAAATTGCTAGCCAATGTTAGAACTAGAAATTTTGGAAAAGGTAGTGAGGTCAAGTCATTGACTGACCTTGGCTTTACTCATACATACTCTAACCAGATGGATACACATCAGAGCCTCAGAGTCTCCGAGTTTAAATGGGCCATAGGCACCACCTAAACTAATAGTCAAACCGGAAAAAGTATACGAGGACACTTGGAAGATGTATTGAGTTGTTAACCTAAAAGTTAAGAGAACTAAGAATCTAAATGGTGGTTGCTTAAGAAAAATACCATCTCACAAAAGAATACTCCTAACCACTACTGCAAAAAACACACTTTTGGGGAAAGTACACCCATATGGTTTGTACACATTCTCAAATATCTAAAAGTGACTTGGGCTTGACATGTAGTTCTGAATGCTTCTGTTAGATTTCCAATTTATCTCTCTTTTGGTACCAGTACCATGCTGTTTTGGTTACTGTAGCCTTGTAGTATAGTTTGAAGTCAGGTAGCATGATGCCTCCAGGTTTGTTCTTTTGGCTTAGGATTGACTTGGCAATGCGGGCTCTTTTTTGGTTCCATATGAACTTTAAAGTAGTTTTTCCCAATTCTGTGAAGAAAGTCTTTGGTAGCTTGATGGGGATGGCATTGAATCTATAAATTACCTTGGGCAGTATGGCCATTTTCACAATGTTGATTCTTCCCATCCATGAGCATGGAATGTTCTTCCATTTGTTTGTGTCCTCTTTTATTTCATTGAGCAGTGGTTTGTAGTTCTCCTCGAAGAGGTCCTTTACGTCTCTTGTGAGTTGGATTCCTAGGTATTTTATTCTCTTTGAAGCAATTGTGAATGGGAGTTCACTCATGATTTGGCTCTCTGTCTGTTATTGGTGTATAAGAATGCTTGTGATTTTTGCACATTGATTTTGTATCCTGAGACTTTGCTGAAGTTGCTGATCAGCTTAAGGAGATTTTGGGCCGAGACAATGGGGTTTTCTAGATATACAATCATGTCATCTGCAAACAGGGACTATTTGACTTCCTCTTTTCCTAATTGAATACCCTTTATTTCTTTCTCCTGCCTGATTGCCCTGGCCAGAACTTCCAACACTATGTTGAATAGGAGTGGCGAGAGAGGGCATCCCTGTCTTATGCCAGTTTTCAAAGGGAATGCTTCTAGTTTTTGCCCATTCAGTATGATATTGGCTGTGGGTTTGTCATAAATAGCTCTTATTATTTTGAGATACGTCCCATCAGAGATATAGACCAATGGAACAGAACAGAGCCCTCAGAAATAATACCACACATGTACAACCATCTGATCTTTGACAAACCTGACAAGAACAAGAAATGGGGAAAGGATTCCCTATTAAATAAATGGTGCTGGGAAAACTGGCTAGCCATATGTAGAAAGCTGAAACTGAATCCCTTCCTGACACCTTATACAAAAATTAATTCAAGATGGACTAAAGACTTAAATGTTAGACCTAAAACCATAAAAACCCTCGAAGAAAACTTAGGCAATATCATTCAGTATATAGGCATGGGCAGAGACTTCATGTCTAAAACACCAAAAGCAATGGCAACAAAAGCCAAAATTGACAAATGGGATCTAATTAAACTAAAGAGCTTCTGCACAGCAAAAGAAACTACCATCAGAGTGAACAGGCAACCTACAAAATGGGAGAAAATTTTTGCAATCTACTCATCTGACAAAGGGCTAATATCCAGAATCTACAAAGAGCTCAAACAAATTTACAAGAAAAAAACAAACAACCCCATCAAAAAGTGGGCAAAGGATATGAACAGACACTTCTCAAAAGAAGACATTTATGCAGCCAACAGACACATGAAAAAATGCTCATCATCACTGGCCATCAGAGAAATGCAAATCAAAACGACAATGAGATACCATCTCACACCAGTTACAATGACGATCATTAAAAAGTCAGGAAACAACAGGTGTTGGAGAGGATGTGGAGAAATAGGATCACTTTTACACTGTTGGTGGGACTGTAAACTAGTTGAACCATTGTGGAAGACAGTGTGGTGATTCCTCAAGGATCTAGGACTAGAAATACCATTTGACCCAGCCATCCCATTACTGGGTATATACCCAAAGGATTAGAAATCATGCTGCTATAAAGACACATGCACACGTATGTTTATTGTGGCACTATTCACAATAGCAAAGACTTGGAACCAACCCAAATGTCCATCAATGATAGATTGGATTAAGAAGATGTGGCACATATACACCATGGAATACTATGCAGCCATAAAGAATGATAAGTTCATGTCCTATTTAGGGACATGCATGAAGCTGGAAACCATCATTCTCAGCAAACTATCACAAGGAAAAAAAACCAAACACCACATGTTCTCACTCATAGGTGGGAATTGAACAATGAGAACACTTGGACACAGGGTGGGGAACATCACACACTGGGTCCTGTTGTGGGCTGGAGGTATGGGGGAGGGATAGCATTAGGAGATATACCTAATGTAAATGACGAGTTAATGGGTGCAGCACACCAACATGGCACATGTATACATATGTAACAAACGTGCACGTCGTGCACATGTACCCTAGAACTTAAAGTATAATAAAAAATATATAAAAAAATAACAAAAAAGTGCTAATTGTAAAAAACAACAAAAAAAGGATTTCAAATTTAGTTTGAACCTTCAATGTATACCTTAAGCAAGTGACTTGAAGGAAATTTGAATGCTGCGTGCCTTCTCCCAGCTCTGCCTCACTGAGGATGGGAACCCAGTGGCACCTGAGACTCCTGGATGTAGTGCCTGGGTGACATTCCTGTGGAGAAAAGCACTTTAGGGCTAGTCTCTAGATGTCTTCTCATGAGTCTTCTGCTTTCACATGAAGCTCTTTAGAAGACAGAAGGAAAAAAAATGTGAGAAGAAATACCTTGCCCTTCCACAAGATAGACCTGTTGTGCAGAGGTGCATACAATTGAGGACAGAGTTCAACATTTTAAATTAAATTTCCAAGTAGTTTCTGTGACTTCATTTAAGAGACCGTTTTTTGAATTCCATGGTTCCAATTTGTGTCTATTTTCCTGTTCACATAAATTTATAGGAATATACATGCCAGCTGTGAGAGATGACTTTATTTCACTGTTGCTCTTATATCCCCCTACAGTTGTCACAAGGACACCGATATCACACAGTGACATGAACCTAGACATATAGTACACTTGGCAGAAGAATTTTCCAGGTCTAGCCCAGCAGTCCATTCAATGATCTAAAATGGTGATACAGAGAAAAATAGAAACACATATGAAACACTATAGTCAAAATACCCTGAAGTAAAAAACAGAATAATTTTGACTGATGCATGACACATGCAAAGCCATATTACACGTGTATGTGCATATGTAAGGATCATATTGTATGATCATATTGTATGATCCTTCTCTATAATCTGTGTTTCTAGGGCATATCTATGTACAACCTCTATTACACAGAATTAGGCTCAGCCAGAAGGGGGCCAAGAAGGCCAACTAGAAGCAGCTATGGTGCATGGCTCTCACAGAAAAGAATGAGAGGGATGAGTAAACACAGCACCTTCAACTGAAATATCCAAGTACTCACATTGGAACTGATCAGGAAAACAGCTCCACCCATGGAGAATGGAAAAAAGCCGGGCAGGGTGACAGCCCACCCAGAAGCGACAAAGAGCCAAGGGGAACCCCTTCGCCTGCGCAGGGAAGTGATGAGTGAATGTGTGAAAATAAACTCCAGGCCAGAGTTTCATATCCAGCCAAACTAAGCTTCATAAGCAAAGGAGAAATAAGCTCCTTTTCAGACAAGCAAATGCTGAGAAAATTTGTTACCACCAGACCAACTTTACAAGAGCTCATGAAGCTCAGAAGTGTCCCACAACTACATGGAAATTGAACAGCCTGCTCCTGAATGACTCCTGGCTAAATAATGAAATTAAGGCAGAAATCAAGAAGTTCTTTGAAACCGATGAGAACAAAGAGACAATGTACCAGAATCTCTGGGACACAGTTGAGGCAATGTTAAGAGGGAAATTATACCTCTAAATGACCTTATTCAAAAGCTAGAAAAATCTCAAGTTAACAACCTAACATCACAACTAAAAGAACTGGAGAACCAAGAGCAAACAAACCTCAAATCTAGAAGACAGGAATCAACCAAAATAAGAGTTGAACTGAAGAAGATAGGGACACACACACACACACACACACACACACACACACACTCAAACATTCAAAAGATCAATGAATCGAGGAGCTGGTTTCTTGAAAAAAAGTAATAAAATAGATTGACCACTAGCTAGACTAATAAGGAAGAAAAGAGAGAAGATTCAAATAAACACAATCAGAAATAATAAGGGTGATATTACCACTGACCCCACAGAAATACAACCATCTGAGAATATTATAAACATCTCTATGCACATAAACTAGAAAATCTAGAAGAAATGGATAAATTCCTGGACACATACACCCTTCCAAGATTGAATCATCGAATCCCTGAATAGACCAATAATGAGTTCTGAAATTGAGGCAATAATAAATAGCCTACCAACCAGAAAAAAAAAAAAACAAAAGCCCAGTACCACACAGATTCACAGCTCAATTCTACCAAATGTACAAAGAAGAGCTGGTACCATTCCTGCTGAAAATATTCCAAAACAATTGAAAAGGAGGGACTCCTTCCTAACATTGTATGAGGCCAACATCATCCTGATACCAAAAACCAGGCACAGATACAACAAAAAAAAGAAAACTTCAGGCCAATATGCTTGATGAACATTGATGCAAAAATCCTCAATAAAATATTGGCAAACCGAATCCAGCAGCACATCAAAAAGCTTATCCACCGTGATCAAGTAGGCTTCATCCCTGGGATGCAAGGTTGGTTCAACATACACAAATCAATAAATGTGATTCATCACATAAACAGAACTAAAGACAAAAGCCACAGGATTATGTCAATAGATGCAGAAAAGGCTTTGATAAAATTTAACAACCTTCATGTTAAAAACTCTCAATAAACTATGTATTGAAGGAACGTACCTCAAAATAATCAGAGCCATATATGACAAACCCACAGCCAATATCATACTGAATGGGCCAAAGCTGGAAGCATTCCCCTTGAAAACTGACACAAAGATGCCCTCTGTCACCACTCCTATTCAATATAGTATTGGAAGTTGTGGCCAGGGCAATTAGGCAAGAGAAAGAAATAAAATGTATTTGAGTAGGAAGAGAGGAAGTCAGACTATCCCTGTTTGACCCCATCATCTCAGCCCAAAAGCTATTTATTTATTTATTTTGGGATGGAGTCTTGCTGTGTCGCTCAGGCTGGAGTGCAGTGGCACAATCTTGGCTCACTGCAACCTCCGCCTCCCGGGTTCAAGCGATTCTCCTGCCTCAGCCTCCTGAGTAGCTGCTACTACAGGTGTGTGCCACGACGTCTGGCTAATTTTTTCTATTTTTAGTAGAGACGGGGTTAGCCACTATGTTAGCCAGGATGGTCTTGGTCTCCTGACCTCATGATCCACCCACCTCGGCCTCCCAAAGTGCTGGGATTACAGGCATGAGCCACCGCGCCCAGCCCCCAAAGTTTCTTAAGCTGATAAGCAACTTCAGCAAAGTCTCAAGTTACAAAATTAATGTGCAAAAATTGTTATAGCATTTCTATACACCAACAACAATCAAGCTGAGAGCCAGATCATGAGTGAGCTCCCACTCACAATTGCTACAAGAAGAATAAGGTACCTAGTAATTCAGGTTACAAGTGAAGTGAAGGACCTTTACAAAGAGAACAACAAACCACTGCTCAAAGGAATCAGAGAGGATACAAATGGAAAAACATTCCATGCTCATGTATAGGAAGAATCAATATTATGAAAACGGCCATACTGCCCAAAATAATTTATTGATCCAATGCTATTCCCATTAAACTACCATGGAAGTTCTTCACAGAAATAGAAAAAAAAATATTTTAAAATTCATGTGGAACCCAAAGAGAGCCTGAAGAGCCAAGGCAATTCTCAGCAAAAAGAAAAATCTGGAGGCATCATGCTCTTCAACTTCAAACTATACTACAGGTCTACAGTAACCAAAGCAGCATGGCACTGGTGCAAGAAAAGACACATAGACCAATGGAACAGAATAGAGAACCCAGAAATAAGACTACACCCCTACAGCAATCTGATATTTCACAAACCCGACAAAAACAAGCAATGGAGAAAGGATTCTCTAATAAATGGTGCTGGGAAAGCTGGCTAGCCATATGTGCAAATTGAAACTGGACTCCAGCCCCACACCTTATATAAAAATCAGCTCAAGATGAATTAAAGACCTAAATGTAAAACCCCAGACTATAAAAATCCTAGAAGAAAGCCTAGGCAATACCACTCGGAACATAGACATGGGCAAAGATTTCATGACAAAGATGCCAAAAGCAATTGCAACGAAAGCCAAAATTGACAAATGGGATCCAATTAAACTAAAGAGCTTCTGCACAGCAAAAGAAACTAACAGCAGAGTAAACGGACAACCTAAAGAATGAGAGAAAAGTTTTGCAAACTATGCATCTAACAAAGGTCTAATATCTAGCATCTGTAAGAAACTTGGCTGGGCATGGTGGCTCACACCTGTAATCACAGCACTGTGGGAGGCCAAGGCAGGAGGATCACCTGAGGTCAGAAGTTCAAGACCAGCCTGGCCAACATGATGAAACCACATCTCTAGTCAAAATATAAACATTAGCTGGGCGTGGTGGCGCATGCCTGTAATCCCAGCTACTCGGGAGGCTGAGGCAGAAGAATTGCTTGAACCCAGGAGGCGGAGGTTGCAGTGAGCCGAGACTGCACCACGGCACTCCAGCCTGGGCAAAAGAGTGAGACTCTATCTCAAAAAAGAAAAGAAAAGAAAAGAAAAGAAAAAATAAATAAAATAAAGTAAAATAAAAAAGAAACTTAAACAAATTCAAAACAACCCCACTAAAAAGTGGGCAAAGGACATGAAAAGACACTTTTCAAAAGAAGACATACATGCAGTCTCACACCAGTCAGAATGGCGATTATTAAAAAGTCCAAAAATAACAGGTGCTGGCAAGGTTATGGAGAAAAAGGAGCACTTTTATACTGTTGATGGGAATATAAATTAGTTCAACCATTGTGGAAAACAGTGTGATGATTCCTCAAAGACCTAGAGAAATAAATAACATTCACCCAAGCAATCTTACTACTGGGTATATAACCAAAGGAATGTAAATCATTCTATTATAAAGACACATGCATGCATACGTCCATTGCAGCACTATTCACAATAGCACAGATGTGGAATCAATCTAAATGCCCATCAGTGATAGACTGGATAAAGAAAATGTGGTATATATACACCACGAAACACTATGCAGTTATAAAAAGTAAGAATAAGATCACGACCTTTGCAGGGACATGGATGGAGCTGGAGGCCACTATCCTTAGCAAAGTAATGCAGGAACAGAAATCCAAATATTATACCAAATGTTCTTACTTATAAGTGGGAGCTAAATGATGAGAACATATGGACGCAAAGAAAGGAACAATGCACACTGGGGCCTACCAGAGGATGGAGGGTGAGGAGGGAGAGCATCAGGAAAAATAACTAATGGATACTAGGTTTAATACCTGGGTGATGAAATAATATGTACAAAAAACTCCTATGACACGTTTACCTATGTAACAAACCTGCACATCCTGCACATGTACCCCTGAATTTAAAATAAAAGTTTAAAAAAAAACAAAGTATTTCAAGATAAATGTGTTCTTATTGAATAAACAATAATTTTGTGAAAAAAGAGGCTCAATTGAAGGTGGCAGAAGAGCTCCCAAATAGCAGTCACCTAAACAAGTTAGTATACTTCTTGCTCACACAAAATTAGACAGAGGCTTGGCCATCCGGGTTTGGTGTGGCAGCTGTGCCTCATGAGCCACTGGGACTCCACACTCCCCCAGCTTTACTTAGGGCATGTCTCATTTACTAATAGTCACATAGAGCTGCTGGAGCTCCAGGAAATGTAAGTGCATCCAAGCTGCAGTAATGAAAGAGGAGTAGAAAGGACAAAAGATACCCTCCTGTAAGGAAAGACCCTGGAAGTCACAGGCAAATAATCGTGCCTTCATCTCACTTTCCCAAATTTAGTTCCATGGTCGCAATGACCTCCAAGGGAGGCTAAGAAACGTAGTGTTTACGTAAATGATAATGTTCTCAGCTGACTGTGTGGCGTTCTAAGGGAAAATGGGATTTAATAAATATTAAATATTTATTATTTAATATTCAATAAATATTAAAAAGAAACTAGGATCCTTTGACACACATAATACTCCTTCTACAACAGTAATAATACCTTTTTAAGGTACTCTTATATTACCTAGAAAAAACTTGGGAAATGCAGACTCTGAACACAATATGAAGAGGTAATTCAAAGTAGAGGAAACTTTAATGGGTTAGAAATATGTGAACAGCAACTCAGAAATATTAGTGACCTAATAAGTGACACAAAATAACACTTTATATTTGTTTATTAACTTTAGAAATTTGGATTACGCCAAACATTAGTGACAATGTGAGGATATGGGCATGTTCATGTTTTACTTCAAGGATGCAGACTCCTTTGGAGATTATTTTCTTAGTACTTAGGGAAAATTATTATGTGTATACTTTACGTCCTGACCATCACATCCTGGGTATATTCCCCTGAGAAGCAGCCACAGAAGTCTATCAGAGGACATTTTCAAAGATCTTATTTGCAACAGTTTATTCTACTTCTAATTGTACTGAATTTAGATGCCCTTTACTTGGAGATTTCATGCATAAGACATGGAACAGCTATTATAAACAAATTCATGATGTAATATGCATATATGAACTATATATTCCACATGAAATATATATTTATGTACATATGTGCACAATACATACTCACAAAGCACCATTGGTAGGCTTAAAATGATGTGCAAATACATTAAGCATATTCTAAGAAGCAGATGGCTATCTAGACATAAATAACTTACGTATATTTAAAAGATACGCACATGGCCGGGTGCAGCGGCTCACACTTGTAATCTCAGCACTTCAGGAGACCGAGGAGGGTGTACCACTTGAGTCCAGGAGTGTAATATGAGCCTCGGCAGCATGGTGAAACCCCGTCTCTACTAAAAATAGAAAAATTAGCCAGGCCTGGTGGCGCCTGCCTGTAGTCCCAGCTACTTTTTGGGGGCTGAGGTGAAAGGATCACTTGAGCCTGTGAAGTTGAGGCTGCAGTGAACTGAGATTGTGCCACTGCATTCCAGCCTGGGTGACAAAGTGAGATGATCCTGTCTCAAAAATAAAAATAAAAGATGCGCACAGAAAGCACAGCGTTATGTAACTTTCAAAGACATCTCCAGGGCCATATATCAAGCACATGACAGTAAAAACCTATGTGGAAAAATTAGAAAATTCAAGTGAGGTAAAAAACGGTGGAAAATAGAGAAAAATGAGAGGTGATTTCCAATGACGAACTGAGATGATGAACTCAATTCAGTGCACTATTTCTTCCACTCTTACACTTTACAGGCTAAGAAGCCATTCCTAGCATTTCACTGGTATAAACTCTTCAAAATGGGATTCTTGTCCTTTGATTATTTTAGGTTGACAAATTTATACCAAAATAGTGGGCTTTGTAAATCGGTGTCTTTATGATAGGTTTCCTTAAATAGTATGTCTTTAAAATATTAAATGGTATCCCTTGTTTGTCTTGTCTTTTCCACAAGCAGATGAAACTTCCTCCCCAACAAGCCGATGGAAGAACTTATGCAGTGTTACTTCAGGGAAGCGACATGGCAGGGTGGAAGTAAAATGGACCTGCACATTTTAAAAAATGTTTTGTTTTGTTTCTTGAAGGGCCCCAGGGGCTTATAAAGGAGAGGAAGGGGGTGGAGTGTGAGGTTGGTAAAAGCAGCGGAAGCTGGCTTGGCATCCTGGAGGAGCAGGAAGAGAGTTCATGTTCCACCTTCCCCTCTTCCCCGCTATTCCACAGGGTCTGGAGGAGAAGAGCAGAGGGGTCTCTGGTTCCCAGGAAAGGGCCTGGGCCAGACTTTCTGATGGAGACAGCTGGGTGGTGAGTGTCCACGCAGACAGGACTGAGGCTTGCCTCACAGAAGATTCTCGCCACTCAAGTGAGGTGCAGAAGCAGCAGCGAGGAAGCACTTTTGAAGGGAACACCTGAGCACAACTCATTCTTTCTTGATGAGGCTTTGCTGCTGAGGAGTTCTTGCTATTAATACTTCTCTTCCTGCCAAAAAAAAACCTGGTTCCTGCACATTTACTGTGAAGGCACGTGATGGCCCTACAGCACCCCCAGAAATCATCAAAATTTGTACCAAAGATCCAGAGCAGAGGTGGTGGGTTGCTGAGTGACTGCTCACAGAGGCCATGTTGGTAGGGTCCTCACAGATGTCAGGGTCTTGCTATTCCTCAGTGAGGAGGAGGGAGATTCCAAAGGGTGGCTATCACCCAGACCACCTCCCCACAATGTTCATGCAGAGGGAATGAGGCAGAAGAGCCACTGCCTGCCTAGCCACTTACCTCTGAGACTTGGTTTTATCCTCTGTGTCCCACTCCAGCACTGATTATTAGCCTCCTGGTGCTCTAGGATACAGCAGAGAGAGTTGGCTGGCTGTACTGGGGAGAATGGGGATGACAAAAGCCTATGGAACCAGGTAATATCGGGTGGCCTTCCATTCAAGTCCTATCTGGTCTCTACTTCCATGAGATTTTAAGAGCAGAAAACACAGGGCTTTTTCTAGGGCCACACACTCCTCAGCCTAGCCTTTGAATGCAGAGCCCAGCTGAGAAGCTAGCAATGCTTCTGACCAAGGCCAGATGCCCAGCTTGGGGCCTCAAGGCTCTCTGTAGCTTCCCAGCTTGTGTACGCACCATTCACATCTGCCACAATAGCCCCACATCACAGCACAAGCCAGGGTTTAGTTTGGTGACAGGCATTATCTGTCCACCTGGGTGGCAGTGTGAAAAAGACTTACTCTGGCTTGTTCTTCCTCACCTGCCACCTATTTTGGAGTGTAGAAGGCCAGAACCCTGTTTTCTATATGTTTTATACAGATGGAAGAAGCCTCATAGACTTAGCTCCCCAAACAGCTCCTTGACACTTACGTGTTCCTTAGGCCTGCCCTGTAGGGTTCTGTAGATCCAGATGAAAAGGCCAGAACAGGCTTACTCAGGACTGGGTGGCTTCATTGTCTGAGGCCATTTTCCTGGTTCCTGAAAGTTATAAATGGTCCTCAGTGCAGGCCTTCCCCAGCCTCGCTGTCCTTCCAGCATCTGGCCATCTTACTTCAGCCATATTTACACTGTCCCACAGCACGTCCTGAAGTCTCAGACCTCACCTTTCTTTCTCTCTGGGGAGAGCCTCTTCTCTACCCACTTGAACCGGAACTCCACGCATGTGCTTACTTAAGGTCTTCAGAAGGAGAGCACCTATCCTGATTGCCAGATTCTAGGGATGTGGACAGCTTTCGCACTGGAGGGTGGTGGCACCTGGGCTGGGTCTGGTTAAAACATGCTGGGCCAGTGTTTGCCATCACTGTAAGGTCACGTGGATATGGCAGAGAAAGACTCCTGTAGCTTTCGCATTTCCCTTCCCTGTCAGCAGGTGGCAAGAGGGCCTAGTGGCCCCTGCATAAATGCATTTACATCAGTGTGTTTGTTTGTGTTTGTGATTTATGTTTGTTTTATATGTACATATAGTTGTTTATATATGTATAAATACATATATGTAATTAAATATATCTATATTTCTTTATGAATAGATGTGTTGCATGGGCCAAGAGCCAACTTCCACTTCACCCTGTGAAATGATGCTGAAAATCAACCCACAAAAGGCAGATGAATACAAGGAGAGGCAGGCAGATTTATTAATGTATATGAGGCATACAAAATATAAGAACTCAAAGGCAAGATGGCTGATGCTTTTATAATAGCTTAAGGTTACAGTAAGAATAGGTGCTTGGATAGTGGCATCTATACATCGGACTTCACATGCCAGGTCATTTCTTCTTCTGTTGTTTGAGAAACTTGTGCCTAGGGCTCTCTCTCTGTAGCCTCCAGATTGCACATGGGCCATTCACATCCACCATGGTGACTGGCCTCACCCCACAAGCTAGGCCCTATTTAGGTGACAGGCATCATCCATCCACCGGGGGTGGCAGGGTTCAACTGTCTCCCACTGACCTGGTTTTCTTCTCCTGCCCTTTACATTTGAGTGCACAAGAGTTTGTCAAAGTCAGCCTCTTGTTTTCCCTGCTTCTTATGTTTATGGCAAAGACCCTGGAGCCTGGTACTCTGTGTGCCTCCAGTTTGATGTTCTTCAGGGCTGCCCTGTAGGACCCTCCAGATCCAAATGAAACCAACCAGAACAGACTTACCCAGGACCATGTAGCTGTCACCATCTGAGGCCACTTACCTGGCCCCCAAAAGGCCCTAATGGCCCTCAGTGCAGTTCCGCCCTGGCCTGGTACTCTCTCTGCCCCCTACCATCTGATGCCATCCACACTTGTACTGCCCTGGCACATCCTGAGGGTTCAGACCTAGCCGTTTTTCCTCTCCGCCTTGGATTTTCAAAAGAAGAGTACCTGTCCTGATCGAAAAGTTTGGCTAAAGTAGACAGCTTTCACATTACAGGGTGATGGGCCTTGGGCCAGCTCTGATTAAAGACACCGTCCTGGTGTTTGCCGTCAGGATAGGGCCTGGAAACTGGCAGGAGAAGACTCTTGTGACCATTTTGGATCCCTTCACTGACAGTAGGTGATAAAAGGACCCTCTGGCCCCCACTCTTAATGTAACTGCGTTTGTGTTATGTATGTGTTTCCATTTGTGCTCTTTTAAAATTATGTCTGTACGTATATTAAT
Organism: Homo sapiens; assembly: GCF_000001405.40. NCBI lineage: Eukaryota > Metazoa > Chordata > Mammalia > Primates > Hominidae > Homo > Homo sapiens. The sequence continues at coordinate 281,622 of NW_025791765.1, forward strand.
ATATTATGTAGTTACACACATACACACACACACACACACACACACACACACACATATATTCTGCACAACTCCAGTCTCAACTCAGTTATCCCTCTTCTGTATGTCCAAGTTCTCCTGTGGGCATCTGCAAGTGATGGCATACTCTTTCTCAATTGACTCGTGGCCAGTCTCAGAACGGTGGGTCCATATGTTACGGATACCCATTTATGAATGGCCTATACCTATAGACAGCTGGCCTGCTCTTTCCAGGCCCCTTACTAAGAGTATTGTGGAAAACCTTAGAGCTTTTGAAAAGTAATTGGACTTTTAGCTAGAAGAAATGAAGAAATTGCCCAGAATATCATCAGTTAGAGGAAGCTCTCTGTGCCTAGATTTTCTGACATGAGATAATAGCCAATATGGCTGATCCCAACCCATAATTGTATGCTCTTGACAGCTTCTGTTTTTTTGTTTTTTTTTTTAAATCAGTTGTTGCTCTCTGGAATTCCAATGATGAGTTCAACTTAGTTAACATCTCCTTTCTAAATGTGAGGGTTAAGGAGTTGGTGGTAATTCATATAATAATTAGTTAGAATCAAATTACTTTCTTTTGGAATAAAATAAGTCAGGCCAGCCACTCTGAAAGAAGGTGAGTTTTGGGTTGGAGTCAGAAAGTCCATGCTTTTGGGGGATGACTCCTTTGGGAAAGGGGATAGAGTAAAACCAGTCAAGAGAGATAAGGTGAAGGGTTCAAGGCAGCTCTATATGGAGGACAAGGGTAGGGACAAGAGGTAGTAAGTAAGAGGAGAAAGATGAACTTTTGGTTTTTCAAAATATTCCTAGTCACTGTCCTAATGTTGATACCAATGGTACATTCATAGCATGGGATATTCTGCAGCCGTTAAAGAAGTAAGGTAGATTTATGGGTAAAAAGAAAGTGTACCAAGACAAGGATGCCTTCTCTCACCACTCCTATTCAACATAGTATTGGAAATTCTGGCCAGGACAATCAGGCAAGAGAAAGAAATAAAGAGTATTCAAATAGGAAGAGAGGAAGGCAAACTATCCCTGTTTGCAGATGACATGTCCTATATTTAGAAAACCCCATCATCTCAGCCCAAAAGCTTCTTAAGCTGATAAGCAACTTCAGCAAAGTCTCAACTTACAAAATCAATGCACAAAAATCTCTAGCATTCCTTTATACCAACAACAGGCAAGCAGAGAGCCAAACCATAAATGAAGTCCCATTCACAATTGACACAAAAAGAATAAAATACCTAGGAATACAGATAACAAGGGAAGTGAAGGACCTCCGTAAGGAGAACTACAAACCACTGCTCAAGGAAATCAGAGAGGAAACAAACAAATGGAAAAACATTTTATGCTCATAGATAAGAAGAATCAATATCATGAAAATGACCATACTGCACAAAGTAATTTATAGATTCAATGCTGTTCCCATTAAACTACCATTGACATTCTTCAAAGAATTAGAAAAGACTATTTTAAAATTCATACAGAACCAAAAAACAAAACAAAACAAAACAAAATAGCCCGAATAGCGAAGACAATCCTAACAGAAGCAACAAAGCTGGAGGCATCATGCTACCCAGCTCCAAACTATACTACAGAGCCACAGTGACCAAAACAGCATGGTATTAGTATAAAAACAAACACATAGACCAATGGAACAAAATAGAGAACTCAGAAATAAGACCACACACCTACAACCATCTGATCTTCAACAATCCTGACAAAAACAAGCAATGGGGAAAGGACTCCCTATTTAATAAATGGTGCTGGGAGAACTGGCTAGCTATATGTGGGAAATTGTAACCCCCTTCCTTACACCTTATACAAAAATCAACTCCAGATGAATTAAAGACTGAAATGTAAAACCCAAAACTGTGAAAACCCTAGAAGAAAATCTAGGCAATTCCATTTAGGACATAGGCATGGGCAAAGATTTCATGACAAAAATACCAAAAACAATTGCAACAAAAGCAAAAACTGACAAATGGGATCTAATTAAACTTAAGAGCTTCTGCACAGCAATACAAACTATCATCAGAGTGAACAGACAACCTACAGAATGGGGAAAAAATTTTGCAATCTTTCCACCTGACGAAGGTGTAATTTCCAGGGTCTACAAGGAACCTAAACCAATTTACAAGGAAAAAAATATTAAAAATGGGCAAACGACATGAATGGATACTTCTCAAAAGAAGACATTTATGCAGCCAACGAACATATGAAGAAAAGCTCAACGTCACTGATCATTTGAGAAATGCAAATTAAAAACCACAATGAGATACCATCTCATGCCAAGTCAGAATGGCAATTATTAAAACGTCCAGAAACAACAGATGCTGGAGAGGTTGCAATGAAAAAGGAATGCTTTTATACGTGTTGGTGGGAGTGCAAATTAGTTCAACCATTATGGAAGACAGTATGGCCATTCCTCAAAGATCTAGAAGCAGAAATATCATTTAACCCAGCAATTCCATTACTAGGTATATACCCAAAGCAATATAAATCATTCTATTATAAAGATACATGAACGCGTATGTTCATTGCAGCACTATTCCTAATAGCAAGGACATGGAATCAACCCAAATGCCCATCAATAATAGACTGGATAAAGAAAATGTGTTACATATGCCCCATGGAATACTATGCAGCCATAAAAAGGAACAAGATCATGACCTTTGCAGGGACGTGGTGGGAGCTGGAAGCCATTATCCACAGCAAACTAATTCAGGAACAGAAAACCAAATACCTCATGTTCTCATGTATAAGTGGGAGCTGAACGATGAGAACACAAGGACATATGGGCGGGAAACAACACACACTGGTGCCTTCACGGGGGTGGGGGAAGGGAGAGCATCAGGAAAAACAGCTAATAGATGCTGGGCTTAATACCTAGGTAATGGGTTGATCTATACAGCAAACCACTATGACACACGTTTACCTATGTAACAAACCTGCACATTCCGCACGTGTACCTCTGAACTTAAAATAGTTGAAAAAAAAGTACACAACAGACTGCATGCTTCCATTTCTGCCTATAATTTGAAAGGTGATATATGCATGCATACGTTTGAGTATATGCAGAGAGTATTTCTGGAAGAAATGTAATAAACAGTGACTTTGTCTCTTTGAAAAGAGCCTGAGGATATGGGTCTGAGATGGGATTTTTTTTTTTCCAGGAGCACATTTTTAATTTGTATGTACTTTACTTATAAATTAAAACAAAAAAACTAGTTGAAGGTTTTCTAGGATTACTCTTACCTCTGAGAGAGGTGGTGTAGAGAAGGGGACTTAGGGAGTCTAAGGAGAAAAGAAACAGATAATCCCTTTGTCCTTCTTTCTTCCAAGAAAACTCAGGGCTTGTGTATCCCCGGACTCCTGTGGTTTTGGCACCTCAGCTGGACTATTGTCCAGTAAGCTCTTCTGGGCTGACCTGGAACTGAACTACCATTTGTAAACTCTTTCTACGGGGGAAACGCAACAGTGTTCCAGAGAACATACTAAACCAAACGGCCTCCACTCATTCTTTCTCAATTTCTTGTCTATTAGCTTCCTTAAGAAAAGAAAAAAAAAAAAAAGACTTCAGATTGAACCCGGGAGGCCTGAGCCATCCATATTCTAACTCATTTCCTCAGAAATGATGAAAACACTATATGCATTTCTGTGCTTGGCTACTGTCTGGATTTTTTGTTTGGTTTATTTCCTTGAGAAGGTACCCACTGTTTTGCGCTTTCTTTTCTGACTAACTTCTGTGGTTTTATTTTGAGGAAAGTTGCTGCTTTTTCCTTGCTTGCATGCCTGGTAGAGAGCTATAGGCATTTGGTACATATCTGTTGACTTGGTAGATTAAGGTGTGGACACCAAAGCAGAGAGGTTACTATAAGTTGTCACGGGTAAGACTTTGGTCTGAGAAGACACGGTAGAAGAGATTTGAATCTAGCACAGTGCTTCTCAATTGTGGCTTTGTTGACATAATTCCTTGCTGAGATATTGAGATAATTCTCTGTTGTGGGCCACTGTCCTGTGTATTACAGGCACTTTGGCAGTATCCCTGGCCCCTACCCACTAAATGCCAATAAGAACTGCTAGTTGTGACCATTTAAAAATATGTCTCTAGGTGGTGCCAAATGTCCCCTAGGAGCAAAACCATCCTGGTTGACAATCACCAATTTAGAGTGATTTTGGATTTGCTATTCGCTGTCCAGAAACTGGTTTCTATATTGACATAATTCTTCAAATCCTGGAAGCCTGGAGGTGTGGCCCAGCTAAAGCTTCTGAAAACTTACGCAGTATCTTTGCGAAGAATTAGAAAAGGTACCGGATGAATTAGAAAAGGGCTAGATGAGGAAGGTTAGGCTGAGTTTCATTCTCTATTTCTCCTCTCCTTTTATTCCTGCTGTGTATATGAGGCTCTCTAAGTCAAGGGTCTTGATGTGTTGATAGAGAACAGATTCTTGGAGCCAGTACCCAGGTAGAAGGATGAAATGCAGACTTGATGGCTTTACCATTAAATCAGCTGTAGTACAGTCACTTCCAAATAGTGTATCAGCAAAACATTTCTCATTCATATGGATGAGCAGATTGTCCTTCCTAAGAATGCATTCATTTAACAAATGTTTATTGAGGACCTACTATGTACTGGGAGGAAAAATGCTTCCCTCTACCTCTTCATCCCTTTCTTTCTGCCTAAAGTATTCTATTTCTGTGTGTTTGGTATTATTTCATTTTACATTCTTCGGAATCTGTCTTACTAGCACAAATTCTTCTTTCCCCTCCCCCTTAATTTACTTGATTTCTGAAGGGTCAATTGCAATTAAAAGGAAGAGGAGTGATGAGAGGGATGGCTTGAGTTTTCAGAATGTTCCTTAGCTGTATGTCAGGGCTCCACGAGTGCACACCATGCTGGGCTGCATTCTGGAGGCCCTCCTTGGCTCTGACTGTATTTATAAGTTATCCTACACTGTGCTAGCACATCAGCTGCCAAGGCTGTTTGTAGAATCTGCCTCCCCAGAGGTCTTCAGAAAGAGAAAAGGATGCCAATCTCCATGACGGTTTCAGTGCAGTCCTGCTGATTAGAAGGAACAGGCTAGATTTTTCTGTAAAGGTTTCCTTCAGTCTTGAGTGCTCTTAGATGGATGAGTTTGCTTTTTGGTGCAGGAGGGAGAGATGAAAACTGACACTCTATGAACTTCCTGGCATATCACTGCACACATCCTGTGTATTTATATTTATGTATTTACTTATTTTGAGATGGAGTCTTTCTCTGTCACCCAGGCTGGAGTGCAGTGGTGCGAACTCAGCTCACTGCAACCTCTGCCTCCCAGGTTCAAGCGATTCTCCTGCCTCAGCCTCCTGAGGAGCTGGAATTATAGGAGCCTGCCACCACATCCAGCTAATTTTTGTATTTTTAGTAGAAACAGGGTTTCGCCATATTGGCCAGGCTGGTCGTGAACTCCTGACCTCAAGTGATCTGCCTGCCTCAGCCTCCCAAACTGCTGGGATTACAGGTGTGAGCCACTGCTCCTGGCCCATCCCAGATAGAGAGTAAAACATACTGTTTTCATGCTTTTAATGTTTTCAAAGTACTTAGCTGTGCCGTGTGAGGGAGGTAGGGCCTTTCTTTAGGTCCCTATGGCACAGAGGAGTCAGCGAGGCACAGAAGCATTTAATTATCAGTTAAAGTGACAGCCTGGCTTGACACAGAGCAGAGATGGTGTTCCTGGATGTCTGCCCTCCAAGTGCATGCTCTTTTCTCTTGACCCTGTTACTTCTTTGTGTTCGTGCTTTTTGCTCTGTCTCATAGAGTTCAGACATTTGATTTGGAGCCATAATATTTTAGAGCTATAACAATTTGGGGAGCATATTTAGTATAAGTCTGTCCCATGCAACTTTTATACCAGGCATCCTATATTTTATCTGGCAATCCTGGCCCCAGGGCAACCCTGTGTGAGAAACTCGTAGGTCCATTTTACATGTGAGGGAACTGAGGCTCAAAGAGGTTAAACAACTTTCCCACGGTAACACCTGAGATGAAATGGCAGGCAGCTGACTCCAAAGCCCCCCAACATGGCCTTTGCTTGTCTGGGAGATGGAGCTCCAGGTGGAACTGGTAAAGGGGGTGAATCCATTGGCTGGGAGATGTCATGAGTTTGAGACTGTATTGGGAGCACCTGGCACATGGTGGCCATCAACCAATTTTTAGTCTCTCTCTCCCTTCCTTCCCCTGCATCAAATTGGAAATTCCCTTCAGACCCTCACACAGCGAGGCCTCTACAGACACGTTGAACCTGCCACCCTCGTAGGAAAGCAGAAGGAAGAAGGATGATGTTGGAGAAGATCCCTGCCATTTGATTTATTATGACAGCCTGAGGCCTCAGAGAGCTCAGAGCAAAGAGACCCTGGAATGCAGCCCCAGATCCCTGGAAGAGACTTTACAGGTGTCACGTGGGAGAGTGGAGAGTGACGGGGATGGTCTCAAAGAACAGGAGCAGAGATTATCAGAGACACCACAAACTTGAAAAGTCAGGATGAGTAGGACTTGGGGAGAAAAAAGATCTTACCTTTACAATAGCTTCAAGGACCACAAATTTAAGGGCTCTCCAGAGGCTTTAGGACAGAGAGAGTTGAGGAAGTGCCGGTCCAGGATACGACCCTTTTAAAAGTGTGCCCGTGGTGTCACTGCTGTGGGCAGCGGTGGTGATGTCAATGTTTGCTCTTCTCGGGCTCCCTCCATGACACTGAAAAGACGGAAGTGCTTTTACCTGTCCAGAAGGAGGGGCAGCTGAAAGAAGGAGGGAAGAGGGTGGTCCAGTGCAGGTGCAGCCTGTTTGGAACCTTCTGTGCCTGCACTGGACCACCCTCTTCCCTCTCTCCTTCCTTCGGCTGCCCCTCCTTCTGGACGGGTAAAAGCTTCTCCTGTCTCCTCCTGGACTTTCTCATAGCTATAGGCTTCCATATTCCCCACCTCTATGATTCAGAGGAGTTCAGCTCAGCCACGTCTGTGCCAGAGCTTTGATGCCCCACCTATCAGCCACACAAAGGGCCCTGCCATGAATAAGGCCTCCCTCACTGAGGATCCTTAATTTTTTAAAATAATGAAGCCTCTGCCATAAAGTCAGTGTCCTGGCTGCCAGCCACCAGGCAGAACCTACTAGACTTCTCCAAAATAGATACTGGGGCCTCCTTCCTCAACCATGGTCAAGGCCTAAGCTTCCTTCTCAAAGGCAGGCAGTCCTAGGCTTTAGGGCAAGAAGTGCTTCCTACATGCAAGGTGCTCTGGGGAAGGGCTGCGTGTGGCGGCCATGTGTGCAGGTCTTCAGGATTTCAGCTGAGCCACCTTTTCTTGCAGTTTAAGAAGAAAACAGCCAGCCATTCCCTCCTTGTAATAAATGCCTCCGCATATTTGAAGACAGAGTTAGGTCATTCTTGAGCTTTCTCATCTCCAAACAAAACAACTGTGGCCCCTGTAACCTTACCTTGGCAAATTATAAGGCCCATATGCAGAGAAAAAGCAAAACAAAACCATCTGATGGGGAAGGCCTCCTATCTCTGACCAAGTGTCTGTTTTGAAATGCGGTCTGCACTCGAGTCTTTAATTACATGTAAATTCAGTAGCTTCAAGCGTCTGAGCCAGTGGGGGACCAGGTGCTGCTCATCAGGCCCCTTGGATGTGTTCAGGCTGCAATGCTGGGTGACAGCGCTTGGCAGAGGCTAGGATTTCTTCTCTTCAGATTCATTTTGGGGCATAAAAAGGGGGCATCCGTGAGTGACCCAGGAGCAGTCAGCTGACCTTCCTGCCAGGTCCCCTGAGGGTAGGATGGGCCCCAAGAGCCTCCAGAGAGCTGGCAGCCTGCCAAGAAGGCTGCCCTTGGCCTCCACAGAAGCCAGCAAGAGTGGCTTCCAGATGTCCCTGGTGGAGGCTGGCAGCCTCGTCCTGCAGCCAGTGTCTTCCAGGGGAGGCTTCCTGATGCTGCTAACTCAGAGACAGCTGCCCTGCTGAGCGCCTGCCCTCACTGGGGGTGCTGTGATCACATCAAGTTTCTTCCCATGGTTCTTTCCAAGCTCCTTCCCATATTTGTAGTGTGTTATCTTGGTGATACAGACAAGAGTCAAGGAAATACTGGGTGGAAGAGGGCAGTTCCCCAGCAAACGCCCCCACCCTCAAGTCTGGAAACCCGCAGCCCTAAATGGGAACAGGCATTTGTACTTTCATGCCCAAATGTGGGATCCTCCCCCATGACCCAAACACCTCCCACCAGGGCCCACCTCCAACACTGGGGATCCCATTTCAATATGAGATTTGGAGGGAACAAATATCTAAACTGTATCAACCAAGGTTAGTGCGTTTCTCTGCCCTCCAGTTTTGCCTGCCATGAGCAGCTTTCCTATGAGCCAGCTGTCCTTTTGGTCTCCAGGGTCACTTTCTTTTTTTCAAAGCCCAGTGTTCAGATATTCAGCTGAGCTTCGGGACTGGGGAGTCACAGGACAAGCTCACGTACATGCTTAAGCAAATGCAGTAAATTTTTTAAATAAAGAAAAAGTCATTTAGGCAGTGCCATTCATTCTGTGTGCCACCCTAGATATACCACAGGGTGGATGCGGAGTGGAGGGTAGAGGAGGGTGCATCCCTTGCTCTATCTGCGCCTGTCCTTCCTACAGGCTGCTCAGACCAGGAGCACCTGGATTTGCCCCAGTGGGACTCACCTTTGAGAGACATAGTTTTGGCCAAAATAGCTGTTCAGTGCAAGTCTTCCACTGGTGCCCAACCAAAGGGAAAGCAACCTTTTCCAACAATGAAGAAGAAATTGGTTGTGTCTGCTTTTCAATAGCAAGGGAGTGAATCTCAAACACGGTGCCTCCATTAAGGTGTTCAATAATTTCTACTACATGACAAATGTGCTTTGGGAATGTGAAAGGAAACTAAATCTTGGGACCTCAAAGTCACTAAGCTAAAGGGACAAGTCAAGCTTGGAACTGCTTAGGGCAAACCTACTTCCCATTCTGTTCAAAGTCATCTCTCTGAGGCTCACCTGAGACAAATGCATATCTAATTGCTTCCTCTGCCCTATTGTTGATGTAAAAATGCAGATTCACTGAGCCAGACTAAATTGTGTATTCAGTGGAAGGTTGATCGAGTATGCAAAATAATGAAACCTTTTGTCTCTTATCTACTTCTGACCTGGAAGCCCCAACTTTGAGTTGTCCCACCCTACCAGACCAAACCAATGTACATGTGACACATATTGATTGATGGCTCGTGTCTCCCTCAAATGTGTAAAAGCAAGCTGTACCCTGACCTCCTTGGGTGCATGTCGTCAGGACCTCCTGAGGCTGTGTCACAGGAGCATCCTTAACTTTGGCAAAGTAAACTTCTTAAATTGACTGAGCCCTGTCTCAGGTATTTAGAGTTCACAGGAATGATTTCAGACACCCCAGGGAGAGGTGCCTCTACTGCGCGGCTCCTGGCCTGGTCTCAGACTAAACCGTAAGCTCCCTCATTTTTGTATCCCCAGTGCCCGAAACTGTGCCTGGCACTCGAGGGTCCATGATATGTATTTTTGGCTTTGTTGAATAGTTTAATTAACTCATTAGTGATGCAAAGTTCTAACTGCATATTTACAGATATTTATGTGTGCACCACATTATGGGTGGTGAGAAGTAGGAATTCAAAGAGACAAAATCATACTTTCTCTCCTCGAAATTCTTGTAAAGCTACCAAGAAGACAAGACATAGACACACTAAATATAAATAAAATACAAAAGGATGTACCCTGACATGCAAATATGTGTTCACAGAAACAAAGTTCTTCTTACCAAATTCCTGTTGTCTAAAGCAGTTTTTCCTAAAGCGCGTTCTTCAGAATACCAGTTTCTCAGGGTGCCAATGTGAGGAAAAGCTTTGGTGGTCAGATGAGTTCAGGGCTGGGTTAGGCTGATTTCTTTACCAGAGGGCTTCTTGAAGACTTAAAGAAATCTGTATTGAGATATAATTTGTATGGCATAAAGTTCACCCACTTTAAGTAAACAACTCGTTGGCTTTTACTATAGAGTTGTGTAGCCATCACCACAATGTCACTGCAGAATGTTTCCATCACCACCCAAAACACCTCACGCTGTTTGCAGCCATTTCCCATCCTCTTCCTTCCTAGCCCCTGACAACCACTAATTTACCTTCTTCTTCTATAGATTTGCCTATTCTGGGCATTTCATAGAGATGGAATAATTTACTGTGGGACCTTTTGTGACTGGCTTCTTTCATTTAACTTAATGTTTTCAAGGTTCATCCACGTTGTTGCATGTATGCACTGATGGACATTTGGGTTGTTTCCACTTTTTGGCTATCATAAATAACATTGTTATAAGAATTCATGTGCAAGTTTTATTTGACTATATGTTTTCAGTTCTCTTGGGTCTATAGAGAAGAGTGGAATTCCTGGGTCATACTGTGAATCTATTAAACCTCTTTTCTTTATAAATTACTCTGTGTCAGGTATTTCTTCATAGCAGCGTGGAAATGAACTAATACAGTAAATTGGTATCAAGGTAGTGGGGGATTGCTATAAGATACCTGAGAATGTGGAAGCGACTTTAGAACTGGGTAATGGGCAGAGGTTGGAACAGTTTGGAGGACTCAGAAGACAGAAAGATGTGGCAAAGTTCAGAACTTCCCAGAGACTTGTTGAGGGGCTCTGATCAAAATGCTGATAGTGATATGGACCATGAAGTCCAGGATGAGGTGGTCTTAGATGGAGATGAGAAATTTATTGGGAACTTGAATAAACATGATTCTTGCTATGCTTTAGCAAAGAGACTGGCAGCATTTTGTCCCTGCCCTAAATATCTGTGGAACTTTGAACCTGAGAGACCTAATTTAAGGTATCTGGCCAAATAAATTTCAAAGCAGCAAAACCTTCAAGTGATGACTTGGGTGCCCTTTAAAGCCTTCAGTTTTATGCACTTACAAAGTTATGGTTTGGAATTGGAACTTACGTTTAAAAGGGAAGCAGAGCGTAAAAGTTCAGAAAAATTACCCGGAAGGAGTTAAACCCCATGGCTGCTTCATGAAGCAGGAAAGGTGGATAAAAAAGACAGAGAAAAGATGCAAAATACACAATCTATAATTTAAAAAGGGAAAATTATTACAGAGCCCAGGATAGCAAACACATAAAAGTAGAATACAATGAAATAAATTATGGCAACTATTTTCACTAAACTAAAAGGAACTCTATAATGAAAACTTTTCTATAAGGAAAATTTCCATCTTATGTTTCGTTTACTGGAACCAACCTTGTGAAAATTACACAAACTTCAAGAGAATTAAAAAGAAGGAAATGCTTCCAGAATTATTATATGTGGTCACAATAAACTTCATTTCCAAAACGAATAAAAGCATTAGAAACAAAAATTAATTCCTGCATCTGACATGAACACAGATATAAAAAGCATAAAAAGCACATATATGTGTAATGTGTAGTTCATATATATATATACATATTTGAAATATCTATCTATCTATATAGGTATTTATAGATATCTAAATATATCTATATCTGTATATATGTAAATGTACATATATGTGTGTTAATGCACATATATGTATATATGAATGCATATCTGTATATAGCTACATATGTATGTAGCCCTATATTGAATTATGTATGCCTATAAAATTGAATGTCAGTATATTTCTATCTATTTAATAAACAGGTGTAGCAAGCCACATTACAGCTCTTATGCTTAAAACTCAGGTAAATTTTAATAATAGCAATTTCTGAGTGATGGTCATAAAACGAAAGGTATGACAGGCTTAGTTAACTAATTTTAGAAAAAAATTTATATTGTTTTATTTAAATGTTTTATTTTCCTTTTTTCTTTTAATTTGGAGACAAGGATTTGCTGTGTTTCCCAAGCTGAAGAGTAGTGGCAATTCACAGGTGAAAACTTTTCTTCACTTTTGGAATAAGTTTTTATTTTGCTTGGAATTTTAGCTTCAATAAATAATAAGTGTACATGAAAAAGCCGCTACTTTGATCTAATCTATGAGAATTATTTAAATTCTCATCCAATAGAAGACAAAATCAAAGTAAAAAGAAAATTGGGCTCTTGCCAGAGAGACACAGCTCTTTACTCTTAGGTCTGAGGCAATCTCCCAGACATTCTTGCTCACACAGTTGCAGTCCACTGCAAGAATAGAAGATGTGAGGACAGCATTACTCAGTTGCACCTTGAGCTCCCTGACTACATATAGTTAACTATCTTTATTGAGGATAATAATAGTTAAAATAAATCACATTGATTTTTAAATGTACAGTTTTTATGAATTTTTGCAAATAAATAATCCTTCTAACCACCTCCAAAGTCAAGATATAAAGTATTTTCACAACCCCAAAAAGCTCTTCCTGAGCAAGTTACGTGATCAACTTGCTCTCTACCCCATAGATTAGGCAACTTTTGGCCCATTTTGAAAGGTCTACTCATGGCTCTTCCACCATGACTTTGTCTCTAATCCTCTGTTCTGTTTTTTCTAAGGTCTGATGATTTGTTCAAACCCATAGACAATGTCATTGAATGGCTGATCTCCCTCTGCAAAATGAACAAGGATATAACACTTGCACTTTGCTCACTGTTATGATTTTTACTCTCCAGGCCATCCTTGACTGTGAGAATGATGTGACATCAGCCCAGCATCCATGGATAGAACTCTGTCCAGAATAGCATCATTGTAGACATACAAAGAATGAGGACTTACCTAGGAGACAAGGATATAATTTTTAACATTAGGGAAAATCATCTCCATTCATACTCTTTGGCACCTCAAGTAAGTTAGAAAAATATTTTAAGGTGACACATGAATTTGGTGAGTGTTTTAGAAATACATCAAATTTCAAGGACATTCCTATAGCCAGAGCAGGTACTATATCTGGTTCTAGAAACCAACTATTTTGATGAGGAATAAATAGAATTATCTTAAGAGATTTAATTTATTAAAACATTTTGTAAATATGCATATGTTTCTCATATATATATGTAAATGGCCTTATTTAGACATGAATATATGCATATGGAACTACACGCACCCAACTATTTATCAAATAAATATATATATATGTACCTACATTAATGTTTATATATATATATGTGGAGTTTCCATAAATAAGGTAAATTTTACACTTTTTATTTATATATAATTTTTTAAATTTCTTTTTAAATTTCTCATTGGTAGCTTTATAAATACATTACCAAATATTTATACTTCTGCCACTAATTATAATAAGATACATCCTATATGGGTGAATGTGTAAGTATTACATTGGTCACTTTTTTTGCACAATGATGATTGATAACCAACTACTTAAAAGTCAGTGTATTACATCAAGTTTTATCGTGTTTCTGGATGATCATTTTAGTATTAACATGACTCTTCAAGACAGGGCTCAGCTGGGTGGTTTTGCTGCAGGGAGCAGAGCTTGTCTCTAACCTATGGATTGTGTTCATCTGAGGTCAAGGCTAAAGGGCAGTATCTACCCAGGCACCATATTCTGATGAAGGCAGCAGGAGTGGGCAACCTCCCCAAACCAAGTTGAAATGGTGAATGAAGTCTAATAATTTTGAACACAGATACACACAATTTTAAGTTATTCTTTCACCTTGGTAATTATTATGGTTCCTACAAACTTTTCCTCCATTTAAACATCAAAGCATTTTATTATTCCATGGACAGATCATTATGTTTCTCCAACTTTACAATCTTCCAATTGTTTTCAAATGTCATGTTGCATGGATTAGAAAATAAAGCTGGGTGTGGCTGCAACATGTGGCTTTCCATTGAAATTTTTAAAAATAGCCTCATTGCCATAATAGTATACAGAAGTTTGCTCTTGTCACCCAGGCTGGAGGGCAGTGACATGATCTTGGGTCACTGTAACCTCCACCTCCTGGGTCCAAGCGATTCTCCTGCCTCAGCCTCCCTGGTAGCTGGGGCCAATGGTGCCCACCACCACGGTATCTCTTTAGCTGAAACAAATATCACATAGAACATAGCTTCTTAAACCTTTTATAGGTCACCTGTTATCAACTACCATGGCTAAACAAAGGTTCTCATTCAGTGAACTGAAGGTCGTTCTGCTATTTAGCATATGTATCATGCTCTCAGTGTGCTAATGATCCTGCTGGATTCTGGATACATGTTGAGTAGCAAAGAATTTTCATAATTTAAAAAAGGTTACACCAATGTTCAGGTTTTTCTGTTGTTTTGGTTTCTTTGTTAAGAAATATTTTTCATTTGTTTGTAAAATGATTGTTATGTATGTCATACAATTTCCTGATTTTTAAGCTGTGTCTATGACTTAATAAAGTTATGTTGCTATGTGACAAGTGCAAGTATATTCAAATGTATTCTGAGGCCATGCATAACTGGCAAAAGTTTTCACTATTTTGTGAAAATACTGACCATGTTGGGCTTTCAGCTGTCAGTTCCTCATTATCACCATCACTTCTGAAAGCGCATTCTTCAGAACCACCTTTCCCTCTATACTTTCCTGTAGAGTTGTTCACTGAGGGGTCCTTCCACGAGATTTGGAAGTCAGAAGAGAATGATTCAATGCTCATTGACACCTGCAGACAGACAAGTGGACTTAGTTGAGACCTAGAGAATCACCTAGAGACATACTGCAGGAGGCTGAGAGCATCAGCACCTGCACTCTGGGCTTCTCAGACAGATCCAAGGACCATGTGGCTAGGCAGCTCACACCTGCAGGGTAGGGTGCACCCTGGTTTCTGCAGGAGCACCAGAGAATCATGTCTCTAGTATCTGCTTCCGTGACTAACATCAACCAGGCCTTGAAAAGCTGTAGTTTAGACACTGATTTCATAAATTAAAACGATTCCTGCTTGGAAGGGCTAGAGTGGCTTCTCTTTTGCTACAAGAATTCCAATCATCCCATAACAGACTCCTCAGGTGGTTAAATCTCTTTATTAAATCAGGACTCGCATTTCATGTCTTTGCTTCTGGGGATGAGGAGGAAAGAGAGTGGGTGCAAAGGAGCCACCTCATCACAATTTACCAAAATTTCCAGACGACCTTCAAAACTTGGCTGCATCTGGAAAACAACTCAGCAGATTGAGGCACTAGGAGGGGCATCTAGGGCAACCCGGCCTCACTCATCTGCTATCCTAGCAGTTGATGTTATGACTTGTCACACTGGGGGAGGGAAAATGCTCTCTTGTTGACATTAATAAGTTGCAAAATCTTCAGGCTGCAGGCTGCTGACGGTGAGAGTGAAATCTCTTCCATATCCGCTGCCACTGAACTGAGATGGCATCGCCCTCTGCAAACTGGATGCCCTATAGGTCAGGAACTTAGGTGCTTTCCCTGGTTTCTGCTGATACCAATTTAAATAGTTGTAAATGCTTTGACTAGCCTGGCAAGAGACGGTGGCTCTGTCTCCTACAGATGCAGACAGGGAGGATGGAGGCTGAGTCATCTGGATGTCACATCTGGCATCTCAGGTTGGAAATACAAAAACAAATATTTACACTTTTCACCATGTTATGCGAGGATTTCCCTGAAGAGCCAGGCTGTACTGAGCACACTGGGTGGCTAACTTCCCAGTGTTCTCCTTCTTTACCTGGGAGACAGAGCAGCAGGAAGGCCAGGAGCTGAGCGGGGATCCTCATGTTCATGCTGTGTCCTGACTGCAACTGACTCCTGCACAGGGTGTGACCAGCCTATTAAGAAGTCTTCAGGGCAGGGGGCTGCGCTCTAGGACACACAAATCAGCAGGGGATGGGGCAGGCTGGGCACAGCCACGGGGCTGGCTCATCTCGGTAACTCAGCAAAGGGGCAGTGTCCGCAGGGTCCCAGGTCAGACCAGGCCTGACAGATTTGCCTGGAGGGAATGTATTTCTCTCTACATCCGTTGTTTCGACAAGAGATATTTTGGGAGAAAAAAGTCAAAATTTAATTCAAACCTAGGGACTACATGGAGTCATATATTTTAGAGTTGTATCGGGAGTATATAGGAGAGTATGACCATTTGTAGGGAATGTCTGATAATGTCTTAGAGAATGGGGCTATCAGGTCTTCAAGTTATTTAAGTGGACATTGTGGGAGTGACAATCCCTTTGTTATACTAACAACACCTCTGTGATTGTCACGTTGCTCCCATTGTTTCATGTGGGAAAAAAGTCTTTGTCAGAAGCATATTTAAATATTCAAAGGTATTTTGTAGTGACCTGAAACATTTGTTATTACCAGTCTATTTTCAAGCCATTCCCTGCAGATGCACAATAATGATGCTGTGATTCCTCAATGCCTGTGCCACTCACAGATCTTCCATAATCCAGAGCTATAGGTCTCTGTAATAACCAGGGACTAAATGGACAGCACCTCCGTCTTGCTGACCCATATGATCAATTGTCTCCACAGGAAGAAGAACAAGGTAACTTACCATTGCTAATGCTCTGAGCTGCCTTTCCCACCGGAATGTTCCCAGGTGTTCAGGTACAGCTCCCAAAAAACTGGGCTTTCTGGAAAGCAGGGGAGGGAGAGGCCCTGGGGAAAGGCCAAGTCAGTGAACACTTTCTCTTCAGTGAGGGCAGCAGCTACTCAGTGCATGTCTCTGCCCTGCACCATCGATGCCACTTTCCTCTTTGACTCTTTAGCAGTATGTGGGGACATCATCCTTACCCAGACGCCAGCCTCCTTGCCTCACTTCCAGGAGAGAGAATCTGCATCTCCTGCCAAGCCACCGCCCATGTACGTGAAGAAATACTTGGGATCTGGATAAAACTTGGAAACAGATTTGAACCCCTATACCTCACATGTCTGCCTCTGCCCAGGCATCCCAGCCTGGTTGTGCAGCAAGGGAAGTGGAATCAACTACATCGACATGAGAAGACTAGAACCTGGGGAGTCCAGGGAGCATTACTCACGCATCACTAAGAGTGAGCAGACCACAGTGGTATAGCCTGTACCCAGATCTCCTGCTGCTTTCCAGGGGCCTGAATTTCAAGGGAAATTACTGGCAAACTGCTTGCTAAGATTTAGGTTCAGAGAGAAGAAGCTCTGGATTGAAATACACACATTTTTTTTGTGCGGGGAGGTGAATGTAGCAGTCACTCTTGCTACCCTTTGCCTTTCCCCTTTGCTGTACTTCTGCTGACTCCCCATGGCCATATCTGTTCCTCACTGCTCTATGTCAAACTGGAGAAGGCAGCCCTGCCTGCACACATGGCCTTTCACAGCACCTGGAATGAGCATCCTCTCAGAAAGCCCTCAATCAGTGAGGACAGGAGAGGTGTATATACCCCAGCTCCCTCTCTTCTCAGCTGGAATAATACTGAGACATTTTCCCCTGTTTCCACGTGGGCTTGAGCTCCAGCCATCCTCAGCGGTAGCTCTTTGCTGAGGAGACTTTTGGAGTCCCTCCTTTCTTTCCTCCTTCACTGCCTTGTTTCCTCCCCGTGTTTCCTGTGCATTATAAACATGCTGCCTGCATAGGCATCATTATCCCTGAAAGAGCCAACCTAAGAAAGCAGAAAAACATTCTTTCTTGGACGGTATGGTCTGAATTCTTGTCAAATCTTTTTTTTAACGCATAGGGATATTTAGAAAATTTAGGAAACACCTGAATTATCTTGGAATGGTCACCCTCCGTTCTTCAAAATGGCTCTATCTTGTCATTTTTTAGTGTCAGTTTTAACAAGACACACAGGCATTTCACTGTGAAGAGGGCTAGCAGCAGAATACTTCTTATGTGTAAAAGCTCTTGGATAAATCCTTTAAACTCTCATACTCTCTGGGTATGTGATTAGCTCTTGTGTTCTCTGGAGATGACAAAAGTAGGGGGCTATTTGTTCATTTGTTTTCACATTAGGAGAAGAAATCAGATTGATAGGACACATTTTGAGAGGGAAGAGCCGGCTCAGGGAGATGAGGATGGTAGAAAAGAAGCAAAGTGTTCAGGGCAATGCGAGATGTGCTCCTGCCCTCAAATCTGAAAGAAAGACATTTAAATTTTAAAGACTTGGAGGAAGTTTTGCTATGTGGACAAAACTGCAGAAAGGCCTGAGTTTATAATTGTGGTAATCATGGCAAGGTTCAGAGGTAGCAAGGCGCTTGCTGAGAATTCCACACCACCCTTCCGGCTTTGTCTCTTCTCTGAGTTTAAAAGCCATTCATTCCTCCATGGAACAAATGTGGCCATGTGGAAGCGACATATTTAAGCTGGGTTCCAAGCTCAGCCCTGATAATTGCTGGCCATGTATCTTTGGGCAAACCACCCCTGTGCTCTGATGAACAGTTTACTCACCTGTGAAAAGTAGCACCAAGGATATCAAGGGCTGTCCTGAAGGTTTCTCTAGTTGATGCACCAGGAAATGTATCTATGCATATATATGTATGAAAAGACTACTTAGGGCCCCTTTTCTGCATCCTTGAATATCTTAGAATGAAGATTCTAGATAAGATATTACTACCCAGATGTCATGCTCTACTAAGAATTATCAACATTTATTATATAATTAACAGATGCTCCAGTATACACCGTGGGGTTTCCTGTACGCTATTTCCTCATAAAATCTTCTAATATGTGTAACATTAGAGAATCGAACGTGGAGATTCCCAATCATTATACTACCTTTAGGCTGGATTTATTCTAAGCCCCATTTGTATTAGTATTTTTGGGCTGCTATAACAAATTACCAAAACTTTGGTAGCTTAAAGAAATAGAAATATATTCTCTTATAGTTCTGGAGGCCAGAAGTCCAGCATCAGTTTCAGCAGCCAGGAGCAGGCTGTCATCAGACAAAGCTGCTCCAGGGTCTCCAGGGGCAAGTCTATTTTTTTTTACTTCTCTTAGCTTTTGTTGGTTTAAGCTTTCATTGGCTTGAGTCCAAATCATTTCAATCTCTGTTGCTGTCTTCAGATGGCCTTCTCTTCTGCAGGATTTTTAAAAATGACATTTAACAAAGACAGGCCCCTTTAGGGCCCACCTGGTCAATACAGGATAATCTGCCTGTTTTATAATCCTTAATTTCATGTGCAAAGGCTCTTTTCCTGTGAAAGGTACCTGTATAGTTTCCATGGAATACAGCCTGATCATTTGAGCACCATACTCAGCACTAAACCATTATAGAATGACTCTTCAGTGTTGGTACTATACACACATCACACGCTCTTCTCTCTCTCTCTCCTCCTCTCGTTCCCTCTTTCTTCCTTCTGATTATAAATCTCCTCACTTCCCTAAGCGTATCCAGTGCCACCTATGTCTAGGTTAGAGCAGCACACATAGGAGGGCCTGCATAGGTATCATTGTCCCTGAAATGTTGTGGTTTGGCTTAGAGACCTGCTCTATCCCTCATTATCACTCAGAAAGAAGGACACAGCCAAAGATAGTCCTCAGCCATCTGGGGAGAAGCTGTCTTCACAGAGGACAGTCAGGGGCTATCATTCTCTGGACCTCTGCTTATCTTCAGATGCCTGTGGTCCTCAGCCCTCAGTGAGGGTCTGTGTGGCCCCTGATTCGAGTAGGATCCAACAGGATCCTTATCAGAATATCTGATTCACAGAAGGCAGCGAGTGTAAGGTAGGAGATCATCAGGACTTGTGTTCTGAGCACCGATCCCAACATTGGTCATGACAACGCTGACTGGAACAGGATCTCGACAAAAGAGGATGCGCTACAGAAACTGGCCCAAACCAGCTAGAACCAAGATGGTGACAAAAACGACCTCTAGAGCACAGTGTGAGTGGATCTTCCCCCGGGGGCTCCCGTCAGACAGAGTGGCAGCCATGGCTCAGTGCTGCATGATCATAGTATGAAACCCCCCCCCCACGGTCTTTTCACAGCCCCCCTCTGACTGCAGTGATGTGGGATTTCTCTGTCCAACTTTCATGGCTCAAGCAACTTCTGGGACTCTGTTCACAATGGGAGGTCATGAAGGTAGTTAGGCTGTTGATGGCCAGAGTGACGTCTGTCCAGACTCACCCCCTTGACCCAGGCGGGCATCGTGTCCAGGGGGCAGTGGGAGCCAGCAGGAGATCAGCGTCAGCCCTTATTTCCTGTGGAGCTAGGCTAGGACACTGTTATTTCCGTGACTGGCTCTGCTGGTGACAGTGACCCTGTCTCCTGGAACACAGGGAGGGGCCTGGAGATGAGCACCGCACAATATCCCAACTGTCACATAAGTGGGGAACAATTATGAACATCCCCAAGTGTTAATTCTAAATAA
Source organism: Homo sapiens (assembly GCF_000001405.40). Taxonomy (NCBI): domain Eukaryota; kingdom Metazoa; phylum Chordata; class Mammalia; order Primates; family Hominidae; genus Homo; species Homo sapiens. Next base: position 301,863 of record NW_025791765.1, read on the forward strand.
CTACTTCATTCAGTTTGACTGAATTCTGATGAACAAGCAAAATGGGCGACAGACTTCATCTTGAAGGATGTTTAATGCAAAGAAACTGCATTAAATTCATGTTTAATACACAGAACTGAAACTGAAGGTGAAGCCCGAGTTCTCCCTCTTCACCAGAGAATTGGAAAAGCAGGAGGAAGAGGAGCAACACCAGGTCCCCACGTCCACGAGGGTCTCCTGAGGCTGATCCTGCTCAGAGAGAGTGGGAAAAGTGGATGAGTCAGCTTGCATTGCCACACCAAAAAAACTGGATTGGATGGCAGAAACCACAGAATTTAATTTTCATATTTCTGGTGCCTGGAATAGCCCAGATCGATGTCCAGCAGGGTTTGCTTTCTGGTAAAGACCTTCTTCCTGGTTTGCAGATGCCACCTTCTCACGGTGTCTTCACACAGCCTTTCCATAGAGCGGAAGGCAATTAGAGAGAGAAGGGAGAAAGGAGAGCTCTCTGAATCTTATAAAAACACGAATTTGCCAGGCGCAGTGGCTCACGCCTGTAATCGCAGCACTTTGGGAGGCCGAGGCGGGCAGATCATGAGGTCAGGAGATCGAGACCATCCTGGCTAACGCGGTGAAACCCCGCCTCCACTAAAAATACAAAAAATTAGCCGGGAGTGGTGGCGGGCACCTGTAATCCCAGCTACTCGGGAGGCTGAGGCAGGAGAATGGTGTGAACCCGGGAGACGGAGCTTGCAGTGAGCTGAGATGGCGCCACTGCACTCCAGCCTGGGCGACAGAGCGAGACTCTGCCTCAAAAACAAACAAGCAAACAAACAAAACAAAGCAAAAACAACAAAACACGAATTCTACTGGATCAGGGACCCCCCTTATGACCTCAATTACATCTTTAGAGGTCCTAATTTCTACAGTCATATTGAAATTAGGGTTTCAACATGAATCTGAGGGCACAATTCAGTCCATAGCAGGTGGGACACAGCCGGGGCCTTGCTTCCAGTCTCAGAGAATGGGGCAGGTTCCCACAACTCAGCACATGGGTGGCTCCTCCCCGGTGCCCAGGTCACAAGAAAGACCCGCCTCTACCTTTCGGGCTCCCTGTTGAGAATGGGACACCAGCACTCCTACTTTCCCAGTGTTCCTGAGACCATGGTGTTGTCTTTTGTTTATTGTGGAGTGTTTTTGCCATCTTCAGACAGGTCTTTGACATAGCAACTTATCGGACATTTGATTCTGTGATTGTGAAAATTAATTGATTAATTAGTCATAAGTAAAAAATTAAACAATACATTGAATCAGAAAAAAGGAGGGCCAGATGAAGAGCTTAAAAGGAATCTGAGTATCTTAAAAAGACGTATTCCTTTCAAACAAGAACAGTTAGAGTCACGGATTTTTTAACAAATGACTTTTTAGCAGCAATGATGAAATAGTAAATGACAACTTCAAATAGGCTACCACATATGGAAGTTTCTTGTCAAAGAATATCTTCAAGAATCATGTAAACACATTTTCAGATTAAAACAAACAAACAATGAACGTGGGTTTACCAGCAGACCCGCTCAATGGAAAATTTCTCAAATCTGTGACTGAGTCAAAAGTACATTTGTCCCTGATGGAAAGCTAGAGGTTTTATTTGTTTCTGTATTTATTTTTGATCCTTAGAAGAAAACAGCTTTCTCTCCATTCAGTTCCACCTCATGCTGTTGAGGATGACCATGGGGGCAGTGACTGTGAGGAAGGAGGAAGGCTGTGCTCTCAGGGTGGTCGTGCCTCCTGTCCACCTGAGTGACCTCATGGAGCAGAGCCACCCACACCACCAAGGCCACGTGCCTGCCTCTGCACTGCCATGGCACAGACACAGAAACCTTGTCACATTTAGTCCACCATATTTTGAGGTTTCTTTGTAATAAATTTAATTATGCTCTGATTCTCCTTGTGTCTCTCTCCTTTCAGATTTGGAATCATTTACTTTTCACCATTTTGACTTGAGAATATAGACCTTTGGGATATCAGCATCAGGTAGGTTGTACATTTGTTTGCTTTTCCTAAGAATATATCTAACCGCCTTGAATGGGTTTTGATTTTATCTTCTGTCTCACAGAAAAGCAGAAACTCAAGGTGACTAGGTGCTGTCAATCACAGGAGGGCTAACGTGACAACGGAATTGCTGTATCTCCTGCTGTTGCTACTTACATCTTATTTTCTTTTACTGCGTTCTGTAATAACATTTAGGCTCAAAGAAACATTAATTAGTATTTTTGAATAACATATTAAGTGCTTATGTTTCTTAATTTGAGGGCTATGGTCTACTAAACATCTATATACATTTTGCCATGCAACTTTTCAACCCAACAGAAATGACACATGGGAATTTTAATTGCACTTCCTGTGGAATCCGTTATCTTGACATAAATCATCTCAAGTATAATTTAAGCTGTTAGCCTGCATCAGATTCAATGAGCCTTTTGTGTCTCTACACAGTGTTTTCACATGTAAAAGACATCACTCATTACTCGGGTTCATGTAAATTTATTTGGCAGAACAATCAGATCACGGAAGCAGGCAAGTGGTAACACAAGTGAAATACATGTTAGAAACGACTGGTTTGGGGATAGTTTTATACATGGTAACAGGTGGTCATATTGGGAAATTGCTGTCTTCCCACTTTCCAAACTTGCTCCTTTACCACTCACACGAAACTGCCCTCTCTAGTATTATGGTGAAGAAAGCACTATTGCTTTTTTAACGGAAAGCATTTGTTAGGTTTAAAAGTTCCATGGCAAAATGTATACAGATATGTATCAGACCGCAGCCCTCATATTAAGAAAGCATATAAATTTAGAACATTATTGTCAATAGAATCTATTTATTTATTTATTATTTTAATTTTAATTTTATTATTATTATACTTTAAGTTTTAGGGTACATGTGTACAATGTGCAGGTTTGTTACATATGTATACATGTGCCATGTTGGTGTGCTGCACCCATTAAGACACATGCACACGTATGTTTATTACGGCGCTATTCACAATAGCAAAGACTTGGAACCAACCCAAATGTCCAACAAAGATAGACTGGATAAAGAAAATGTGGCACATATACACCATGGAATACTATGCAGCCATAAAAAATGAAGAGTTCATGTCCTTTGTAGGGACATGGATGAAGCTGGAAACCATCATTCTCAGCAAACTCTGGCAAGGACAAAAAACCAAACACCGCATGCTCTCACTCATAGGTGGGAATTGAACAATGAGAACACATGGACACAGGGTGGGGCACATCACACTCCGGGGACTGTTGTGGGGTGGGGGGAGGGATGAAGGATGGCATTAGGAGACATACCTAATGCTAAATGACGAGTTAATAGAATCTATTAAGGGCATAATTTTTCTATGCATTTACAACTAAAATAGACGATTCAGATTTATTTTCAGGAAAAAAATAGGGTCATGTAAAAATAATGCATTTATTCATTCTTCGAATGATTTTCTTATGACAACATAGTACTAGATATTTCCTCTCTAAAGTACTATGTCAGTAAAATACTTTTAAAATTCTAAGAATTTGAGAAGAAAATAAAAATCTCATGCAATTCTGCATTGTTCCTGTGATATGTTATATAAACTTTATGTTTTCCTCCTGAGTTATTTTGTTTATTTTCAAATCCCACTTTTGGAATTGTAAGAACTCCATTTTCAGTCAGCAAAAGGTAATTGAGGTAAATCAAACTATTTCGGGATTAGGATTTATATTTCCCCTGGATTTTAAAAATCTATAAGTAGTAAAAAACAATCAGACATTATAACTAATTATTCTTAGCCATACTCCCGTGAAAATAGCTGGTGCAGAATGCTTTCTCCACCATAGTACTAGGGAGGGCAGGTTCGTGTGAGTGGTAAAGGAGAGAGAAAGTTTGGAAAGTGGGAAGATAGCAATTTCTCAACATGAACAACTGTTACCATGTATAAAACTATCCCCAGACCAGTCGTTTGCAACATGTTTTTCACTTCTGTTACCACTAATCTGCATCCATGATCTGATTGTTCTGCAAATAAATGGACTCAACAAATGTGGGCCAGACAAGGAGGGTGAAGATGAGCTTCATTCACTCTTCCTTCATCAGAGCTGGCTGTTCCCAGAGCAGGTGGCTACATGTGGCAGCTGATGGAGCCTTAACATGTGGGACTGAGGTGCAGCTGAGGCTTTCATGGGCCAGAGTCCTCAGCAGCAAACTCTGTCCTGAATTCTCCAACAGCCTCCTCTTCTGCAGACTGAGAGACCCTGCTGAGCTGCTCCCCAGACAAGCAGTGCATGTGAGCAGCTGGGACACCCCAGAAGGGAGGTTTCTCTATGGGGCTGTACCACTGTGGGAGGAAGCTGCAGAGCCTGCATGCAGTAATAAACCCCAACATCTTCAGCTCCACCCGGCTGATTTTCAGTGTGAAATCAGTGCCTGACCCACTGCCATTGAACCTGTCTGGGACTCCAGAGGCCCGGTTTGAAACAAAATAGATCAGGAGCTGTGGAGACTGGCCTGGCTTCTGCAGGAACCAATACGAATAGGTGTATCCATCACTGGACAAGAGGCTCTGACTAGACCTACAGGATATGGGGGTGGCTCTCTAGAGGCGACAGGCCAGGAGAGTGGAGTCTGGGCCATCACAGTATCACCACTGGATCCTGAAATAATAACAGAGAAGTGCAAGTTTGTATAGACACATTATGAGCAGCTTTCATGATTTCTCTATGATACTGATTTACAGTTACATATATTTTCAAGTTTTGATTTATATCATGGAAAGTAGACTTTCTAAAATGAACCCATTATTTACCAGCCAGCAGGGAACTCTTTATTTTCAAGATCTTAATCAGAGGTCATTGTTCCTTGGAGGTGAATCCTGATTATTCTTAAGACAAAAATATGAATTCTCTTTCCTGGAGCATAGACCATGTGCCTCTAACACATGGTTGAAATAAATATGGGAAGCTATGGAGCTCCCAGAACTCACCTTCCAACCCCATTTTCCCACCTCATATTTTTTCTATCTTGAGCATTAGCCGCCCCAGGAGCTGAGCAGGGAGCCTCATTGTGAGATGGACTGAGGAGTCCTGATCTGTCGAGGCAAGGTTAGAGCTGAGCTTTTACCTCAGACTCACAAGGGAAGGTCCTCCCCTAGGGTGCAATATGCAAATCACCTGGTGGGTGCAGCAGTGTGGAAAGGGTCAGTGGTGGAGGGGGTATGTCTCTACTGTGAACAATGTGACATAAAATGTTCAATGGAGCAAAACAAACATAGTTCAAGTCAAGTATGCCTGTAGCAGTTGAGGATGGGACACACTAGGGTCTCCTCCCAGTGATGTGACTGAGCATCCCTGCAGCCATGACGACAGCAGGAAACCTTAGCGGCTGGTCCAGTGAGGATGTGGCAGCCAACACTGGAGGGTCTGTAGGGCTTGAGCACCCCAAGGAGTTAGGAAGGAAGAGGCTCTGGAAGGTGCCCTGGAGAGACCTGGCCCCTGTTCACACAGAAGAGGAGCATGTACCTGTGACTGAGGCCTCATGTCCTCTTCCTCAAAGACTCTCCAGGCAACTGCCTGAGCCCACCTGACTCGACTCTCTGTGGACACATCCCCTGGCACCGCAGCCTCTCCTTCCACGCTGAGAGGCGGAGCTTCCTTGAGAGCTTTATGTTTGGGGCCATCACACTGTGCAGGGTCCCAGTGAGTGTTCTGCTCACAGGAGGATGTGCAGCATCTCCAGGCTCCAAAGTAGTGTTTGTGATGGTGAAATCCCTAGAATTTTGGTTAGATGTGAGTCCCTGCTTGTGAATACCTTCTACAGACATGTCATTCTTTGTTTTGCAAGATATTTTCTATGAAGCATCCTTTCTTTGTTTTTGAACCTTTTTTTGGTTAGGAATGTAATTTAAATTGCACTACCTTTAGTCTCCACACTAGTGATTATGGGAGTGAGACCAGTAGATTTTGGGTTGGATGTGTGTTCTCACTCATGAATGGAAAACTACTCTAAAGACTTGTCATTCTTTGTACGTGTGACAAATTACTTGCTATATTTCATGATTTCCTTTTTTTTTGACATTTCTGCTTGGAAATACAATTTTAAATTCATTCACAATGGGATCCATCATCTTAGAATAGACAATAATTTCTGATGTGATTCATTTTTTTAACCAGAAAAAAAGATATTTTGTCCTTTTGATACGAACATTACTTTAATCATATCACCTCACGGCAGTAACAGACATGCTCTTGAATAATTCATAAATATTTTTGGAGCATTATTTTAAGTGACTATATGCAAATCATACATTTTTCTATACCATTACTGTTAGAATATGGAAATCAGATTTATTTTTAGGCAATGACCACATTGTGTAAAAATAATACATTTACTTATTTCAAAACCTTTTATTGTTTTTTATGACAACTTAATATCAAAATTGTCATTTATCAAAACCTGCTGGATTACGTCTTGCTGGGCCTTCTGCTCAGCATGTCAGTGCTTCTGACATCTCCCAGACCCAGACGGTGGTCTCTGCTAGACCTCCTCTAAGGATAGAATAAGTTTCAGAAGCTCTGCTTGGCTGCTGTGATTTCACTAAGACTGAGTGACATGACCTCAGGTCTCCTTGTACAGGGACTTCACTAACCCTTTGGTGATTACACACCTAAAGCCCTACTCACGACATTACTTTCCTGTGAGACTCCCAGTGGCACAGGCTCCGCCCAGGAAGCCACGCAGCAGTGCCTTCAACTCTGTGATTCTTCGCAAGAAACATATTTGGCTCCTTTGTGGGTCCACATCAACTGCCATCACCACCACCATCCACATCCCACCCACCGTAAACCAAGGGCAGTTTAATTGAACAATAGCCGACCTCTCCTGTACCCCTAAGGCCCCTATTCCTGCAGTCTGTCCAATCTTGAATTCTGAACTTTGGGAAATAAAAAAGTTTCCATCATCCTTTATTTTCCCAGTGATCCATGGAAAATACTACATCTTTAGTATACTACATCTTCCAGGATTTGCTTTTTATTTCTAAAACCAGCTTTTGGAGTTTCAAGAACTCCATTTTTCTATCAGTGAGAGATAATTGTAATTAAAAAAAGGTTCAGTATTAGTATCTTGTATCTGCTATGAAATTACAAAATCTATTTGACGCTCACTACCAAGATTTCACTGACTGTCCTCAGCCAGCTCCCTCTGAGGAGAACTAGTGGAGAATGCTGTCTCTCCTGTCTTACGGAGTGGGCAATGAGTGCTAAATAGAAGAAGCGGAAGTTAAAACAAACTAGGAAAATGCCAATTTTAAATATAACCAAATATTTTCTTGAAAATATGGCCGGGTGCGCTGGCTCATGCCGTAATGCCAGCACTCTGGTAGGCTAAGCCCAGTGGATCACTTGAGGTCAGGAGTTGGAGACCAGCCTGGCCAACATGGTGAAACCCCGTCTCTACTAATAATACAAAAATTAGCTGGGCATGTTGGCGAGAGCCTGTAATCTCAGCTACTTGAGAGATGAGGCAGGAGAATCGCTTGAAACTGGGAGGCAGAGGTTGCAGTGAGCTGCGATCATTGCTCCACTGCACTCCAGCCTGGGCGATAGAGGGAGACTCTGTCTCAAAAAAAATCTATATCAATCCATATCTATGTCTATGTCTATATTTATATCTATATCTCTATCTATATCTATCTATCTATCTATCTATCTATCTATCTATCTATCTATCTATCTATCCCAAACTGTTAAACCCTAAGATGTATTCAGTGTGTCTTGCCAGAAATGATCAATTGTCTGGCTGTTTTGCTGAATAAATTTAATAAACAACTGTAGGCAAGGAGGGAGGATGAAGATGAGCTTCCATTCTCCTTTCCCTTTCATCCTGATTTTTAACTCACAGGGCCCTAGAACCTCCTCATACCCCTGTTACTTATGACTGTCAAGGCTGTGTCAGGTGACAGGTACATCAGCAAGAGCGGGAATTGGGCCCGATGGCTCATGCCTCTAATCTCAGCACTTTGGGAGGCCGAATTGGGTGGATGACTTGAGCCCAGGATCTCAAGAGCAGCCTGGACAACATGGCGAAACCCCGTGACTACCAAAACTATATACAAAAATTAATCAGGCTTGGTGGCATGCCCCCTGTGATTCCAGCTACTCCGTAGGCTGTGGTAGGAAAATCACTTGAGCTTGGGATTTCACGGTTGCAATGAGCCATAATCACACCGCTGCACTTCATGCTGGGTAACAGAGTGAGACCCTGTCTTGAAAACATAAAGAAGTAAACAAACAGGTAGTGCTTGAGGTACAGCTGAGGATTCATGGCCCAGAGTCCTCAACAGCAAACCTGCCCCTGAGTTCTCCAACAGCCTCCCCTTTTGCAGACTCAGAGACCCTGCTGAGCTGCTCCCCAGACAAGCAGCACATGTGGGCAGCTGGGCAATCCCAGCAGAGAGGTTTCTGTTCCAGGATGTAGCACTGTGGGGGACCAGTGTGTAGCTTGCATGCAGTAATATAAACCCCAACATCCGCAGCCTCCACCGGGCTGATTTTCAGTGTGAAATCAATGCCCGACCCACTGCCACTGAACCTGTCTGGGACCCCAGAAAACCGGTTAGAAACCTTGCAGATTAGACACTGTGGAGGCTGGCCTGGCTTCTGCAGCTACCAATGTAAATAGGTGTTTCCATTACTATGCAGGAGGCTGCGACTAGACCTGCAGGAGATGGAGGCCGGCTCTCCGGGGGTGATGGACAGGGAGAGTGGAGTCTGGGTCAACAGAATGTCCCCACTAGATCCTGGAATGATGACAGAAAAGGGCAAAGTTATGTACAAATATTGTGCATCATGTTCATAATTTTCCATTTATTATTTCAGCCTGTATAATTTCTTTGCAATTTCAGGAATATCCAATTTCAAAAAGAACTCAACAGATGCAAGGCACAAAGTGGTCTCCCATACCATCATCCTCTTTCTAAGACTTGTGTTTCTTCAGGGCACATATCCTTCCTTCTAAAATCTTCCTCCCTCTCAGAGATCAGTACATCATATGCCTCATGCTGCAGAAAAAGACCTGCATATCTAACACGTGGACTGAACACACATGGGAGACATTGGGCCCCCAGAGCTCACCCTCCCACCCCATTCTCCTCCCTCATCTCCCTGCTGTCCTTACCGGGGACCCGGAGCATTAGCAGCCCCAGGAGCTGAGCAGGGAGCCTCATCGTGAGAAGGTGCCCTGAGGAGTCCTGATCAGTCAAGGCAAGGTTAGAGCTGAGCTTTTATCTCAGACTCACAATGGAAGGTCCTCCCTAGGGGACAATATGCAAATCCCCTGATGGGTGCAGTGGGGTGGAAAGAGCCAAGGGGATGGTGGGAGCCTCTCTTGAGGGCAAAATGACTTAAATATTGTCTCTGTTTAGAGAGAAACCAATAGAGATAAAATCTGTGCTGCATGAGTAGGATAAATTCCCTTTTCTCTTTGTCTTCTCTCTTAGATTTCTCGTTACTTAGAATTTCCCAGGTGCATTTCTCACTTCTCCTTAGCAAGGTTAAGATTCCGTAAACATATGATGATTCTTATTTTTAAATTCATATTGGATTCAGGGTGCAGGATTGGCTTCTTACACTTTTTAATTGATATAAAACACTCACAAAGGATGGAAATGTTAAATATGCAACTAAGTTTTACGTATGTTCGCCATCCAGATGAATCTCTAGAATATTTCAAATTCTCCAGATTCATCCCTTGTGCACCTTCCCAGGCATCAACTGCTCCCCCATCCCAATCAAGGTAACTGGTATTCAGATATTCATTATAATAATTTGGTTTTCCCTGTGCTACAATCTCATATAAATAGAAGTGAACACGTTTGTTTGGCTGTCTCTTGCTTCTTTCTTGTTTCTTTATTATTTTTGAAGTCTTCTTTTCTCGCTGTGCGTTCAAGCTACGATCTGCTGTGATTTCCTGTGATTTTTGAAGAATTTCCTCTTGAATTTTTTATAGAGCACATCTCTGCAAGTAATCATTTCTCTTCATTTTTTAATAAAGAAATGTTTTTACTTTACCTTTATTTTTGAAACATGTTTTAACTGGATATTGAACCCTTTGCTGAGTCCCCCGAACCTGGCATTTAAATATGTAATCCCGCTGTCTTCTAGCCTCTATCAGTCTTGTGAACAGTTAGCCAATTATTCTATTATTGTTTTTCTGGTAAAATGAGCCCGTTTTTTCTTGATACAATTGAGATTTTCTCTTTGTCTGGTTCAGCGTTTTAACTATAATATGTATAGTTGTAGTTTATCCTGAGTGGTTACACTATCTGTTAAATAATATAATAATTATATAATATGTATAGTTATATAATATGTATAGTTGTAGTTTATCCTGAATGGTTACACTACCATTTAGGATAATGCATGGCATTTATCCTGAATAAGTTTCATTATTTTTTCAGTGATTTTTGTCTTGATCTTATAGACCAACGTCTTTTATTACTCTTGATGTATTTGCCATTATTTCTCAGCACTCTCAAGTATGCCATCTCCCAGTGATCATTTCTGTGTGGTTTTTCTCTGCATTTCACTCCACTGTGTGGCTGTATATTGTTTTATGTCTTAGGCAATTTCCACAGCAGCCACAGGGCCAGGCTGCTGGTGCACTTGGAGTGACAGTGCAGTTGGAGTGTCAGCAAATCTGGGCATGGGCCTGGGCTGGTCCACATGGAGGTGGCTCGGTGTCTGAGTTGCCAGCCACGGATGAGGCCCTGGAGCCTGGGTTTAGGGCAATGAAGCCCCATCCTAGGCAGCACAGAAGGGGCTGCTTCTTGAGAGAGTGTGGGAGGAGGGTTTCACAGCATCTTCCTCTCTGGGGTGATATGATTATAGCTGCAGGTTACCTTAATGCCAAAAGCACCAGTGTCCTCTGGAGCAGGCTGCTGTAATCCTCAACAATGAATCCTAATGGGCATCCACTGGGAATGTTGTAGGGTCGGGGCTGCCTGGGGGTTTACTTAGGTCATTAGCTGCAAAGGCTGCAGCGTCCTCCACAGAGCAGGCCATGGGGAGTGCAGTGACCCTGCCTCCTGGCTGATAACAATTGCCTCCTGCTTCTTTCATTTTAGAGGTCTCAGGACTCTCAGGCATGCCGTCTTCTGGCGATGCTTTCTGTATGGTTATTCTGGGCGTTTTTTCTAATTGTGTTCCTGCACATTCTTAACTGGGCTCTTGAACACTCCAAGGGCTATTTTCCATCTTGGATAGCTGTCCCATTGTTGGTCTTGCTTTTGTTTTTGTGTTTGTATTTTTTGGGGTAGGCAGGCGAAGGCTGGTGTCTCCTAGTCAGTCATCTTGCTGATATCACTCCCCTAGGACATCATTTTGATGATGCGGTAACACTATCATGGAATAATACTTGGGCATGTTGAGGTAAGAATTAGAGTGTTCAGCATGTGGGAGGAACGTGAATTGCTTTGGTCACAGGGTGGACTGATGCCTGTTGTATTCTCCAACAAGGCTGTGACAAGATCTCCTATCCTACATTTTTTTCTAACAGGGTGATCTTGACTCTCCTCCCATTGAACCTACTGCCTTATGCTTCCTTCTGTTGAATTTTGGTAGGCATGCAACTGTGTAGAAGCAATGCTGTTTGTCTTCTGAGGCTATAAGAGGTCATCGAGGCTGCATAACTTCTGCCTGCTCCTCCTCTGGAAGTTTCAAGTAAACCAAGCAGCCACATGAATTGGCAAACAACTCCAGCTGAGAACCTTACGTCTAATGTCATCCACCTTTGAGATGACGCCTACCCTAGCCACTCACTGACTGCATCCTTAGGAAAGCCTGGCAGGAACCTTGTGGAGCCCAGGAAACATCCAGAACCATAGAGATGATAGGCAGTTGATTGCAGTTTTCATGTGTTATTAAGTTGGTGGGTAGTTTGTTTCGTGTGTATTAATAGTACCCAGAATACCAACTTACAGAAGGAATATGGAAGTAGAAAGTCAACTATTGATAGTAGATGAATCTGGGTCCAATTTATATTTCTTACAGTGTTTTTCCAACTTGTCACTGTTTGATATTATGGTAAAATAAAAAGTTATAAAGAGTATGTGCAAATGTACAAAAGGTTACTGAGAGAGAATCAAGGAGACTCAATAAGCGAAAGGTTTTACCATGTTCTTGTATTAGGAAACTTAATATTGTCAATATAATAACTCTCTCCAAATTAATTGAATACTGTGACAATCAAAATCCTGTGAATTTTGTTGAAATTTAAAAGCTGTTTCTAACTTAGATGGGCATTCGAAGAGGCAGAAAACAACAACAACAACAAAAAAAAAACAAAAAAACAACCATGGTAATCTTACATAATAAGAACAAGATTGGAAGATTAACACTTCCCAGTATTGAAGCTTATATTAAGCAACAGGAATGAAAACAGTATGGTATCGGTGAAGGCTGAGACAGATAACCCTGTGCAATGAGTCAGAGAATCTAAAACCAGATCTGCATGTATATATAGTCACTCAATTTACAATAAAAGTGCTACAGCAATTGTCTCAAACCATTTGTACAAAAAAAAATAAACACTTTAGATTGGATAATTACAAACAACATAAATTTATTTTTTTCATGGTTATAAAGGCTGTGAATTCCAAGGTCAACATGCTGGCAATCTCAGTGTCTGGTGAGGACTGTTCCTGCTTCCAAGATTGCACCCTGTGGCTGTGTTGTCACATGTTGGAGGTGGAAAGGCAAAAGTGGCAAGTCTGTGTAAAGCCACCTTATTAGACAGGAATCTCACTCACCAGTGCTGAGCCCTCATGACCTAATCACCTCCCAAAGGGTCTACTTTCTAATACTGTTGCCTTGAGATTCAGTTTTAACAGGAACTTTGGAGGTGACGCAGACATTCAGGCCATAGCAGTGATGTAGTAGAAAAAAATTCTAATAACTGAATTATATTGGATCAATTAGATATCCATATTACATCAAAATAAATCTTAACCTCTTCATTTTACTTCTACACTGATACAAATATCAACTCTAAATTAGAAACTGAAATGTGAAAGGCAAAAGAAGAAAGCTTTTAGAAAATAGTATAAAAAGATATTTCATGAATATGCATGTAGGAAAGATTTCTTGAAGAGAATATGCAAAGCACTAAGCATGAAAGAAAAGACTAATAAATTAGTTTGCATTAACATATTTTTGTAGCTTTAAAGAAATAAATGACAAAATGTTATTTGATACATACATATAAAAGAAATAAACTGCATTAGGAGATAGGAATGTGCGATTGTGGATAACCTCAAATGAGATATAAGTTATTGCCCCAACTTGCATTTTGTGAGTTAGAGTCACAGGAGCTTATCACATTGCTACTAATCACCAAATGAATGACTGAGTTTCGAATAAATAAACAACAAATAGCCATAGATGAAACTGCGTCATGATCAAGACGTTATAATTAACAGATTATCATTGTTGAGTATTATTAATTGAAATAAACAAATGTAATTGCTTGATTTTTAAAAGATTAGAGAGAAAAAAACAAAATTAAATACCCTGCCAATTTTCAAAGAAAATTTCTACAAAATATTTTATGTAATCAATAGAATGAAGAAAAAATATCAGGACCCGGATGAAAATGGAACGAACATATTTCTTCATACTCATTTCACTCAGATGTAACGAGTGAAAAGGTAATCTATCAACACTGCTGATACATGAGAAAATAAAAATCTAAATGTACTTGTTTAAAAAAGCAACTAAGGGGCGGGACCATAGCAACCAGAACTGGCCCTGCCAATGAGCAAATAAGTAATATAAAAGTTGGAAGAACAGTCTCAGTTCATGAAGTAGAGGTATATGAGATTAAATAAAGAAAAGAAAGAGTGAAACAGACAGAAAAACAGGATTGAAAGTCAAGCCCAATAAGGAAATATTTCCCTATATACTAGTCATTAGAACAGGGGTGATAAAGAGAAACATAATTTAAAATATTTATGCCTCTGTTATATATTCATGAGTGCAAATTTAACAGACTCGGAAATCTAGGCAAAATTAGGTAGCAAACACACAGGTGATTTTTACATGTTAAAAAATCAGGATCCAATAAAAAACCAAAATCTAAGGGAGGTTCTTTCTTCAGAGATAAAAATCAGGCTTGCTTCAGCAATGTAGTTTACAAACTCTGTTCCCAGAGAACAATGTAGTGATAGCTACATAACCACAAAAAGTCATTATGCCCATGCTTGCGAACTAAGGAAATGATCAAATATGAAGGAAATGTGCAATTTTGAAAATACACACCAACATAAATTTCATGACCATGTAAAAAAATAGAAAATCTTGAAAGATTTATTTTGATTCATCAAGAGTTTAAGCAGCATGCTCCAGTAAAGGAAGCTGTGCCTTGTGATTTTAAAAGGCTGTTGGTGGCTGGGAGCAGTGGCTCACACCTGTAATCCCAGCACTTTGGGAGGCCAAGGCAGGTGCATCACTTGAGGCCAGGAGTTTGAGACCAGCCTGGCCAACATGGTGAAATCCCGTCTCTACTAAAAATACAAAAATTAGCCGGTCTTGGTGGTGGGTGCCTGTAGTCCCAGCTACTTAGGAGGCTGAGGCAGGAGAATCGTTTGAACCCAGGAGGTCAAGGTTGCAGTGAGCCAAGATGGTGCCACTGTGCTCCAGCCTGGGAGACAGAGCAAGACTCCATCTCAAGAATAAAAATAAAAATAATAAATAAAAAAATAAAAATAAAAGGCTGTTAGTAAAACCTTTGGGTTTGGTAAACACATTGAAGTGCTGGCAGGTGGCTGCCTAGAGAGGACATGGAAGCTTTGCACCATCTCACCCCGTCTCAACCTACCCCGTCATCTTGCCATATGCATCTCTTCAGTTAGGCACTTCCTGAGTTGCATGCTTTATAACAAACCAGGAAATGTAACAAACAAAACAAAACAAAACAATCTTGCTGGAAGGAATCTTGCTTGATTAGTAGAAATGATTAAACCAAGAATCTAAGTCAGTTGAAAATTCACTTACAAATGCAAGTCACTGTATAGGAATAATTCTTGAAATATAAGGTATGTAATATGATACCACATAATTATAATCTAAAAAATCTAAATAAGAATGATAACATTCCTTATGCAAAAACATAAAGCAGAGTCAGGGTGAAGACAATAAAAGGAGCAGTTTTGCTGTTACGCTAATTAAGTATATGGTGAAAATTAATCACCAATTTTTTCTTGACTTTGGAAATACAGAATTGTAGATTCATGTAGGCTTAATAAAATTAAAGTATGCATATATCATTTTCTTCGTGATTATCTTTAAAGGAAAATTTAAGACAAATAAAATAAACTATATTAAAATATGAGTAAAACAAAAACACAAAGTGTGAAAACAAAATCATAAAAAACACCACAGTGGCATTAATACCAACACTTCTGGATTCCACACTGTTGTGAAGGCCTGAGTAAAACCTGTATTCACTCCCCAAGGGAAGAGAATCCATGTTAAATCAGGACAACTGAAGCACTAATATTCTCTTAACAAAACTCCTCTCATCAGACTAACCACTGACCAGATGTTCAGGAGGGACTAATTGCTCTCTCTCCCCCATGATAAAAAATGCTGTCTGACAGCAGAACAGTTGGCGGAAAATAAAATGCAAATATTTTAAACTCAATTTGTGAAGGGCAGTAAATAAATATCTCACAAGACATGGTAAGGATGTTAAGGGCTTCCACCCTGGTCTTGGGGTCCCAACCTGGTTCCATCTCCCTGGATCTGGAACTCATTTCACTGTCACCATCAACACCATGGAGGCTGAGGAGGCTGCAACGTCTTCCTCTCAGCAGGAGGATGAGTTTCCTGAAACAGAGACACAGGCCTGAAGGCAACTTCCTGTGTTTACTTTAAGACTGTAGATGCGCGTGCAAAACGTATTTTCTTTGCATTTTGATCCTTCGTATATTTTCCCTTTGTTTTGGTTAGAACTCACTCACAGTGGTTGTTTATTAATAAAATATTTTTTCCTGTTATATGAGATTCATGGGATTTATTCAACCAGGCATAAAAAAAAATCTGCCTTCTTGAGGTTCTTCTACTTTATGTGAGGAGTTTCGACAGCCAATGAAACAGTTAACTAGTAAAAGGAGTAGACATTAGTGTCCCAGTAACTTCAAATTGGGGGTTCTTGTCCAGAAGTTTAGGAGCCCAGAAACCTAAAGATAGGCACACAGCATAAAGACAAGGCATTCCTTCTCAATTTCTTGTTCCTCCCACAGGAAGTTCTCATTTTTCCTTATTCAGCTCCCCATTTTAATTTTGTTTTGTTTTTCCTAGCTTGTGTCTTGAGCAAATTCCTCCTTCTGTGACCCAACTTCCCCGTGTGGTTCTCAGCCTGTACCGTCCTCTCAATAACTCTGGGAGTGAGTTGGCATCTACAAGGCAGAAATTGGAGACCCTCATTTATGAAGAGCGGGAAAAATTAAAAGAGTAATGAATGAGCGTCTCTGAGCTACCTCAGATTTATTTTTTACACCCTCAAATATTTCAGCTGTTCTCAATACTCATTCACTAAGAGATTCTTTCTTCTTATTACACAGGCTAATGTTACGGCCACTTTGGGAAACGGTCTGGCAGTTTCTCAAATGGTAAAACATGCAATTGCCATATAATCCAGCAATTCCACTTATAGGATTATACACCCCCAAATGAAAACGTTTGTCTACACAAAAAAGTGTATGAATGCCCGTAGCAGTGATACTCAAAGAGACAAAAACTAGAAAAAAACCAAATATCCATTAACTGATACATGGAAAAGCAAAATATGGTATGTATATGCAATAGAATATTATTAGGTCATAAAAAGAAATTAAGTACTCACAGACATGACAACATAGAAATACTCGGCATACCTTTTGGTCGGTGAACTAAGCCAGTCACAAAAGACTACATGTAGTCTGAATGTATTTATGAGAAATGTCCACAAGAGGCAAATTTTAAAAATGTAGAAAGTAGACTCTTGTTTGCCTGAGGAGTTGGGCAAAATCCAAGTGACTTCTAATAGGCACAGGGTTTCTTAAGGCTGATGGAAACGTTCTGTAAGTGATTCATGTTATAAACCCCGAATATCTGAGACAAGTCTCAGTTAATTTAGAAAGTTTTTTTTTCCCAAGGTTAAGGAAATGAGCCTGTGACACAACCTCTGGTCCTAATGACATGTACCCAAGGTAGTTGAGGCACAGCTTGGTTTTACACATTATAGGGAGACATGAGACGTCAGTCAATATATGTAAGATGTATATTGGTTCCGTCCAGAAAGGCGGGACAACTCAAGCAGGGAAGGGGCTTCCAGGTCAGAGGTAGGTAAGACAAACAGTTGCATTCTTTTGAATTTCTGATTAGCGCTTCCAAAGAGGCAATAAGATATGAATTAATCTCAGTGAGCAGAGGGATGATTTGAATAGAATGGGAGGCAGATTGGCCCTAAGAATTTCCCAGCTTGACTAATCCCTTCAGCTTAGTGATTTTTGGGCCCCATGGTTATTTTCCTTTCACAATGTGATTATTGCATAACTCTGTGAATATACTAACACAATTAAATTGTTCAATTTAAATTGAGGAAACATATGGTGTATCAATTATATCACCAGAAAGAGGCTCATTTTAACCGTAAGATTCTAAGAGCAAAGAGAAGTTGGGCAAGAAACATGAAGACTGTATGCAAAAGATCTATTTATTGGGTGTGCCTGGGACCCATTGTTCTGAGAAAAGGTTTGCAAATATTGATATGATCCAACTTTAGAACTAGTGACTGACAGGTTTGTCTTTAAATGGGGTCACCAGAATTCTCCGTGAGGCTCTTCTTCAAGGTGAATGACGATGAACAACTCTCATCACGTATCTACTTGAATTTTACTCATCTCATTTCTATGAATGATATAGCAAGTAGGAAAAAGACTATGTTTTAGTTTCACCTTTCAATGAGTAAAATTGCCAGAGGCTTCAGTGCAGTCTTGGGGGTAGAAAATACTTTGAAGCAAATTGTTCTTGTTCTGTGAATATTACCTAATTTGTTTCATAAATTTAGAGGCACTAAGAATCATTGTTAAGTACGATTCATTTTCAGTACATAGGAATTTCAATTTTTTGCAGTACCAGAAAGACAGGGTGGTGATTCATGTGTCCCTGAGGTCATTTAGACTTTGTGAAACTTGTACGTGGAACCTCTTATATGTGGTGAGATGGACTTATACCTAACATGTGAAAATGAATCTATGATATTATGAAATATAATTTGATGAGATCTTTAAAAAATTCATTTGAAGTTGATTAGTTGAAATGACATTATGCTTTTATAGATTAATTTATTTAATATTTTTGTAGGGTAAATCCCACATATAAAAAACATAACATATTCATAGTATGTACATTTACAAGTCATAAGTGCACAACTTAATGACTTTTCAGACTGAACACACATGGGTGACCACCAAACATACCATGAAACAGAACATCGGCAGTCCACAATTACCCATCTCCCTTCTTATAGTCCTGGCCAGAGAGCCCTAAATTCACACTGGTGCCCTGTGCCCTCCTTTGAAACCATTCCACTCTCAAGACCCTGGCATGCTAGGCCTGTGATGGGAGTGGTAGCCTGATAAATCTCCTAAATGCCTTCAGGGACATTCTTCATTGTCTTGATGAATAGTATCTGGCATCCTTACATGCCCACTATTTTCTGTATCAAAAGTTCACTTGGCCACATCCTTGGTTGTACTCCCTCAAAAAAGCTTTTTCATTCTTCACGATCTGGCGAGACTGAGAAATTTTCCAGTCTTTAAGTTCTGCTTTCCTTTTGATTTTCTTTAATTCATATCTCTCTTGTCACCTTTTATGGTAAGCAGTCAAGAGAAGCCGTGTTGCACCCTCAACACTTTGCTTAGAGATTTATTCTGCCAAACATTCCATTTCATCACTCTTAGGTTCTGCCTTCTACAAAACACTGGGACACAAACACAATTCTGCCAAGTTCTTTACCACTTTATGACAAGAAATGTCTTTCCCCTACTTTCCAGTAGCGTGTTCCTCATTCACCTCTATTCCCCAAAGTAATGCCCTTTATTGTCCATATTTCTGCCAACATTCTCTTCTCATCCATTAGACAGTCTCTAAGGAGACTGAGGCTTTCTCTACAGCTCTGCTCTTCCTCTAAGCCCTCACCAGAGTCACCCTTTGTGGTCTGTTCGTGGCAATACAGGCTTTGCCAGCGCACACTTCCAAACTCTTCCATCATCTACCCATAGCCACTTCCACATTTTAGGAGTTGTGACAGCAGCACCACACTTCTTAGTAGCAATTCCTGTCTTAGTCCATTCTTGCTGCTATAACAAAATACTTAGACTGGGAAATTTAAAAACGTTAGAATTTTATTTCTCATAGGTCTGGAGATGGAAGTTCAATATCAAGGCACTAGAATATTTGGTGTCTGGTGAGGGCCTATTCCTTGTAGATGCTCCCTTCTCTGCATCCTCACATGGAAGAAATGTAAAAAATAATCTAGCAGGCTTTTTTGTGCACTTTGATAAGGGTGCTCATCTCATTTATAAGGGGAGAATGAGATATTTCCTTGTTGCATGAGGCATGAGAAGTATATTTTTCAAGCATCCACACCTGTGAGTCTGATCAAATGTTGTTGGCAATAAAATTGTTCTGAAACCTGGCTGTGCAGCTGAGTCTGAGGAAAAAATCAAGAATCACAATAAAATGTTTGCGGCAATTTACTCCTTACGACTTCCAAATTTTCAAAGAGAGGTAATAATGTTAAAAACCCAGGGGTCACCAAAGCAGTTGTCCACAAAAGCAGCAGCTGGCTTGATCAAAAGAAAAAAAAAATACCTATGGTGTTTGGAAAGGTTTTGTTTCATGCTGAATGAACGTTGTGGGACACACACTGCTATACTGATAAAGTGATAAAGTGCCAAATCTTCAGGCTCCGGCTTGCTGATGGTTCTCCCATGGAGGACCTACTTCCCCATGTCTTGGATCTAGGCTGGGCTCTGGCCTTGTTTTGGCCAGTAGAATGTGGTAAAAGGAAGTCTGTGCCCAAGAGCTCAGACCTTGCAGCTTTCACCTCCCGCTTGGAGTGTAAACTCATCTAACCTATTAGTAGAGGTCACAGAGTGGAGACCCAGGTGCCAAGCAACCACCAGCACCAATGGCTAAATGTAGGTAAAGCGGTTAGTGACATAAAGAGACATTGGGGGATGGTGAGCAGTGGAAATGGTCAGTAGGAAGAAGTATTTCATCTGATATTTATCTGATATTGTTCAGAATTGCCCATGCGTGTTTCTAACAAGAAGCACTTTTTAAAAAAAAAAAGACCTTTTTTTGGTGGCAAGACACATTTTTTTTGTCTTAAAATCTTATAGACAGAGACTCTGTGGTCCTCAGGGTGGCTGATAACAGATTCACGGCTGTGGACACCTCTGCCTCCTGGTTAGCCCTGGACACCTGTGCCTCAGTTTCCTACTGAGAGTTAGGCAAAACACCTCACCACGTCACAATGTAATTTCCAAAACTCACTGAGGTCATTATCGCTGTGTCCAGGGTTAAGGCCCCTGCATGGTCTGCAGTGGGAAATGTACTCACCTTGAAAGCCCAGCACCAGGAGGCAGACGAGCAGGGCCAGGAAGCGCATCTTGGAGGGTCCAGGAAAACTGCTGCTTCTGGATCTAAGGGCGAGGAGAATGTGGTTGGGCTGGTCATTCAAGTCTGGGTTTCTCCAGAAGCGGGGCCCAATAAGCACAGGTTTCCCTGGAGTCGATTTGCATGTCTGATGACCTGAACTCAGCTACTCGGGAGGCTGAGGCAGGAGAATGGCGTGAACCCGGGAGGCGGAGCTGGCAGTGAGCCGAGATCGCGCCACTGCACTCCAGTCTGGGCGACAGAGCGAGACTCTGCCGCAATAAATAAATAAATAAATAAATAAATATATAAAGTGCACAATAAATGTAATGCACTTGAATCATCTGGAAACCATCCCCACCCCCCAGTTTGTGGAAAAATAGTCTTTCACAAAACTGATCCCTGGTGCCAAAAAGATTGGGGACCTCTGCTCAACATGCTTGTGCAAAACACCATCTGGCTGAGTGTAGGTGACTGGTGAGGCAGGAGGACAGGGATTAAATTCTGTAGCCACAGGGAAGCTCTACCCTCAGGCTGAGCCAATGGCCTTTCCCGACCTGACCACCTGGGCAGGGGCTGCTCAGTGCAGACAGGAGGAGGCAGGTGGTCTCTGCAGCTGGAAGCCCAGTGCCTGCCCCAGCTGCTTTGCATGTCCCTCCCGGTTGCCCTGCTGATCAGAACCCTTATCAATGCCTGGATAAGAGCTCAGGGGAAGAGCTGCTCAGTTAGGACCCATAGGGAACCACGGAAGCCCCAGCTCAGCCTCTCTGTCTCTTGTTACTCTGGGTGTCAAATGAGGGGGACATGGTGAGGGGAGAAGGAAATGGTGCTGCATATCAGTGAAACTCTCTCAACCTTGTGGGTTCCTCTGACCTGGCACCACTGCTGAGCAAGGATCCTAATTAAAATTCAGTGTAGCAGTGATTCTGGCTGTACTGGGAAGACACTGGGTTTGATGCAGCTTATATAGGTGACTTGTTTGTTTTATTCCAATGTCAGAATACTGGAGAAATTACGTTGACCAATCTCCCACCTCTCTGTCTTTGTCTCCAGGGCAAAGAGCCTCCCTCATCTGCAGGATCATTCAGAGCACTGGCTGCTCTGACTGACCAGCAGAAACCTGGGCAGGATCCCCAGCTGCTCAAGCATGGTGCATTCACCAGGGCCACTGACATCCCAGTGGGGCTCAGTAGCTGTGAATCTGGGATGTACTTTACTCTCACCAACAGTAACCTGGAACCTGAAGATTTTGCACTTGATTACTCTTATCTGTATAGTAGTTGGAATTTCACAGTTATTCAACATAAAACAAAACCTTTCAAAACACCATAGGTACTTTTTTTTCCCTCAAACAAGCTGCTTCCTTCATGAGTAGCTGCTTTAGTGGCCCCTCAGTTGTAGTATCTTTGCCTTTATTTGGAAACTTTGAAGTTCTGAGGAGTAATTTACTCTGAACTTATTTTATTTTAATGTTTCTTAATTTTGATTCCTTTATTTTAATTCCCAAATTTTTCTCAGACTTAGTTGCACAGCAGGCTTTTAGACCAATTTTATTGTCAACAACATTTGATCAGACTCATAAGAGTGAGTGCTTAAAAAGACATACTTCTCATGCTTCATGCAACAAGGCAACAACAACAAAAAAACAAAAAAATGAGAAGTGAAAAGAAAGAATTAAAACTATCATGATTCATAAATAAAAAGATTATGTACAGAGAAAATTGCAAATTATGTTACAGAGAAAGTAGTTATGACCTGAATGTTTGTGTTCTTCCAAATTTCATGTTGAAACTTAATCCTTAAAGCAATATTAAGAGTTGGGCCTTCAAGAGATAATTAGTTCATGAGGGGGTCTCGCTTCGTGAATGAGAGAAGTGCCCTAATAAAAGTGCACAAGAAAGCTTGCTAGATTATTTTTTGCATTTCTTCCACCTGAGGCTGCAGAGAAGGGAGCATCTATGAGGAATAGGCCCTCACCAGACACCAAATATTCCAGTACCTTGATCTTGGACTTCTCATCTCCAGAACTATGAGAAATAAAATTCTATTGTTTGTAAATTACCCAGTCTAAGTATTTTGCTATAGCAGCAAGAATTGGCTAAGACAGGAATTGCTACTGAGAAGTGGGGTGCTGCTCTCACAACCCCTACACAACCCCTAATGTAGAAATGGCTATGGGTAGAGGCTGGAAGAGTTTGGAAGTGTGCGCTGTCAAAGCCTGTATTGCCACGAACAGACCACAAAGGGTGACTCTGGTGAGGGCTTAGAGGAAGAGCAGAGCTGTAGAGAAAGCCTCAGTCTCCTTAGAGACTGTCTAATGGTTGCGAAGAGAATGTTGGCAGAAATATGGACAATAAAGGACATTATTTTGAGGAATGGAGGGGAATGAGGAACATGCTATTGGAAACTAGTGGAAAGACATTTCTTGTCATAAAGTGGTAAAGAATTTGGCAGAATTGTGTTTGTGTCCCAGTGTTTTGTGGAAGGCAGAACCTAAGAGTGATGAAGTGGGACGTTTGGCAGAAGAAATCTCTAAGCAGCATGGCTTCTCTTGACTGCTTACAATAAAAGGTGAGAATAAAGAGATGAATTAAAGACACAATTTATAATTAAAAGGGAAGCAGAACTTAAAGTTTTGAAAATCTCTCAGCCTGGCCAGATTATAAAGAATGAAAAAGCTTGTCTGAGGGAGAACATCAAGGATGTGGCCAAGTGAACATTTGATAAAGAGAATCATAGGGATTTAAGAACTGCAGATGCTATTCATGAAGACAATGTAAGAATGATCCTGAAGAAAATTTACCAGGCTGCCACTCCCATCATAGGCCCAGCATGCCAGGGTCTTGAGAGTGGAACAGTTTCAAAGGAGGGCACAGGGTACCTGTGTGATTTGGGGGCTCTCTGCCCAGGACTATAAGAAGGGAGGTGGGTACTTGGGGACTGCCAATGTTATGTTTCATGGTATGGTTGGTGGTCATTCAGGTGTGTTCACGCTGAAAATTCATTAAATAGTTCATATATGATTTGTGAGTGTACATACAATATATGTGTTATGGTTTGTGGATGTATATGTATATGTGAGATTTTCTCTACCAAAAATTTACTAAATAATCTATAAAGCATAATCTCATTTCAACTAATTAACCACAAATGAACTTTTTTCTGCAGTCCCATCAAATTATATTTAGTAATAATATGGGTTCATTTTCACATGTCATATATAAGCCCATCTCATCCAATGTAAGAGGTTCTTGGGTAACCACAAGTTCCACAACATCTTAATGACCCCAGGGACACATGAATCACCACTCTCTTTTTTGTCCTGGAAAGCATTGAAATTCCAGCCTACTGAAAATCAATGAACTAATAATGGTTCTTAGAAAAGCTTCCAAGTAGTTAGTGCTGGATTCCAGGGAGGGTGGCAAGAGGTTGGGTCCCAGCACGAAGGAAGCCAAAGTGATTCCTGGGAAAGGCTGTGGGTGTGAGAAGGAACTTAGAACTCAGACCTGTGGCCATAGTCTTAGGATACCAAGAGTTGACAATAACACAAATGGGGCTCCAGGACAACCCAGAACAAGAGTGTTATAGTCAATTGTCATCTTGCTTATCTTTCTCATGCTATGCAGCAAAAGATAGGTAGAAGTTTCTATGATGGAAATGAGGCAAGAAAATAGGGTCTGGAGGCAGGGAACATACGGCCGATTCACACTTCAGCTATGATAGGAAATATTCTCTCCATAGGGCTTACACCAAGTAAATGACTTTGTAACTTTACTCCCTCCTCTTCATTTACATGGGGCATATACCAAGTAACCAATGGAATCCTCTAGAGGGTATTTAAACCCCAAAAAATTCTGTAATGGGGCCCTTGAGCCCCTATACTCAGGCCCTCTCCCACACTGTGGAGTGTACTTTCATTTTCAATAAATCCCTTCCTTGCTTTGTTTGTGCATTTTGTCCAATTCTTTGCTCAAAATGCCAAGAACCTGGCCACCATGCACTGGTAACAGAAGCAACGTGCATGAAACCTCACTGTCTTTAGTGATGTACTTGTTAGATGTAGAATAAATATTGAAGAATTTGATTTGACATCAGGGTGATCACAGCTTTGAGTCATTGATTAAAAACAGGTTGTCACACCAGACTAGCTGCTAACTTGATCTGAGTGTAGTCTGAATAACTCATATTTCACCAAACTTCTGAGGAGCTGGTGAATTCTAAAATCAGGATCTTAACAGATTTTTGACATTTGGCTAACTTCAATGTCATCGGGCTGAGGTTCTCCTGGTAATCTGGTCTCTACCAGCTTTTTGGGTAAGTACTCCAAGATGAAGAATTTGATTTGAAATTGACACCTGACTAGTAATATCTTACATGACCTCTATCTATGTATTTATTGATTTACAATTTTGTCTATAACTTCTGATTTACTGAAGTTTACCCCTGCTTTTAAAAACCCTTACCTGTAAGGCATAAGGGAGGTCAAGACTTAAGCATTAGATGCCTGGTCCTCTTTGCTAGCTGCCCTGCCTTCCTGTCTTCTGCTGCAAACTCAGTATGGATAACCGGTTTTGCTGCACAAAGTCAGTCAAATACCTTGTGGATCCATAACACAAGCTCTGTTTATAGTAGCATTAATACATTCATAAGGGCAGAGCCCTCATGATTGAACACTTCCCATTAGACCCCACCTCTCAATTCTCTTGCATTGGGGATTAAGTTAACAGCAGATAGACTTGAGGGGACACAGTGAAATCATGGCACCATCCAAGGGAAGGCTCATTCTAAGCCCCGTGGTCTGCCATGCGTGCAGGCAGAGCTGCCTTTCTCAGAGAGAGCAGTGAGGGGCAGAGATGGCCATGGGGAATCAGCAGAATCGCAATGAAAGGGAAAGGCATGGGATGCAGAGAGGGACTGCTCCAACCATTTAGAAAAAAGCACCTGTACTTTCCACCTGGAGCTGTATCCCTCTAGAATGGTGTTTCCTGGCAGGTCAGTTGCAACTGAAGGAATCTGGGAAGTAACATCTCAAGATAAGCTACATTGGTAGGGCGACTACTTCAAACTGAAGTTGTTTAGAAAAGAGCAAATGCACAAAAGGGCTTTTCCTAAATCGCCCTTATCTTCCTAAAGGCAGATCCTCCAGAAACAAGCCAATTGTCATTAAAACCCTCTCTGGGAATGTTTTTCTACCAGAGAATATTAACATGCACTAGAAATTAAATCCAGAAGAAATTTGAAGTTGACTTCATCCAGGCAGGGTTTTACGTATTCTTTTGAGGATCCATTTCTTTTCTTGAGTCATTTACTCTCCCTAGGTTGCCGACACTCCCCACTTCCCTCTCCCCTGTGAAGGATATATAAGCACCTAGACCTCACTGAGTTATCTGGGTAATCCCTCTTCTGTGATTTTTTTCCAAGCATGCAAAATAAATGTATTTGCCTGTTTCTAGTATAATTTGTCTTTTTTTCTATATTTTCAGCAAACGTTTAGAGGGCAAAAGAAACTTTTCCCTCTACACAAGATATTTCCCTTAAAACCCAAGCCTATGAATAGGCAGCATGAGGGTGTGTGCACAGGCTACACCACAGTAATTTGGCCATTCTTAACTCAAGCATCATTAATACGCCCCAGAACCACAGGCTGCAGCCCACTGATGCTGATGTAGTTGAATCCACTTCCTCTGCTGCTGAACCAGGCTGAGATGCCCTGGACCACATTGGAGATGTGATATAATGTGTACAAATCTGTGTCCAGTTTTATCCAGATCCAAGTGATTTCTTCATGTACTTGGCCATTTGCTTCTTAGGAGATGGACATTCTCTCTTCTGGATATGAGACAGGAGGCTGGCATCTGAGTTACGGTGATGTCCCTACTTACTGCTAAAGAGTAAAAGAGGAAAATGGCATTGATTGTGCAAGGCAGGGACATGCACCAAGTAGCAGTTGCCCTCAATAAGAGAGAGGCTTCAATGTCCTGGTCTTTCCCAAGGTCTCACCCTCACCTGCTCTCCAGGAATTCAGGTTCCAGAGAAGCTGCACCTGAGCCCCAAGGAACCTGCTGGCGGGGAGTGCAGCTCAGAGCATTACCCAGGGGATATGATCTTGGTCTTCATACTTTTAAGATAATTGATCCTTGGATAATTTCAAGTTTATCCTAATCCAGGCTCCTAAAATTGAAAGAAGAATTAAGTGTCTTATTTTGAAGTAATCAGATCTGGCATCACTAGTCAGCCCTTCATGTTGAGGAATCTTGGGAAATAATACCCGATGACAGAAAAGGGGGTTGAATATGGAGGTCCCCACACCAAAAATAAAATGCAACCCATAAAATCCCCAGCATTAAAGAGGTCTACTTACTTGCATTATGGTGGATCTGTGAGTGAAACATACTTTGAGGACTTACAATATAATCTTTGTGTACCTACAGTGAATTGCTTGACCTTATAGTAATAATGAGAATGGCTTAAGGTCATTACAAAACATTTTCAAATATGTTTAGCATTATCTTGATAAATTTTCTTTTTTTTTTAAGAAGGAACAATTTTACACCCCCTCCCTTTCAGAGTATATTGAAGACCTCATGATCCCACCTTCTAAAACTTTACTATGTGTTTCTGAAAGGGAAGAATATTCACCTATGTAATTGCCATACACCAATGGAATACATTACTCCCTCAAGTAATCAGGAGTATTTCAAATTTTGACAAGTATCAAGAAAAGGTTCTTCATTACAAAATGGCCTTCAGGAAAAAACAGCTTCATTACAGACAAATCTGGGCTGCCCTGGTCTGACCTGGGACCCTGGGGACACTTCCCCTGTGCTGAGTTACTGAGATGAGCCAGCCCTGCAGCTGTGCCCAGCCTGCCCCATCCCCTGCTGATTTGCATGTCCTACAGCACAGGCCCCTGCCCTGAAGACTTCTTAATTGACTGGTCACACTCTGTGCAGAAGTCAGTCCCAGTCAGGACACAGCATGGACATGAGGGTCCCCGCTCAGCTCCTGGGGCTCCTGCTGCTCTGGCTCTGAGGTAAGGAAGGAGAACACTAGGAATTTACTCAGCCAGTGTGCTCAGTACTGTCTGGGTCTTCAGGAAGGGCTTCTTACAACATGATTGATTGTGTGGAAATTTGTTTTTATGTTTCCAATCTCAGGTGCCAGATGTGCCATCCAGATGACCCAGCCTCCATCCTCCCTGTCTGCATCTGTAGGAGACAGTGTCACCATCACTTGCCGGGCGAGTCAGAGTTTTACCAATCAGTTAGCCTGGTATCAGCAGAAACCAGGGAAAGCTCCTAAGCTCCTGATATATAGGGTATCCAGTTTGCAAACGGGGGTTCCATCTCTGTTCAGTGGTAGTGAATCTGGGACAGATTTCACTCTAACCATCAGCAGCCTGCAGCCTGATGATGTTGCAACTTACTACTGTCAACAGTAACTCCCACAGTGTTACAAGTCATAACATAAACCATCAAGGGAAGCAGATGTATGAGGGTGGGCTGCCACGGATGCTTCTCCTGGTGCCTCCATCTGCAGAGAGCATTTTTCAAATTGCAGCCATGCTTTGGACATCACTGGAAAGTTTTGGCAGAAGGAGCCATGAAGCTTCCTCTATACCTTAACAGTCTTTCCTTCTCCGCATCCTCAGCAGCACAGACATGGCAATGCCTCTCCTGATTTTATTAGGAAAAGATATGATTACACCTGAGTCTGAGTTATTGTGTGAGTTGGAATTAATAGCACAAAGGAGAAGCCACTCTTGGAATTCCAAGTAGGATTTTTTTTTTTCTAAATACAGAGAATGAGAATCTAAACTACAGCCTTTAAAAGGCTTGGGGGCAAAGATCCAAATACTAGAAAAAAAAGGATTCTCTTGATCTCCACATAAATCCAGAATGCATCTGCCACAGAAGGTATAATTGCCAATCATGTGGTCCTCAGACATGTCTGGGAAGCCCAGGTTTATGGGTGTTGATGCTCTGCCTGGAAGACTTGTCTGATCTTCTAGGGCATCTGCTTATAACTGACCAGTCAAGGTCCTATTCCATAGAGAGCTAACACAAGTGGATGATCCAGATTTTACATCCACACCTTTTCTGCATGGATGGTGCAGTCTGTCTTCACTCGCAGGCTTTCCCCTTCACTGTACTTCTGCTGACCCCTCATGGCCATGTCTGTGCCTCACTGCTGTCGCTGGAGTTGGGGAAGCAGCTCTGCCTGCACATGTGGCAGACCTCAGGGCCTGAAATGAGCATCCCCTAGAACAGTCCTCAATCAGTGAGAAAAGGTGAGGTATATAAATACCCCAGCTCCCTCACCTTTCAGGTGGAATAGCCCAGAGACGTTTTCTTGTGTTTCCCCTTGGGCTCGAGCTCTAGTGGTCCTCATGGGTAGCTGCTTGCTGATGGGCCTTTCACCATCCATCATCTCTTCCCTCTCTCACGTTCCACCTTCTGTCTCAGGGTTTCCTGCCGCTTGTAATTAAGGTACTTCCATGAGAATCCTTGTTGTTAGAAACTTAACCTAAGACTATAGGCAAATCCTCAATTGTGGTGGTGTCTGCTGTCAAATTCTTGCCACTTCTCCTTTTATAATTGACAGAGCAGAAGCATCGTCATCTTGGACAAACACCACCATCTAAAGTTCCAGCTCCCTTTCTAACCTCATGCATTTCAAGGAAATCACTTCTCTGGTTCAGGTCATCAGACATGCAAACTCACTCCAAGACAGTAAAACACAGATAAGACAGCTTGGGTACAGGAGCAGGGAAAGTTTCTTGGTAACCACCAAACTTCACATTCATATACTGGGCCCCAGTAAAATGGTGGGCCCTAATAAGCACATTCCTTTCCCTTTTGGTACACTAAGAAAGGGATGCTAAAAGCAGACTTGGGGGGTATGCCCGCAGCTGCAGGAAGATGCATGGGAACAGACACAAAAACTCTGCCTCCCAGATAGGCAAGACAAAGAGACACAGAAACATTCCAAGCCTGTGATAAGCTCTCCTGCCCTGAACCCTTAACTATTCTTAGTCTGTAAGAGAGAGTGCTCCTGACCTAACTCGACCAGACACCCCTCTCAGGCTTATTCTCCAAAATAAACCTGTCTTTCACTGTTGAGCCACTTTTCGTGTTTCTTTCTTCCTTCTTTAACTCTTACAATAGTGAGTAGAGAACTTCAGAAAATTTAAAAAAACATTTAATTTTCCTCTACCAATCTCTCGTAGATTCTGATTAAGTACCAATTCCTTTCTTCTGGGTCACAAAATCAGAGGAGCCTCTAACAAATACCCCACACTCTGATGTCTGCATTAGAGCAGCAGCAGAAGAAGAATCCCCCAGCCCAGGAAACCCCCAGACCAGAGGGCCCTGACTCAGATCCCTCCAGCTCTCACTTTATAAAGCTGTTGGCTGCTCCCTGATCTCTCCTTCTCCCAGCCACCTGACACTGGATTCTTCCTTAGGGGAGGACAGTTGAGGGGTGATAAGGGGGATTGGTAGGCTGTAAAGCACTCTGCCTCTCCCATCCCCATTAAAAAGTTTACATGTGCTAATCTCTGGAACCAGTGAAGGTTGCCTTATACGGCAAAAGGATCTTGACAAATATGATGAAGCATCTTAAGATAGAAAGACTATCTTGGAGTATATCGTGGGCTCCTTGTAATCATTATTGTCCTCATAAGAGGGAAGGAGGAAGGTCAAATTTGGGGAGATGTGACTATGGAGGGAGAGGCTGAGTGATGTGAGGGAAAGGCCATGATGAAGGAGAGACAGCAGCATTTAAAAGCTGGAGAAGGCAAGGAAACAAGCTCTTCCCCATGGTGTCCACAGGGAAGCTTGATTTTATCCCAGAGAGACCTGTGTGAGATTGCTCCCTTCCAGAATCATAAGAGAATAAGCCCATGCTATTTGAAGCCAGTAAGGATATGGTGATTTTTTTACAGCAGCTACAGGAAACTCACACATGGGGAGAGAATGGCATTTGTCTTTCTGAGGGGATAGTTTCTCTCTGATCTCCCAACCCTTTCCAGCTTGTCAGCCTTTGGAGTCAATTTGGACAAGAGACAGAGTATAGTTTACTATGAGGAGAGCTAGCACCAGAATTCCTCTTAGGGAGAAAACCTCCTGGGTAAGTCCTTCAATTAACTTTTGTACATTCTGGGTATCTGTGAGAGCCTAGAGGTCAGATTTCACTGCTACTGAGAGGTTGGGGTTTCATAGTAGGAGAACAAATTAGATCTGTGACACAGTCTGAGAGGGAAGGACAGGGTCAGAGATGGAAATGAGTAGAAGAGGGGAGGAAGGGTCAGGACAAGGCAAGATGTGCTTCTGCCTCCACGTCTGAAATAAAGCTGTTCAGAGTTGTAAAAGCTTGGAGAAAGTTGCATTTTATAGAAGAAACTGCAGAAGAGGCTCAGCTTAATGTTAGGGTTCACATGGTATGGGGCAGAGGCGGCAGGGACCTATGAATTTCACAGCATCCTGTGAAAATGTCTCTTCTCCCATTTTACAGGCTGTGGGATCCATCTGTGGATAGAACAGACTTGATGTCAGACACACCTGGATTCAAATCCCACTCTAGCACTTGCTGACCATAAGACTTTGGTGAAACCACCCATGCCCTCTAATGATAGATTTTCTCATCTGTGAAATGGAGCACTACAGATATCAAGGGCTGTCCTGAGGGTTTAACCAGATGATATGCCATGAAATGTAACTGTTCTTTTTAGCGAGAAGTACTCAGTGTTCTGTTTTATGCACCTCTGAATCTCCTAGAATTAAGAGGCTGTGTAAGATATTACTTGCCAGATGTCATTTTCAACTAAAAGTCATCATTATTTATTCTACGACAGGTGCCTCACTATGCGGTATGGGTTTCATGTGCATTTTTTTCACCATAAAATCCTCCACCAATCCATTTACGTATAGCGTTAGAAAGTTGAACAAGAAGATTGCACACAACCATTGCACTTTGGAAAAATCCAGAGCACATTTTGTGTTATTTTGCTAGAACTGCTGTAACAAATGGCCAACAATTTGTTGGCTTAAAACAACAGAAATGCATTCTTTCCTAGTTCTGGAGGGCAGAAGTTTGGAATCAGTTTCACTGCATCGAGACCTGGGCGTTAGCCGCCAGGCTCCTCCAGAGGCTCTAGGGGGAGGCTGCCCTGCCTCTTCCAGCTTCTGGTGGCTGCAGGTTTCCATGGCTGTGGCCACCTCCCTTCAGTCTCTGTCTCTGAGTTCACATTGTCTTCTCTTCTGTTTGGTTAAATCTGTCTCTGCTTCTCTTATAAGGATATTTGTGATTGCACTTAGGGCCCACCTGGTTAATCCAGATAATCTCTCCATCTCAATATCCTTAATTTACATCTACAAATGTGCTCTAAATAGTAAGAAAGACACTCACAAGTTCCAAGGAAGAGGACCTGGCATCTTAGGGACCATATTCAGTGTATTAAACTATTAAAATACCAACTCTTTCTGTTCATACACACACCACAGGCTCTCTCCCCATCTCCCTTTCTTTTCGTTTTTCTCATGATTACAAGTCACTTTACTTCTCTAAGTGAATCCAGTGCCACCTATGTCCAGGTCAGAGGGGCACAACAAGGATGGCCTTGCTCAGGATTTCATAGAGACCTGCTCTATCCCTCATTGTCATGTATGAGAACAGATACAGCCACAGACAGCCCTCAGCCATCTGGGAGAAGCTGCCTCTACGGAGCATAGTCATGGGCTGTGAGTCTCTTGACCTCGGATTGTTTTCAGCTCTCATGGAGGGATTGGTAGCCCCTGACTCAGATAAGCTCCACCTTGGCCTCCCACTTGCTCCTTTTTACTGACTAGGGAAGTATATTTGGTGTGGGCTGAATGAGGTGACAAAATTGTCCAAAGTAAAGAAATGACTATGTCTATAATTTTGTCTCCTTTTTTCTTAGTTGAGTCCGTGAGACATTTTGAAATGTTTTGCAAAGTATATAAGAATCCATTTGCTAGTCATATTTTGACACAGTAGATGGGAGAAATCCCTAATTTAGGAATATAATACCCAATCATCTCTAGAAATTGGGACAGAAGAATCAAATGTTGGCTCATCTGCCCCTCCCCTGGCCTCAGCTACTGCTGACAGCTGTTAGGGAGACTCACTTCCCACCCACTTCTTGCATCCATATCCTAACAGATTCTTGTGATAGAGCAGGCCAGCGGAGCCCAGAGGCTTCCCTATGAACACAGGAGAGCTGAGGGCTCCTAGGATCTCTGCCTTATCTGGGCTCAGAGCAACTTTTAACTTGGCATCTACTTAGAACATAAAGTAGAACAAGCCTCATCTCCATAAAAATAGAATGCTCAGTGTCCTCTCTGCAGACATCTGTCTGGTTCTTGGGTGACCTCTGTCCCAGCCCCTGGGGAGGAGCCCTGTGAACAGAGCAGCATCACTGGCCCCGCTCTGCCCAGCCTCAGTCACTATGAGGCCTGAGGCACAACATCACCTCCACCACCTCCTGGCAGCTGAAGGTAGAATGAGCCTGCCTGCCCTGGGAAGCCCTGGATAAGGGCTCTGGTTCAGGTCATCAGACATGCAAATCGACTCCAAGGAAACCTGTGCTTATTGGGCCCCGCTTCTGGAGAAACCCAGACTTGAATGACCAGCCCAACCACATTCTCCTCGCCCTTAGATCCAGAAGCAGCAGTTTTCCTGGACCCTCCAAGATGCGCTTCCTGGCCCTGCTCGTCTGCCTCCTGGTGCTGGGCTTTCAAGGTGAGTACATTTCCCACTGCAGACCATGCAGGGGCCTTAACCCTGGACACAGCGATAATGACCTCAGTGAGTTTTGGAAATTACATTGTGACGTGGTGAGGTGTTTTGCCTAACTCTCAGTAGGAAACTGAGGCACAGGTGTCCAGGGCTAACCAGGAGGCAGAGGTGTCCACAGCCGTGAATCTGTTATCAGCCACCCTGAGGACCACAGAGTCTCTGTCTATAAGATTTTAAGACAAAAAAAATGTGTCTTGCCACCAAAAAAAGGTCTTTTTTTTTTAAAAAGTGCTTCTTGTTAGAAACACGCATGGGCAATTCTGAACAATATCAGATAAATATCAGATGAAATACTTCTTCCTACTGACCATTTCCACTGCTCACCATCCCCCAATGTCTCTTTATGTCACTAACCGCTTTACCTACATTTAGCCATTGGTGCTGGTGGTTGCTTGGCACCTGGGTCTCCACTCTGTGACCTCTACTAATAGGTTAGATGAGTTTACACTCCAAGCGGGAGGTGAAAGCTGCAAGGTCTGAGCTCTTGGGCACAGACTTCCTTTTACCACATTCTACTGGCCAAAACAAGGCCAGAGCCCAGCCTAGATCCAAGACATGGGGAAGTAGGTCCTCCATGGGAGAACCATCAGCAAGCCGGAGCCTGAAGATTTGGCACTTTATCACTTTATCAGTATAGCAGTGTGTGTCCCACAACGTTCATTCAGCATGAAACAAAACCTTTCCAAACACCATAGGTATTTTTTTTTTCTTTTGATCAAGCCAGCTGCTGCTTTTGTGGACAACTGCTTTGGTGACCCCTGGGTTTTTAACATTATTACCTCTCTTTGAAAATTTGGAAGTCGTAAGGAGTAAATTGCCGCAAACATTTTATTGTGATTCTTGATTTTTTCCTCAGACTCAGCTGCACAGCCAGGTTTCAGAACAATTTTATTGCCAACAACATTTGATCAGACTCACAGGTGTGGATGCTTGAAAAATATACTTCTCATGCCTCATGCAACAAGGAAATATCTCATTCTCCCCTTATAAATGAGATGAGCACCCTTATCAAAGTGCACAAAAAAGCCTGCTAGATTATTTTTTACATTTCTTCCATGTGAGGATGCAGAGAAGGGAGCATCTACAAGGAATAGGCCCTCACCAGACACCAAATATTCTAGTGCCTTGATATTGAACTTCCATCTCCAGACCTATGAGAAATAAAATTCTAACGTTTTTAAATTTCCCAGTCTAAGTATTTTGTTATAGCAGCAAGAATGGACTAAGACAGGAATTGCTACTAAGAAGTGTGGTGCTGCTGTCACAACTCCTAAAATGTGGAAGTGGCTATGGGTAGATGATGGAAGAGTTTGGAAGTGTGCGCTGGCAAAGCCTGTATTGCCACGAACAGACCACAAAGGGTGACTCTGGTGAGGGCTTAGAGGAAGAGCAGAGCTGTAGAGAAAGCCTCAGTCTCCTTAGAGACTGTCTAATGGATGAGAAGAGAATGTTGGCAGAAATATGGACAATAAAGGGCATTACTTTGGGGAATAGAGGTGAATGAGGAACACGCTACTGGAAAGTAGGGGAAAGACATTTCTTGTCATAAAGTGGTAAAGAACTTGGCAGAATTGTGTTTGTGTCCCAGTGTTTTGTAGAAGGCAGAACCTAAGAGTGATGAAATGGAATGTTTGGCAGAATAAATCTCTAAGCAAAGTGTTGAGGGTGCAACACGGCTTCTCTTGACTGCTTACCATAAAAGGTGACAAGAGAGATATGAATTAAAGAAAATCAAAAGGAAAGCAGAACTTAAAGACTGGAAAATTTCTCAGTCTCGCCAGATCGTGAAGAATGAAAAAGCTTTTTTGAGGGAGTACAACCAAGGATGTGGCCAAGTGAACTTTTGATACAGAAAATAGTGGGCATGTAAGGATGCCAGATACTATTCATCAAGACAATGAAGAATGTCCCTGAAGGCATTTAGGAGATTTATCAGGCTACCACTCCCATCACAGGCCTAGCATGCCAGGGTCTTGAGAGTGGAATGGTTTCAAAGGAGGGCACAGGGCACCAGTGTGAATTTAGGGCTCTCTGGCCAGGACTATAAGAAGGGAGATGGGTAATTGTGGACTGCCGATGTTCTGTTTCATGGTATGTTTGGTGGTCACCCATGTGTGTTCAGTCTGAAAAGTCATTAAGTTGTGCACTTATGACTTGTAAATGTACATACTATGAATATGTTATGTTTTTTATATGTGGGATTTACCCTACAAAAATATTAAATAAATTAATCTATAAAAGCATAATGTCATTTCAACTAATCAACTTCAAATGAATTTTTTAAAGATCTCATCAAATTATATTTCATAATATCATAGATTCATTTTCACATGTTAGGTATAAGTCCATCTCACCACATATAAGAGGTTCCACGTACAAGTTTCACAAAGTCTAAATGACCTCAGGGACACATGAATCACCACCCTGTCTTTCTGGTACTGCAAAAAATTGAAATTCCTATGTACTGAAAATGAATCGTACTTAACAATGATTCTTAGTGCCTCTAAATTTATGAAACAAATTAGGTAATATTCACAGAACAAGAACAATTTGCTTCAAAGTATTTTCTACCCCCAAGACTGCACTGAAGCCTCTGGCAATTTTACTCATTGAAAGGTGAAACTAAAACATAGTCTTTTTCCTACTTGCTATATCATTCATAGAAATGAGATGAGTAAAATTCAAGTAGATACGTGATGAGAGTTGTTCATCGTCATTCACCTTGAAGAAGAGCCTCACGGAGAATTCTGGTGACCCCATTTAAAGACAAACCTGTCAGTCACTAGTTCTAAAGTTGGATCATATCAATATTTGCAAACCTTTTCTCAGAACAATGGGTCCCAGGCACACCCAATAAATAGATCTTTTGCATACAGTCTTCATGTTTCTTGCCCAACTTCTCTTTGCTCTTAGAATCTTACGGTTAAAATGAGCCTCTTTCTGGTGATATAATTGATACACCATATGTTTCCTCAATTTAAATTGAACAATTTAATTGTGTTAGTATATTCACAGAGTTATGCAATAATCACATTGTGAAAGGAAAATAACCATGGGGCCCAAAAATCACTAAGCTGAAGGGATTAGTCAAGCTGGGAAATTCTTAGGGCCAATCTGCCTCCCATTCTATTCAAATCATCCCTCTGCTCACTGAGATTAATTCATATCTTATTGCCTCTTTGGAAGCGCTAATCAGAAATTCAAAAGAATGCAACTGTTTGTCTTACCTACCTCTGACCTGGAAGCCCCTTCCCTGCTTGAGTTGTCCCGCCTTTCTGGACGGAACCAATATACATCTTACATATATTGACTGACGTCTCATGTCTCCCTATAATGTGTAAAACCAAGCTGTGCCTCAACTACCTTGGGTACATGTCATTAGGACCAGAGGTTGTGTCACAGGCTCATTTCCTTAACCTTGGGAAAAAAAAACTTTCTAAATTAACTGAGACTTGTCTCAGATATTCGGGGTTTATAACATGAATCACTTACAGAACGTTTCCATCAGCCTTAAGAAACCCTGTGCCTATTAGAAGTCACTTGGATTTTGCCCAACTCCTCAGGCAAACAAGAGTCTACTTTCTACATTTTTAAAATTTGCCTCTTGTGGACATTTCTCATAAATACATTCAGACTACATGTAGTCTTTTGTGACTGGCTTAGTTCACCGACCAAAAGGTATGCCGAGTATTTCTATGTTGTCATGTCTGTGAGTACTTAATTTCTTTTTATGACCTAATAATATTCTATTGCATATACATACCATATTTTGCTTTTCCATGTATCAGTTAATGGATATTTGGTTTTTTTCTAGTTTTTGTCTCTTTGAGTATCACTGCTACGGGCATTCATACACTTTTTTGTGTAGACAAACGTTTTCATTTGGGGGTGTATAATCCTATAAGTGGAATTGCTGGATTATATGGCAATTGCATGTTTTACCATTTGAGAAACTGCCAGACCGTTTCCCAAAGTGGCCGTAACATTAGCCTGTGTAATAAGAAGAAAGAATCTCTTAGTGAATGAGTATTGAGAACAGCTGAAATATTTGAGGGTGTAAAAAATAAATCTGAGGTAGCTCAGAGACGCTCATTCATTACTCTTTTAATTTTTCCCGCTCTTCATAAATGAGGGTCTCCAATTTCTGCCTTGTAGATGCCAACTCACTCCCAGAGTTATTGAGAGGACGGTACAGGCTGAGAACCACACGGGGAAGTTGGGTCACAGAAGGAGGAATTTGCTCAAGACACAAGCTAGGAAAAACAAAACAAAATTAAAATGGGGAGCTGAATAAGGAAAAATGAGAACTTCCTGTGGGAGGAACAAGAAATTGAGAAGGAATGCCTTGTCTTTATGCTGTGTGCCTATCTTTAGGTTTCTGGGCTCCTAAACTTCTGGACAAGAACCCCCAATTTGAAGTTACTGGGACACTAATGTCTACTCCTTTTACTAGTTAACTGTTTCATTGGCTGTCGAAACTCCTCACATAAAGTAGAAGAACCTCAAGAAGGCAGATTTTTTTTTATGCCTGGTTGAATAAATCCCATGAATCTCATATAACAGGAAAAAATATTTTATTAATAAACAACCACTGTGAGTGAGTTCTAACCAAAACAAAGGGAAAATATACGAAGGATCAAAATGCAAAGAAAATACGTTTTGCACGCGCATCTACAGTCTTAAAGTAAACACAGGAAGTTGCCTTCAGGCCTGTGTCTCTGTTTCAGGAAACTCATCCTCCTGCTGAGAGGAAGACGTTGCAGCCTCCTCAGCCTCCATGGTGTTGATGGTGACAGTGAAATGAGTTCCAGATCCAGGGAGATGGAACCAGGTTGGGACCCCAAGACCAGGGTGGAAGCCCTTAACATCCTTACCATGTCTTGTGAGATATTTATTTACTGCCCTTCACAAATTGAGTTTAAAATATTTGCATTTTATTTTCCGCCAACTGTTCTGCTGTCAGACAGCATTTTTTATCATGGGGGAGAGAGAGCAATTAGTCCCTCCTGAACATCTGGTCAGTGGTTAGTCTGATGAGAGGAGTTTTGTTAAGAGAATATTAGTGCTTCAGTTGTCCTGATTTAACATGGATTCTCTTCCCTTGGGGAGTGAATACAGGTTTTACTCAGGCCTTCACAACAGTGTGGAATCCAGAAGTGTTGGTATTAATGCCACTGTGGTGTTTTTTATGATTTTGTTTTCACACTTTGTGTTTTTGTTTTACTCATATTTTAATATAGTTTATTTTATTTGTCTTAAATTTTCCTTTAAAGATAATCACGAAGAAAATGATATATGCATACTTTAATTTTATTAAGCCTACATGAATCTACAATTCTGTATTTCCAAAGTCAAGAAAAAATTGGTGATTAATTTTCACCATATACTTAATTAGCGTAACAGCAAAACTGCTCCTTTTATTGTCTTCACCCTGACTCTGCTTTATGTTTTTGCATAAGGAATGTTATCATTCTTATTTAGATTTTTTAGATTATAATTATGTGGTATCATATTACATACCTTATATTTCAAGAATTATTCCTATACAGTGACTTGCATTTGTAAGTGAATTTTCAACTGACTTAGATTCTTGGTTTAATCATTTCTACTAATCAAGCAAGATTCCTTCCAGCAAGATTGTTTTGTTTTGTTTTGTTTGTTACATTTCCTGGTTTGTTATAAAGCATGCAACTCAGGAAGTGCCTAACTGAAGAGATGCATATGGCAAGATGACGGGGTAGGTTGAGACGGGGTGAGATGGTGCAAAGCTTCCATGTCCTCTCTAGGCAGCCACCTGCCAGCACTTCAATGTGTTTACCAAACCCAAAGGTTTTACTAACAGCCTTTTATTTTTATTTTTTTATTTATTATTTTTATTTTTATTCTTGAGATGGAGTCTTGCTCTGTCTCCCAGGCTGGAGCACAGTGGCACCATCTTGGCTCACTGCAACCTTGACCTCCTGGGTTCAAACGATTCTCCTGCCTCAGCCTCCTAAGTAGCTGGGACTACAGGCACCCACCACCAAGACCGGCTAATTTTTGTATTTTTAGTAGAGACGGGATTTCACCATGTTGGCCAGGCTGGTCTCAAACTCCTGGCCTCAAGTGATGCACCTGCCTTGGCCTCCCAAAGTGCTGGGATTACAGGTGTGAGCCACTGCTCCCAGCCACCAACAGCCTTTTAAAATCACAAGGCACAGCTTCCTTTACTGGAGCATGCTGCTTAAACTCTTGATGAATCAAAATAAATCTTTCAAGATTTTCTATTTTTTTACATGGTCATGAAATTTATGTTGGTGTGTATTTTCAAAATTGCACATTTCCTTCATATTTGATCATTTCCTTAGTTCGCAAGCATGGGCATAATGACTTTTTGTGGTTATGTAGCTATCACTACATTGTTCTCTGGGAACAGAGTTTGTAAACTACATTGCTGAAGCAAGCCTGATTTTTATCTCTGAAGAAAGAACCTCCCTTAGATTTTGGTTTTTTATTGGATCCTGATTTTTTAACATGTAAAAATCACCTGTGTGTTTGCTACCTAATTTTGCCTAGATTTCCGAGTCTGTTAAATTTGCACTCATGAATATATAACAGAGGCATAAATATTTTAAATTATGTTTCTCTTTATCACCCCTGTTCTAATGACTAGTATATAGGGAAATATTTCCTTATTGGGCTTGACTTTCAATCCTGTTTTTCTGTCTGTTTCACTCTTTCTTTTCTTTATTTAATCTCATATACCTCTACTTCATGAACTGAGACTGTTCTTCCAACTTTTATATTACTTATTTGCTCATTGGCAGGGCCAGTTCTGGTTGCTATGGTCCCGCCCCTTAGTTGCTTTTTTAAACAAGTACATTTAGATTTTTATTTTCTCATGTATCAGCAGTGTTGATAGATTACCTTTTCACTCGTTACATCTGAGTGAAATGAGTATGAAGAAATATGTTCGTTCCATTTTCATCCGGGTCCTGATATTTTTTCTTCATTCTATTGATTACATAAAATATTTTGTAGAAATTTTCTTTGAAAATTGGCAGGGTATTTAATTTTGTTTTTTTCTCTCTAATCTTTTAAAAATCAAGCAATTACATTTGTTTATTTCAATTAATAATACTCAACAATGATAATCTGTTAATTATAACGTCTTGATCATGACGCAGTTTCATCTATGGCTATTTGTTGTTTATTTATTCGAAACTCAGTCATTCATTTGGTGATTAGTAGCAATGTGATAAGCTCCTGTGACTCTAACTCACAAAATGCAAGTTGGGGCAATAACTTATATCTCATTTGAGGTTATCCACAATCGCACATTCCTATCTCCTAATGCAGTTTATTTCTTTTATATGTATGTATCAAATAACATTTTGTCATTTATTTCTTTAAAGCTACAAAAATATGTTAATGCAAACTAATTTATTAGTCTTTTCTTTCATGCTTAGTGCTTTGCATATTCTCTTCAAGAAATCTTTCCTACATGCATATTCATGAAATATCTTTTTATACTATTTTCTAAAAGCTTTCTTCTTTTGCCTTTCACATTTCAGTTTCTAATTTAGAGTTGATATTTGTATCAGTGTAGAAGTAAAATGAAGAGGTTAAGATTTATTTTGATGTAATATGGATATCTAATTGATCCAATATAATTCAGTTATTAGAATTTTTTTCTACTACATCACTGCTATGGCCTGAATGTCTGCGTCACCTCCAAAGTTCCTGTTAAAACTGAATCTCAAGGCAACAGTATTAGAAAGTAGACCCTTTGGGAGGTGATTAGGTCATGAGGGCTCAGCACTGGTGAGTGAGATTCCTGTCTAATAAGGTGGCTTTACACAGACTTGCCACTTTTGCCTTTCCACCTCCAACATGTGACAACACAGCCACAGGGTGCAATCTTGGAAGCAGGAACAGTCCTCACCAGACACTGAGATTGCCAGCATGTTGACCTTGGAATTCACAGCCTTTATAACCATGAAAAAAATAAATTTATGTTGTTTGTAATTATCCAATCTAAAGTGTTTATTTTTTTTTGTACAAATGGTTTGAGACAATTGCTGTAGCACTTTTATTGTAAATTGAGTGACTATATATACATGCAGATCTGGTTTTAGATTCTCTGACTCATTGCACAGGGTTATCTGTCTCAGCCTTCACCGATACCATACTGTTTTCATTCCTGTTGCTTAATATAAGCTTCAATACTGGGAAGTGTTAATCTTCCAATCTTGTTCTTATTATGTAAGATTACCATGGTTGTTTTTTTGTTTTTTTTTTGTTGTTGTTGTTGTTTTCTGCCTCTTCGAATGCCCATCTAAGTTAGAAACAGCTTTTAAATTTCAACAAAATTCACAGGATTTTGATTGTCACAGTATTCAATTAATTTGGAGAGAGTTATTATATTGACAATATTAAGTTTCCTAATACAAGAACATGGTAAAACCTTTCGCTTATTGAGTCTCCTTGATTCTCTCTCAGTAACCTTTTGTACATTTGCACATACTCTTTATAACTTTTTATTTTACCATAATATCAAACAGTGACAAGTTGGAAAAACACTGTAAGAAATATAAATTGGACCCAGATTCATCTACTATCAATAGTTGACTTTCTACTTCCATATTCCTTCTGTAAGTTGGTATTCTGGGTACTATTAATACACACGAAACAAACTACCCACCAACTTAATAACACATGAAAACTGCAATCAACTGCCTATCATCTCTATGGTTCTGGATGTTTCCTGGGCTCCACAAGGTTCCTGCCAGGCTTTCCTAAGGATGCAGTCAGTGAGTGGCTAGGGTAGGCGTCATCTCAAAGGTGGATGACATTAGACGTAAGGTTCTCAGCTGGAGTTGTTTGCCAATTCATGTGGCTGCTTGGTTTACTTGAAACTTCCAGAGGAGGAGCAGGCAGAAGTTATGCAGCCTCGATGACCTCTTATAGCCTCAGAAGACAAACAGCATTGCTTCTACACAGTTGCATGCCTACCAAAATTCAACAGAAGGAAGCATAAGGCAGTAGGTTCAATGGGAGGAGAGTCAAGATCACCCTGTTAGAAAAAAATGTAGGATAGGAGATCTTGTCACAGCCTTGTTGGAGAATACAACAGGCATCAGTCCACCCTGTGACCAAAGCAATTCACGTTCCTCCCACATGCTGAACACTCTAATTCTTACCTCAACATGCCCAAGTATTATTCCATGATAGTGTTACCGCATCATCAAAATGATGTCCTAGGGGAGTGATATCAGCAAGATGACTGACTAGGAGACACCAGCCTTCGCCTGCCTACCCCAAAAAATACAAACACAAAAACAAAAGCAAGACCAACAATGGGACAGCTATCCAAGATGGAAAATAGCCCTTGGAGTGTTCAAGAGCCCAGTTAAGAATGTGCAGGAACACAATTAGAAAAAACGCCCAGAATAACCATACAGAAAGCATCGCCAGAAGACGGCATGCCTGAGAGTCCTGAGACCTCTAAAATGAAAGAAGCAGGAGGCAATTGTTATCAGCCAGGAGGCAGGGTCACTGCACTCCCCATGGCCTGCTCTGTGGAGGACGCTGCAGCCTTTGCAGCTAATGACCTAAGTAAACCCCCAGGCAGCCCCGACCCTACAACATTCCCAGTGGATGCCCATTAGGATTCATTGTTGAGGATTACAGCAGCCTGCTCCAGAGGACACTGGTGCTTTTGGCATTAAGGTAACCTGCAGCTATAATCATATCACCCCAGAGAGGAAGATGCTGTGAAACCCTCCTCCCACACTCTCTCAAGAAGCAGCCCCTTCTGTGCTGCCTAGGATGGGGCTTCATTGCCCTAAACCCAGGCTCCAGGGCCTCATCCGTGGCTGGCAACTCAGACACCGAGCCACCTCCATGTGGACCAGCCCAGGCCCATGCCCAGATTTGCTGACACTCCAACTGCACTGTCACTCCAAGTGCACCAGCAGCCTGGCCCTGTGGCTGCTGTGGAAATTGCCTAAGACATAAAACAATATACAGCCACACAGTGGAGTGAAATGCAGAGAAAAACCACACAGAAATGATCACTGGGAGATGGCATACTTGAGAGTGCTGAGAAATAATGGCAAATACATCAAGAGTAATAAAAGACGTTGGTCTATAAGATCAAGACAAAAATCACTGAAAAAATAATGAAACTTATTCAGGATAAATGCCATGCATTATCCTAAATGGTAGTGTAACCATTCAGGATAAACTACAACTATACATATTATATAACTATACATATTATATAATTATTATATTATTTAACAGATAGTGTAACCACTCAGGATAAACTACAACTATACATATTATAGTTAAAACGCTGAACCAGACAAAGAGAAAATCTCAATTGTATCAAGAAAAAACGGGCTCATTTTACCAGAAAAACAATAATAGAATAATTGGCTAACTGTTCACAAGACTGATAGAGGCTAGAAGACAGCGGGATTACATATTTAAATGCCAGGTTCGGGGGACTCAGCAAAGGGTTCAATATCCAGTTAAAACATGTTTCAAAAATAAAGGTAAAGTAAAAACATTTCTTTATTAAAAAATGAAGAGAAATGATTACTTGCAGAGATGTGCTCTATAAAAAATTCAAGAGGAAATTCTTCAAAAATCACAGGAAATCACAGCAGATCGTAGCTTGAACGCACAGCGAGAAAAGAAGACTTCAAAAATAATAAAGAAACAAGAAAGAAGCAAGAGACAGCCAAACAAACGTGTTCACTTCTATTTATATGAGATTG
This sequence comes from Homo sapiens, assembly GCF_000001405.40. Lineage (NCBI taxonomy): Eukaryota > Metazoa > Chordata > Mammalia > Primates > Hominidae > Homo > Homo sapiens. The sequence continues at coordinate 346,174 of NW_025791765.1, forward strand.
TAGCACAGGGAAAACCAAATTATTATAATGAATATCTGAATACCAGTTACCTTGATTGGGATGGGGGAGCAGTTGATGCCTGGGAAGGTGCACAAGGGATGAATCTGGAGAATTTGAAATATTCTAGAGATTCATCTGGATGGCGAACATACGTAAAACTTAGTTGCATATTTAACATTTCCATCCTTTGTGAGTGTTTTATATCAATTAAAAAGTGTAAGAAGCCAATCCTGCACCCTGAATCCAATATGAATTTAAAAATAAGAATCATCATATGTTTACGGAATCTTAACCTTGCTAAGGAGAAGTGAGAAATGCACCTGGGAAATTCTAAGTAACGAGAAATCTAAGAGAGAAGACAAAGAGAAAAGGGAATTTATCCTACTCATGCAGCACAGATTTTATCTCTATTGGTTTCTCTCTAAACAGAGACAATATTTAAGTCATTTTGCCCTCAAGAGAGGCTCCCACCATCCCCTTGGCTCTTTCCACCCCACTGCACCCATCAGGGGATTTGCATATTGTCCCCTAGGGAGGACCTTCCATTGTGAGTCTGAGATAAAAGCTCAGCTCTAACCTTGCCTTGACTGATCAGGACTCCTCAGGGCACCTTCTCACGATGAGGCTCCCTGCTCAGCTCCTGGGGCTGCTAATGCTCCGGGTCCCCGGTAAGGACAGCAGGGAGATGAGGGAGGAGAATGGGGTGGGAGGGTGAGCTCTGGGGGCCCAATGTCTCCCATGTGTGTTCAGTCCACGTGTTAGATATGCAGGTCTTTTTCTGCAGCATGAGGCATATGATGTACTGATCTCTGAGAGGGAGGAAGATTTTAGAAGGAAGGATATGTGCCCTGAAGAAACACAAGTCTTAGAAAGAGGATGATGGTATGGGAGACCACTTTGTGCCTTGCATCTGTTGAGTTCTTTTTGAAATTGGATATTCCTGAAATTGCAAAGAAATTATACAGGCTGAAATAATAAATGGAAAATTATGAACATGATGCACAATATTTGTACATAACTTTGCCCTTTTCTGTCATCATTCCAGGATCTAGTGGGGACATTCTGTTGACCCAGACTCCACTCTCCCTGTCCATCACCCCCGGAGAGCCGGCCTCCATCTCCTGCAGGTCTAGTCGCAGCCTCCTGCATAGTAATGGAAACACCTATTTACATTGGTAGCTGCAGAAGCCAGGCCAGCCTCCACAGTGTCTAATCTGCAAGGTTTCTAACCGGTTTTCTGGGGTCCCAGACAGGTTCAGTGGCAGTGGGTCGGGCATTGATTTCACACTGAAAATCAGCCCGGTGGAGGCTGCGGATGTTGGGGTTTATATTACTGCATGCAAGCTACACACTGGTCCCCCACAGTGCTACATCCTGGAACAGAAACCTCTCTGCTGGGATTGCCCAGCTGCCCACATGTGCTGCTTGTCTGGGGAGCAGCTCAGCAGGGTCTCTGAGTCTGCAAAAGGGGAGGCTGTTGGAGAACTCAGGGGCAGGTTTGCTGTTGAGGACTCTGGGCCATGAATCCTCAGCTGTACCTCAAGCACTACCTGTTTGTTTACTTCTTTATGTTTTCAAGACAGGGTCTCACTCTGTTACCCAGCATGAAGTGCAGCGGTGTGATTATGGCTCATTGCAACCGTGAAATCCCAAGCTCAAGTGATTTTCCTACCACAGCCTACGGAGTAGCTGGAATCACAGGGGGCATGCCACCAAGCCTGATTAATTTTTGTATATAGTTTTGGTAGTCACGGGGTTTCGCCATGTTGTCCAGGCTGCTCTTGAGATCCTGGGCTCAAGTCATCCACCCAATTCGGCCTCCCAAAGTGCTGAGATTAGAGGCATGAGCCATCGGGCCCAATTCCCGCTCTTGCTGATGTACCTGTCACCTGACACAGCCTTGACAGTCATAAGTAACAGGGGTATGAGGAGGTTCTAGGGCCCTGTGAGTTAAAAATCAGGATGAAAGGGAAAGGAGAATGGAAGCTCATCTTCATCCTCCCTCCTTGCCTACAGTTGTTTATTAAATTTATTCAGCAAAACAGCCAGACAATTGATCATTTCTGGCAAGACACACTGAATACATCTTAGGGTTTAACAGTTTGGGATAGATAGATAGATAGATAGATAGATAGATAGATAGATAGATAGATAGATATAGATAGAGATATAGATATAAATATAGACATAGACATAGATATGGATTGATATAGATTTTTTTTGAGACAGAGTCTCCCTCTATCGCCCAGGCTGGAGTGCAGTGGAGCAATGATCGCAGCTCACTGCAACCTCTGCCTCCCAGTTTCAAGCGATTCTCCTGCCTCATCTCTCAAGTAGCTGAGATTACAGGCTCTCGCCAACATGCCCAGCTAATTTTTGTATTATTAGTAGAGACGGGGTTTCACCATGTTGGCCAGGCTGGTCTCCAACTCCTGACCTCAAGTGATCCACTGGGCTTAGCCTACCAGAGTGCTGGCATTACGGCATGAGCCAGCGCACCCGGCCATATTTTCAAGAAAATATTTGGTTATATTTAAAATTGGCATTTTCCTAGTTTGTTTTAACTTCCGCTTCTTCTATTTAGCACTCATTGCCCACTCCGTAAGACAGGAGAGACAGCATTCTCCACTAGTTCTCCTCAGAGGGAGCTGGCTGAGGACAGTCAGTGAAATCTTGGTAGTGAGCGTCAAATAGATTTTGTAATTTCATAGCAGATACAAGATACTAATACTGAACCTTTTTTTAATTACAATTATCTCTCACTGATAGAAAAATGGAGTTCTTGAAACTCCAAAAGCTGGTTTTAGAAATAAAAAGCAAATCCTGGAAGATGTAGTATACTAAAGATGTAGTATTTTCCATGGATCACTGGGAAAATAAAGGATGATGGAAACTTTTTTATTTCCCAAAGTTCAGAATTCAAGATTGGACAGACTGCAGGAATAGGGGCCTTAGGGGTACAGGAGAGGTCGGCTATTGTTCAATTAAACTGCCCTTGGTTTACGGTGGGTGGGATGTGGATGGTGGTGGTGATGGCAGTTGATGTGGACCCACAAAGGAGCCAAATATGTTTCTTGCGAAGAATCACAGAGTTGAAGGCACTGCTGCGTGGCTTCCTGGGCGGAGCCTGTGCCACTGGGAGTCTCACAGGAAAGTAATGTCGTGAGTAGGGCTTTAGGTGTGTAATCACCAAAGGGTTAGTGAAGTCCCTGTACAAGGAGACCTGAGGTCATGTCACTCAGTCTTAGTGAAATCACAGCAGCCAAGCAGAGCTTCTGAAACTTATTCTATCCTTAGAGGAGGTCTAGCAGAGACCACCGTCTGGGTCTGGGAGATGTCAGAAGCACTGACATGCTGAGCAGAAGGCCCAGCAAGACGTAATCCAGCAGGTTTTGATAAATGACAATTTTGATATTAAGTTGTCATAAAAAACAATAAAAGGTTTTGAAATAAGTAAATGTATTATTTTTACACAATGTGGTCATTGCCTAAAAATAAATCTGATTTCCATATTCTAACAGTAATGGTATAGAAAAATGTATGATTTGCATATAGTCACTTAAAATAATGCTCCAAAAATATTTATGAATTATTCAAGAGCATGTCTGTTACTGCCGTGAGGTGATATGATTAAAGTAATGTTCGTATCAAAAGGACAAAATATCTTTTTTTCTGGTTAAAAAAATGAATCACATCAGAAATTATTGTCTATTCTAAGATGATGGATCCCATTGTGAATGAATTTAAAATTGTATTTCCAAGCAGAAATGTCAAAAAAAAAGGAAATCATGAAATATAGCAAGTAATTTGTCACACGTACAAAGAATGACAAGTCTTTAGAGTAGTTTTCCATTCATGAGTGAGAACACACATCCAACCCAAAATCTACTGGTCTCACTCCCATAATCACTAGTGTGGAGACTAAAGGTAGTGCAATTTAAATTACATTCCTAACCAAAAAAAGGTTCAAAAACAAAGAAAGGATGCTTCATAGAAAATATCTTGCAAAACAAAGAATGACATGTCTGTAGAAGGTATTCACAAGCAGGGACTCACATCTAACCAAAATTCTAGGGATTTCACCATCACAAACACTACTTTGGAGCCTGGAGATGCTGCACATCCTCCTGTGAGCAGAACACTCACTGGGACCCTGCACAGTGTGATGGCCCCAAACATAAAGCTCTCAAGGAAGCTCCGCCTCTCAGCGTGGAAGGAGAGGCTGCGGTGCCAGGGGATGTGTCCACAGAGAGTCGAGTCAGGTGGGCTCAGGCAGTTGCCTGGAGAGTCTTTGAGGAAGAGGACATGAGGCCTCAGTCACAGGTACATGCTCCTCTTCTGTGTGAACAGGGGCCAGGTCTCTCCAGGGCACCTTCCAGAGCCTCTTCCTTCCTAACTCCTTGGGGTGCTCAAGCCCTACAGACCCTCCAGTGTTGGCTGCCACATCCTCACTGGACCAGCCGCTAAGGTTTCCTGCTGTCGTCATGGCTGCAGGGATGCTCAGTCACATCACTGGGAGGAGACCCTAGTGTGTCCCATCCTCAACTGCTACAGGCATACTTGACTTGAACTATGTTTGTTTTGCTCCATTGAACATTTTATGTCACATTGTTCACAGTAGAGACATACCCCCTCCACCACTGACCCTTTCCACACTGCTGCACCCACCAGGTGATTTGCATATTGCACCCTAGGGGAGGACCTTCCCTTGTGAGTCTGAGGTAAAAGCTCAGCTCTAACCTTGCCTCGACAGATCAGGACTCCTCAGTCCATCTCACAATGAGGCTCCCTGCTCAGCTCCTGGGGCGGCTAATGCTCAAGATAGAAAAAATATGAGGTGGGAAAATGGGGTTGGAAGGTGAGTTCTGGGAGCTCCATAGCTTCCCATATTTATTTCAACCATGTGTTAGAGGCACATGGTCTATGCTCCAGGAAAGAGAATTCATATTTTTGTCTTAAGAATAATCAGGATTCACCTCCAAGGAACAATGACCTCTGATTAAGATCTTGAAAATAAAGAGTTCCCTGCTGGCTGGTAAATAATGGGTTCATTTTAGAAAGTCTACTTTCCATGATATAAATCAAAACTTGAAAATATATGTAACTGTAAATCAGTATCATAGAGAAATCATGAAAGCTGCTCATAATGTGTCTATACAAACTTGCACTTCTCTGTTATTATTTCAGGATCCAGTGGTGATACTGTGATGGCCCAGACTCCACTCTCCTGGCCTGTCGCCTCTAGAGAGCCACCCCCATATCCTGTAGGTCTAGTCAGAGCCTCTTGTCCAGTGATGGATACACCTATTCGTATTGGTTCCTGCAGAAGCCAGGCCAGTCTCCACAGCTCCTGATCTATTTTGTTTCAAACCGGGCCTCTGGAGTCCCAGACAGGTTCAATGGCAGTGGGTCAGGCACTGATTTCACACTGAAAATCAGCCGGGTGGAGCTGAAGATGTTGGGGTTTATTACTGCATGCAGGCTCTGCAGCTTCCTCCCACAGTGGTACAGCCCCATAGAGAAACCTCCCTTCTGGGGTGTCCCAGCTGCTCACATGCACTGCTTGTCTGGGGAGCAGCTCAGCAGGGTCTCTCAGTCTGCAGAAGAGGAGGCTGTTGGAGAATTCAGGACAGAGTTTGCTGCTGAGGACTCTGGCCCATGAAAGCCTCAGCTGCACCTCAGTCCCACATGTTAAGGCTCCATCAGCTGCCACATGTAGCCACCTGCTCTGGGAACAGCCAGCTCTGATGAAGGAAGAGTGAATGAAGCTCATCTTCACCCTCCTTGTCTGGCCCACATTTGTTGAGTCCATTTATTTGCAGAACAATCAGATCATGGATGCAGATTAGTGGTAACAGAAGTGAAAAACATGTTGCAAACGACTGGTCTGGGGATAGTTTTATACATGGTAACAGTTGTTCATGTTGAGAAATTGCTATCTTCCCACTTTCCAAACTTTCTCTCTCCTTTACCACTCACACGAACCTGCCCTCCCTAGTACTATGGTGGAGAAAGCATTCTGCACCAGCTATTTTCACGGGAGTATGGCTAAGAATAATTAGTTATAATGTCTGATTGTTTTTTACTACTTATAGATTTTTAAAATCCAGGGGAAATATAAATCCTAATCCCGAAATAGTTTGATTTACCTCAATTACCTTTTGCTGACTGAAAATGGAGTTCTTACAATTCCAAAAGTGGGATTTGAAAATAAACAAAATAACTCAGGAGGAAAACATAAAGTTTATATAACATATCACAGGAACAATGCAGAATTGCATGAGATTTTTATTTTCTTCTCAAATTCTTAGAATTTTAAAAGTATTTTACTGACATAGTACTTTAGAGAGGAAATATCTAGTACTATGTTGTCATAAGAAAATCATTCGAAGAATGAATAAATGCATTATTTTTACATGACCCTATTTTTTTCCTGAAAATAAATCTGAATCGTCTATTTTAGTTGTAAATGCATAGAAAAATTATGCCCTTAATAGATTCTATTAACTCGTCATTTAGCATTAGGTATGTCTCCTAATGCCATCCTTCATCCCTCCCCCCACCCCACAACAGTCCCCGGAGTGTGATGTGCCCCACCCTGTGTCCATGTGTTCTCATTGTTCAATTCCCACCTATGAGTGAGAGCATGCGGTGTTTGGTTTTTTGTCCTTGCCAGAGTTTGCTGAGAATGATGGTTTCCAGCTTCATCCATGTCCCTACAAAGGACATGAACTCTTCATTTTTTATGGCTGCATAGTATTCCATGGTGTATATGTGCCACATTTTCTTTATCCAGTCTATCTTTGTTGGACATTTGGGTTGGTTCCAAGTCTTTGCTATTGTGAATAGCGCCGTAATAAACATACGTGTGCATGTGTCTTAATGGGTGCAGCACACCAACATGGCACATGTATACATATGTAACAAACCTGCACATTGTACACATGTACCCTAAAACTTAAAGTATAATAATAATAAAATTAAAATTAAAATAATAAATAAATAAATAGATTCTATTGACAATAATGTTCTAAATTTATATGCTTTCTTAATATGAGGGCTGCGGTCTGATACATATCTGTATACATTTTGCCATGGAACTTTTAAACCTAACAAATGCTTTCCGTTAAAAAAGCAATAGTGCTTTCTTCACCATAATACTAGAGAGGGCAGTTTCGTGTGAGTGGTAAAGGAGCAAGTTTGGAAAGTGGGAAGACAGCAATTTCCCAATATGACCACCTGTTACCATGTATAAAACTATCCCCAAACCAGTCGTTTCTAACATGTATTTCACTTGTGTTACCACTTGCCTGCTTCCGTGATCTGATTGTTCTGCCAAATAAATTTACATGAACCCGAGTAATGAGTGATGTCTTTTACATGTGAAAACACTGTGTAGAGACACAAAAGGCTCATTGAATCTGATGCAGGCTAACAGCTTAAATTATACTTGAGATGATTTATGTCAAGATAACGGATTCCACAGGAAGTGCAATTAAAATTCCCATGTGTCATTTCTGTTGGGTTGAAAAGTTGCATGGCAAAATGTATATAGATGTTTAGTAGACCATAGCCCTCAAATTAAGAAACATAAGCACTTAATATGTTATTCAAAAATACTAATTAATGTTTCTTTGAGCCTAAATGTTATTACAGAACGCAGTAAAAGAAAATAAGATGTAAGTAGCAACAGCAGGAGATACAGCAATTCCGTTGTCACGTTAGCCCTCCTGTGATTGACAGCACCTAGTCACCTTGAGTTTCTGCTTTTCTGTGAGACAGAAGATAAAATCAAAACCCATTCAAGGCGGTTAGATATATTCTTAGGAAAAGCAAACAAATGTACAACCTACCTGATGCTGATATCCCAAAGGTCTATATTCTCAAGTCAAAATGGTGAAAAGTAAATGATTCCAAATCTGAAAGGAGAGAGACACAAGGAGAATCAGAGCATAATTAAATTTATTACAAAGAAACCTCAAAATATGGTGGACTAAATGTGACAAGGTTTCTGTGTCTGTGCCATGGCAGTGCAGAGGCAGGCACGTGGCCTTGGTGGTGTGGGTGGCTCTGCTCCATGAGGTCACTCAGGTGGACAGGAGGCACGACCACCCTGAGAGCACAGCCTTCCTCCTTCCTCACAGTCACTGCCCCCATGGTCATCCTCAACAGCATGAGGTGGAACTGAATGGAGAGAAAGCTGTTTTCTTCTAAGGATCAAAAATAAATACAGAAACAAATAAAACCTCTAGCTTTCCATCAGGGACAAATGTACTTTTGACTCAGTCACAGATTTGAGAAATTTTCCATTGAGCGGGTCTGCTGGTAAACCCACGTTCATTGTTTGTTTGTTTTAATCTGAAAATGTGTTTACATGATTCTTGAAGATATTCTTTGACAAGAAACTTCCATATGTGGTAGCCTATTTGAAGTTGTCATTTACTATTTCATCATTGCTGCTAAAAAGTCATTTGTTAAAAAATCCGTGACTCTAACTGTTCTTGTTTGAAAGGAATACGTCTTTTTAAGATACTCAGATTCCTTTTAAGCTCTTCATCTGGCCCTCCTTTTTTCTGATTCAATGTATTGTTTAATTTTTTACTTATGACTAATTAATCAATTAATTTTCACAATCACAGAATCAAATGTCCGATAAGTTGCTATGTCAAAGACCTGTCTGAAGATGGCAAAAACACTCCACAATAAACAAAAGACAACACCATGGTCTCAGGAACACTGGGAAAGTAGGAGTGCTGGTGTCCCATTCTCAACAGGGAGCCCGAAAGGTAGAGGCGGGTCTTTCTTGTGACCTGGGCACCGGGGAGGAGCCACCCATGTGCTGAGTTGTGGGAACCTGCCCCATTCTCTGAGACTGGAAGCAAGGCCCCGGCTGTGTCCCACCTGCTATGGACTGAATTGTGCCCTCAGATTCATGTTGAAACCCTAATTTCAATATGACTGTAGAAATTAGGACCTCTAAAGATGTAATTGAGGTCATAAGGGGGGTCCCTGATCCAGTAGAATTCGTGTTTTGTTGTTTTTGCTTTGTTTTGTTTGTTTGCTTGTTTGTTTTTGAGGCAGAGTCTCGCTCTGTCGCCCAGGCTGGAGTGCAGTGGCGCCATCTCAGCTCACTGCAAGCTCCGTCTCCCGGGTTCACACCATTCTCCTGCCTCAGCCTCCCGAGTAGCTGGGATTACAGGTGCCCGCCACCACTCCCGGCTAATTTTTTGTATTTTTAGTGGAGGCGGGGTTTCACCGCGTTAGCCAGGATGGTCTCGATCTCCTGACCTCATGATCTGCCCGCCTCGGCCTCCCAAAGTGCTGCGATTACAGGCGTGAGCCACTGCGCCTGGCAAATTCGTGTTTTTATAAGATTCAGAGAGCTCTCCTTTCTCCCTTCTCTCTCTAATTGCCTTCCGCTCTATGGAAAGGCTGTGTGAAGACACCGTGAGAAGGTGGCATCTGCAAACCAGGAAGAAGGTCTTTACCAGAAAGCAAACCCTGCTGGACATCGATCTGGGCTATTCCAGGCACCAGAAATATGAAAATTAAATTCTGTGGTTTCTGCCATCCAATCCAGTTTTTTTGGTGTGGCAATGCAAGCTGACTCATCCACTTTTCCCACTCTCTCTGAGCAGGATCAGCCTCAGGAGACCCTCGTGGACGTGGGGACCTGGTGTTGCTCCTCTTCCTCCTGCTTTTCCAATTCTCTGGTGAAGAGGGAGAACTCGGGCTTCACCTTCAGTTTCAGTTCTGTGTATTAAACATGAATTTAATGCAGTTTCTTTGCATTAAACATCCTTCAAGATGAAGTCTGTCGCCCATTTTGCTTGTTCATCAGAATTCAGTCAAACTGAATGAAGTAGTTATTTAGAATTAACACTTGGGGATGTTCATAATTGTTCCCCACTTATGTGACAGTTGGGATATTGTGCGGTGCTCATCTCCAGGCCCCTCCCTGTGTTCCAGGAGACAGGGTCACTGTCACCAGCAGAGCCAGTCACGGAAATAACAGTGTCCTAGCCTAGCTCCACAGGAAATAAGGGCTGACGCTGATCTCCTGCTGGCTCCCACTGCCCCCTGGACACGATGCCCGCCTGGGTCAAGGGGGTGAGTCTGGACAGACGTCACTCTGGCCATCAACAGCCTAACTACCTTCATGACCTCCCATTGTGAACAGAGTCCCAGAAGTTGCTTGAGCCATGAAAGTTGGACAGAGAAATCCCACATCACTGCAGTCAGAGGGGGGCTGTGAAAAGACCGTGGGGGGGGGTTTCATACTATGATCATGCAGCACTGAGCCATGGCTGCCACTCTGTCTGACGGGAGCCCCCGGGGGAAGATCCACTCACACTGTGCTCTAGAGGTCGTTTTTGTCACCATCTTGGTTCTAGCTGGTTTGGGCCAGTTTCTGTAGCGCATCCTCTTTTGTCGAGATCCTGTTCCAGTCAGCGTTGTCATGACCAATGTTGGGATCGGTGCTCAGAACACAAGTCCTGATGATCTCCTACCTTACACTCGCTGCCTTCTGTGAATCAGATATTCTGATAAGGATCCTGTTGGATCCTACTCGAATCAGGGGCCACACAGACCCTCACTGAGGGCTGAGGACCACAGGCATCTGAAGATAAGCAGAGGTCCAGAGAATGATAGCCCCTGACTGTCCTCTGTGAAGACAGCTTCTCCCCAGATGGCTGAGGACTATCTTTGGCTGTGTCCTTCTTTCTGAGTGATAATGAGGGATAGAGCAGGTCTCTAAGCCAAACCACAACATTTCAGGGACAATGATACCTATGCAGGCCCTCCTATGTGTGCTGCTCTAACCTAGACATAGGTGGCACTGGATACGCTTAGGGAAGTGAGGAGATTTATAATCAGAAGGAAGAAAGAGGGAACGAGAGGAGGAGAGAGAGAGAGAAGAGCGTGTGATGTGTGTATAGTACCAACACTGAAGAGTCATTCTATAATGGTTTAGTGCTGAGTATGGTGCTCAAATGATCAGGCTGTATTCCATGGAAACTATACAGGTACCTTTCACAGGAAAAGAGCCTTTGCACATGAAATTAAGGATTATAAAACAGGCAGATTATCCTGTATTGACCAGGTGGGCCCTAAAGGGGCCTGTCTTTGTTAAATGTCATTTTTAAAAATCCTGCAGAAGAGAAGGCCATCTGAAGACAGCAACAGAGATTGAAATGATTTGGACTCAAGCCAATGAAAGCTTAAACCAACAAAAGCTAAGAGAAGTAAAAAAAAATAGACTTGCCCCTGGAGACCCTGGAGCAGCTTTGTCTGATGACAGCCTGCTCCTGGCTGCTGAAACTGATGCTGGACTTCTGGCCTCCAGAACTATAAGAGAATATATTTCTATTTCTTTAAGCTACCAAAGTTTTGGTAATTTGTTATAGCAGCCCAAAAATACTAATACAAATGGGGCTTAGAATAAATCCAGCCTAAAGGTAGTATAATGATTGGGAATCTCCACGTTCGATTCTCTAATGTTACACATATTAGAAGATTTTATGAGGAAATAGCGTACAGGAAACCCCACGGTGTATACTGGAGCATCTGTTAATTATATAATAAATGTTGATAATTCTTAGTAGAGCATGACATCTGGGTAGTAATATCTTATCTAGAATCTTCATTCTAAGATATTCAAGGATGCAGAAAAGGGGCCCTAAGTAGTCTTTTCATACATATATATGCATAGATACATTTCCTGGTGCATCAACTAGAGAAACCTTCAGGACAGCCCTTGATATCCTTGGTGCTACTTTTCACAGGTGAGTAAACTGTTCATCAGAGCACAGGGGTGGTTTGCCCAAAGATACATGGCCAGCAATTATCAGGGCTGAGCTTGGAACCCAGCTTAAATATGTCGCTTCCACATGGCCACATTTGTTCCATGGAGGAATGAATGGCTTTTAAACTCAGAGAAGAGACAAAGCCGGAAGGGTGGTGTGGAATTCTCAGCAAGCGCCTTGCTACCTCTGAACCTTGCCATGATTACCACAATTATAAACTCAGGCCTTTCTGCAGTTTTGTCCACATAGCAAAACTTCCTCCAAGTCTTTAAAATTTAAATGTCTTTCTTTCAGATTTGAGGGCAGGAGCACATCTCGCATTGCCCTGAACACTTTGCTTCTTTTCTACCATCCTCATCTCCCTGAGCCGGCTCTTCCCTCTCAAAATGTGTCCTATCAATCTGATTTCTTCTCCTAATGTGAAAACAAATGAACAAATAGCCCCCTACTTTTGTCATCTCCAGAGAACACAAGAGCTAATCACATACCCAGAGAGTATGAGAGTTTAAAGGATTTATCCAAGAGCTTTTACACATAAGAAGTATTCTGCTGCTAGCCCTCTTCACAGTGAAATGCCTGTGTGTCTTGTTAAAACTGACACTAAAAAATGACAAGATAGAGCCATTTTGAAGAACGGAGGGTGACCATTCCAAGATAATTCAGGTGTTTCCTAAATTTTCTAAATATCCCTATGCGTTAAAAAAAAGATTTGACAAGAATTCAGACCATACCGTCCAAGAAAGAATGTTTTTCTGCTTTCTTAGGTTGGCTCTTTCAGGGATAATGATGCCTATGCAGGCAGCATGTTTATAATGCACAGGAAACACGGGGAGGAAACAAGGCAGTGAAGGAGGAAAGAAAGGAGGGACTCCAAAAGTCTCCTCAGCAAAGAGCTACCGCTGAGGATGGCTGGAGCTCAAGCCCACGTGGAAACAGGGGAAAATGTCTCAGTATTATTCCAGCTGAGAAGAGAGGGAGCTGGGGTATATACACCTCTCCTGTCCTCACTGATTGAGGGCTTTCTGAGAGGATGCTCATTCCAGGTGCTGTGAAAGGCCATGTGTGCAGGCAGGGCTGCCTTCTCCAGTTTGACATAGAGCAGTGAGGAACAGATATGGCCATGGGGAGTCAGCAGAAGTACAGCAAAGGGGAAAGGCAAAGGGTAGCAAGAGTGACTGCTACATTCACCTCCCCGCACAAAAAAAATGTGTGTATTTCAATCCAGAGCTTCTTCTCTCTGAACCTAAATCTTAGCAAGCAGTTTGCCAGTAATTTCCCTTGAAATTCAGGCCCCTGGAAAGCAGCAGGAGATCTGGGTACAGGCTATACCACTGTGGTCTGCTCACTCTTAGTGATGCGTGAGTAATGCTCCCTGGACTCCCCAGGTTCTAGTCTTCTCATGTCGATGTAGTTGATTCCACTTCCCTTGCTGCACAACCAGGCTGGGATGCCTGGGCAGAGGCAGACATGTGAGGTATAGGGGTTCAAATCTGTTTCCAAGTTTTATCCAGATCCCAAGTATTTCTTCACGTACATGGGCGGTGGCTTGGCAGGAGATGCAGATTCTCTCTCCTGGAAGTGAGGCAAGGAGGCTGGCGTCTGGGTAAGGATGATGTCCCCACATACTGCTAAAGAGTCAAAGAGGAAAGTGGCATCGATGGTGCAGGGCAGAGACATGCACTGAGTAGCTGCTGCCCTCACTGAAGAGAAAGTGTTCACTGACTTGGCCTTTCCCCAGGGCCTCTCCCTCCCCTGCTTTCCAGAAAGCCCAGTTTTTTGGGAGCTGTACCTGAACACCTGGGAACATTCCGGTGGGAAAGGCAGCTCAGAGCATTAGCAATGGTAAGTTACCTTGTTCTTCTTCCTGTGGAGACAATTGATCATATGGGTCAGCAAGACGGAGGTGCTGTCCATTTAGTCCCTGGTTATTACAGAGACCTATAGCTCTGGATTATGGAAGATCTGTGAGTGGCACAGGCATTGAGGAATCACAGCATCATTATTGTGCATCTGCAGGGAATGGCTTGAAAATAGACTGGTAATAACAAATGTTTCAGGTCACTACAAAATACCTTTGAATATTTAAATATGCTTCTGACAAAGACTTTTTTCCCACATGAAACAATGGGAGCAACGTGACAATCACAGAGGTGTTGTTAGTATAACAAAGGGATTGTCACTCCCACAATGTCCACTTAAATAACTTGAAGACCTGATAGCCCCATTCTCTAAGACATTATCAGACATTCCCTACAAATGGTCATACTCTCCTATATACTCCCGATACAACTCTAAAATATATGACTCCATGTAGTCCCTAGGTTTGAATTAAATTTTGACTTTTTTCTCCCAAAATATCTCTTGTCGAAACAACGGATGTAGAGAGAAATACATTCCCTCCAGGCAAATCTGTCAGGCCTGGTCTGACCTGGGACCCTGCGGACACTGCCCCTTTGCTGAGTTACCGAGATGAGCCAGCCCCGTGGCTGTGCCCAGCCTGCCCCATCCCCTGCTGATTTGTGTGTCCTAGAGCGCAGCCCCCTGCCCTGAAGACTTCTTAATAGGCTGGTCACACCCTGTGCAGGAGTCAGTTGCAGTCAGGACACAGCATGAACATGAGGATCCCCGCTCAGCTCCTGGCCTTCCTGCTGCTCTGTCTCCCAGGTAAAGAAGGAGAACACTGGGAAGTTAGCCACCCAGTGTGCTCAGTACAGCCTGGCTCTTCAGGGAAATCCTCGCATAACATGGTGAAAAGTGTAAATATTTGTTTTTGTATTTCCAACCTGAGATGCCAGATGTGACATCCAGATGACTCAGCCTCCATCCTCCCTGTCTGCATCTGTAGGAGACAGAGCCACCGTCTCTTGCCAGGCTAGTCAAAGCATTTACAACTATTTAAATTGGTATCAGCAGAAACCAGGGAAAGCACCTAAGTTCCTGACCTATAGGGCATCCAGTTTGCAGAGGGCGATGCCATCTCAGTTCAGTGGCAGCGGATATGGAAGAGATTTCACTCTCACCGTCAGCAGCCTGCAGCCTGAAGATTTTGCAACTTATTAATGTCAACAAGAGAGCATTTTCCCTCCCCCAGTGTGACAAGTCATAACATCAACTGCTAGGATAGCAGATGAGTGAGGCCGGGTTGCCCTAGATGCCCCTCCTAGTGCCTCAATCTGCTGAGTTGTTTTCCAGATGCAGCCAAGTTTTGAAGGTCGTCTGGAAATTTTGGTAAATTGTGATGAGGTGGCTCCTTTGCACCCACTCTCTTTCCTCCTCATCCCCAGAAGCAAAGACATGAAATGCGAGTCCTGATTTAATAAAGAGATTTAACCACCTGAGGAGTCTGTTATGGGATGATTGGAATTCTTGTAGCAAAAGAGAAGCCACTCTAGCCCTTCCAAGCAGGAATCGTTTTAATTTATGAAATCAGTGTCTAAACTACAGCTTTTCAAGGCCTGGTTGATGTTAGTCACGGAAGCAGATACTAGAGACATGATTCTCTGGTGCTCCTGCAGAAACCAGGGTGCACCCTACCCTGCAGGTGTGAGCTGCCTAGCCACATGGTCCTTGGATCTGTCTGAGAAGCCCAGAGTGCAGGTGCTGATGCTCTCAGCCTCCTGCAGTATGTCTCTAGGTGATTCTCTAGGTCTCAACTAAGTCCACTTGTCTGTCTGCAGGTGTCAATGAGCATTGAATCATTCTCTTCTGACTTCCAAATCTCGTGGAAGGACCCCTCAGTGAACAACTCTACAGGAAAGTATAGAGGGAAAGGTGGTTCTGAAGAATGCGCTTTCAGAAGTGATGGTGATAATGAGGAACTGACAGCTGAAAGCCCAACATGGTCAGTATTTTCACAAAATAGTGAAAACTTTTGCCAGTTATGCATGGCCTCAGAATACATTTGAATATACTTGCACTTGTCACATAGCAACATAACTTTATTAAGTCATAGACACAGCTTAAAAATCAGGAAATTGTATGACATACATAACAATCATTTTACAAACAAATGAAAAATATTTCTTAACAAAGAAACCAAAACAACAGAAAAACCTGAACATTGGTGTAACCTTTTTTAAATTATGAAAATTCTTTGCTACTCAACATGTATCCAGAATCCAGCAGGATCATTAGCACACTGAGAGCATGATACATATGCTAAATAGCAGAACGACCTTCAGTTCACTGAATGAGAACCTTTGTTTAGCCATGGTAGTTGATAACAGGTGACCTATAAAAGGTTTAAGAAGCTATGTTCTATGTGATATTTGTTTCAGCTAAAGAGATACCGTGGTGGTGGGCACCATTGGCCCCAGCTACCAGGGAGGCTGAGGCAGGAGAATCGCTTGGACCCAGGAGGTGGAGGTTACAGTGACCCAAGATCATGTCACTGCCCTCCAGCCTGGGTGACAAGAGCAAACTTCTGTATACTATTATGGCAATGAGGCTATTTTTAAAAATTTCAATGGAAAGCCACATGTTGCAGCCACACCCAGCTTTATTTTCTAATCCATGCAACATGACATTTGAAAACAATTGGAAGATTGTAAAGTTGGAGAAACATAATGATCTGTCCATGGAATAATAAAATGCTTTGATGTTTAAATGGAGGAAAAGTTTGTAGGAACCATAATAATTACCAAGGTGAAAGAATAACTTAAAATTGTGTGTATCTGTGTTCAAAATTATTAGACTTCATTCACCATTTCAACTTGGTTTGGGGAGGTTGCCCACTCCTGCTGCCTTCATCAGAATATGGTGCCTGGGTAGATACTGCCCTTTAGCCTTGACCTCAGATGAACACAATCCATAGGTTAGAGACAAGCTCTGCTCCCTGCAGCAAAACCACCCAGCTGAGCCCTGTCTTGAAGAGTCATGTTAATACTAAAATGATCATCCAGAAACACGATAAAACTTGATGTAATACACTGACTTTTAAGTAGTTGGTTATCAATCATCATTGTGCAAAAAAAGTGACCAATGTAATACTTACACATTCACCCATATAGGATGTATCTTATTATAATTAGTGGCAGAAGTATAAATATTTGGTAATGTATTTATAAAGCTACCAATGAGAAATTTAAAAAGAAATTTAAAAAATTATATATAAATAAAAAGTGTAAAATTTACCTTATTTATGGAAACTCCACATATATATATATAAACATTAATGTAGGTACATATATATATATTTATTTGATAAATAGTTGGGTGCGTGTAGTTCCATATGCATATATTCATGTCTAAATAAGGCCATTTACATATATATATGAGAAACATATGCATATTTACAAAATGTTTTAATAAATTAAATCTCTTAAGATAATTCTATTTATTCCTCATCAAAATAGTTGGTTTCTAGAACCAGATATAGTACCTGCTCTGGCTATAGGAATGTCCTTGAAATTTGATGTATTTCTAAAACACTCACCAAATTCATGTGTCACCTTAAAATATTTTTCTAACTTACTTGAGGTGCCAAAGAGTATGAATGGAGATGATTTTCCCTAATGTTAAAAATTATATCCTTGTCTCCTAGGTAAGTCCTCATTCTTTGTATGTCTACAATGATGCTATTCTGGACAGAGTTCTATCCATGGATGCTGGGCTGATGTCACATCATTCTCACAGTCAAGGATGGCCTGGAGAGTAAAAATCATAACAGTGAGCAAAGTGCAAGTGTTATATCCTTGTTCATTTTGCAGAGGGAGATCAGCCATTCAATGACATTGTCTATGGGTTTGAACAAATCATCAGACCTTAGAAAAAACAGAACAGAGGATTAGAGACAAAGTCATGGTGGAAGAGCCATGAGTAGACCTTTCAAAATGGGCCAAAAGTTGCCTAATCTATGGGGTAGAGAGCAAGTTGATCACGTAACTTGCTCAGGAAGAGCTTTTTGGGGTTGTGAAAATACTTTATATCTTGACTTTGGAGGTGGTTAGAAGGATTATTTATTTGCAAAAATTCATAAAAACTGTACATTTAAAAATCAATGTGATTTATTTTAACTATTATTATCCTCAATAAAGATAGTTAACTATATGTAGTCAGGGAGCTCAAGGTGCAACTGAGTAATGCTGTCCTCACATCTTCTATTCTTGCAGTGGACTGCAACTGTGTGAGCAAGAATGTCTGGGAGATTGCCTCAGACCTAAGAGTAAAGAGCTGTGTCTCTCTGGCAAGAGCCCAATTTTCTTTTTACTTTGATTTTGTCTTCTATTGGATGAGAATTTAAATAATTCTCATAGATTAGATCAAAGTAGCGGCTTTTTCATGTACACTTATTATTTATTGAAGCTAAAATTCCAAGCAAAATAAAAACTTATTCCAAAAGTGAAGAAAAGTTTTCACCTGTGAATTGCCACTACTCTTCAGCTTGGGAAACACAGCAAATCCTTGTCTCCAAATTAAAAGAAAAAAGGAAAATAAAACATTTAAATAAAACAATATAAATTTTTTTCTAAAATTAGTTAACTAAGCCTGTCATACCTTTCGTTTTATGACCATCACTCAGAAATTGCTATTATTAAAATTTACCTGAGTTTTAAGCATAAGAGCTGTAATGTGGCTTGCTACACCTGTTTATTAAATAGATAGAAATATACTGACATTCAATTTTATAGGCATACATAATTCAATATAGGGCTACATACATATGTAGCTATATACAGATATGCATTCATATATACATATATGTGCATTAACACACATATATGTACATTTACATATATACAGATATAGATATATTTAGATATCTATAAATACCTATATAGATAGATAGATATTTCAAATATGTATATATATATATGAACTACACATTACACATATATGTGCTTTTTATGCTTTTTATATCTGTGTTCATGTCAGATGCAGGAATTAATTTTTGTTTCTAATGCTTTTATTCGTTTTGGAAATGAAGTTTATTGTGACCACATATAATAATTCTGGAAGCATTTCCTTCTTTTTAATTCTCTTGAAGTTTGTGTAATTTTCACAAGGTTGGTTCCAGTAAACGAAACATAAGATGGAAATTTTCCTTATAGAAAAGTTTTCATTATAGAGTTCCTTTTAGTTTAGTGAAAATAGTTGCCATAATTTATTTCATTGTATTCTACTTTTATGTGTTTGCTATCCTGGGCTCTGTAATAATTTTCCCTTTTTAAATTATAGATTGTGTATTTTGCATCTTTTCTCTGTCTTTTTTATCCACCTTTCCTGCTTCATGAAGCAGCCATGGGGTTTAACTCCTTCCGGGTAATTTTTCTGAACTTTTACGCTCTGCTTCCCTTTTAAACGTAAGTTCCAATTCCAAACCATAACTTTGTAAGTGCATAAAACTGAAGGCTTTAAAGGGCACCCAAGTCATCACTTGAAGGTTTTGCTGCTTTGAAATTTATTTGGCCAGATACCTTAAATTAGGTCTCTCAGGTTCAAAGTTCCACAGATATTTAGGGCAGGGACAAAATGCTGCCAGTCTCTTTGCTAAAGCATAGCAAGAATCATGTTTATTCAAGTTCCCAATAAATTTCTCATCTCCATCTAAGACCACCTCATCCTGGACTTCATGGTCCATATCACTATCAGCATTTTGATCAGAGCCCCTCAACAAGTCTCTGGGAAGTTCTGAACTTTGCCACATCTTTCTGTCTTCTGAGTCCTCCAAACTGTTCCAACCTCTGCCCATTACCCAGTTCTAAAGTCGCTTCCACATTCTCAGGTATCTTATAGCAATCCCCCACTACCTTGATACCAATTTACTGTATTAGTTCATTTCCACGCTGCTATGAAGAAATACCTGACACAGAGTAATTTATAAAGAAAAGAGGTTTAATAGATTCACAGTATGACCCAGGAATTCCACTCTTCTCTATAGACCCAAGAGAACTGAAAACATATAGTCAAATAAAACTTGCACATGAATTCTTATAACAATGTTATTTATGATAGCCAAAAAGTGGAAACAACCCAAATGTCCATCAGTGCATACATGCAACAACGTGGATGAACCTTGAAAACATTAAGTTAAATGAAAGAAGCCAGTCACAAAAGGTCCCACAGTAAATTATTCCATCTCTATGAAATGCCCAGAATAGGCAAATCTATAGAAGAAGAAGGTAAATTAGTGGTTGTCAGGGGCTAGGAAGGAAGAGGATGGGAAATGGCTGCAAACAGCGTGAGGTGTTTTGGGTGGTGATGGAAACATTCTGCAGTGACATTGTGGTGATGGCTACACAACTCTATAGTAAAAGCCAACGAGTTGTTTACTTAAAGTGGGTGAACTTTATGCCATACAAATTATATCTCAATACAGATTTCTTTAAGTCTTCAAGAAGCCCTCTGGTAAAGAAATCAGCCTAACCCAGCCCTGAACTCATCTGACCACCAAAGCTTTTCCTCACATTGGCACCCTGAGAAACTGGTATTCTGAAGAACGCGCTTTAGGAAAAACTGCTTTAGACAACAGGAATTTGGTAAGAAGAACTTTGTTTCTGTGAACACATATTTGCATGTCAGGGTACATCCTTTTGTATTTTATTTATATTTAGTGTGTCTATGTCTTGTCTTCTTGGTAGCTTTACAAGAATTTCGAGGAGAGAAAGTATGATTTTGTCTCTTTGAATTCCTACTTCTCACCACCCATAATGTGGTGCACACATAAATATCTGTAAATATGCAGTTAGAACTTTGCATCACTAATGAGTTAATTAAACTATTCAACAAAGCCAAAAATACATATCATGGACCCTCGAGTGCCAGGCACAGTTTCGGGCACTGGGGATACAAAAATGAGGGAGCTTACGGTTTAGTCTGAGACCAGGCCAGGAGCCGCGCAGTAGAGGCACCTCTCCCTGGGGTGTCTGAAATCATTCCTGTGAACTCTAAATACCTGAGACAGGGCTCAGTCAATTTAAGAAGTTTACTTTGCCAAAGTTAAGGATGCTCCTGTGACACAGCCTCAGGAGGTCCTGACGACATGCACCCAAGGAGGTCAGGGTACAGCTTGCTTTTACACATTTGAGGGAGACACGAGCCATCAATCAATATGTGTCACATGTACATTGGTTTGGTCTGGTAGGGTGGGACAACTCAAAGTTGGGGCTTCCAGGTCAGAAGTAGATAAGAGACAAAAGGTTTCATTATTTTGCATACTCGATCAACCTTCCACTGAATACACAATTTAGTCTGGCTCAGTGAATCTGCATTTTTACATCAACAATAGGGCAGAGGAAGCAATTAGATATGCATTTGTCTCAGGTGAGCCTCAGAGAGATGACTTTGAACAGAATGGGAAGTAGGTTTGCCCTAAGCAGTTCCAAGCTTGACTTGTCCCTTTAGCTTAGTGACTTTGAGGTCCCAAGATTTAGTTTCCTTTCACATTCCCAAAGCACATTTGTCATGTAGTAGAAATTATTGAACACCTTAATGGAGGCACCGTGTTTGAGATTCACTCCCTTGCTATTGAAAAGCAGACACAACCAATTTCTTCTTCATTGTTGGAAAAGGTTGCTTTCCCTTTGGTTGGGCACCAGTGGAAGACTTGCACTGAACAGCTATTTTGGCCAAAACTATGTCTCTCAAAGGTGAGTCCCACTGGGGCAAATCCAGGTGCTCCTGGTCTGAGCAGCCTGTAGGAAGGACAGGCGCAGATAGAGCAAGGGATGCACCCTCCTCTACCGTCCACTCCGCATCCACCCTGTGGTATATCTAGGGTGGCACACAGAATGAATGGCACTGCCTAAATGACTTTTTCTTTATTTAAAAAATTTACTGCATTTGCTTAAGCATGTACGTGAGCTTGTCCTGTGACTCCCCAGTCCCGAAGCTCAGCTGAATATCTGAACACTGGGCTTTGAAAAAAAGAAAGTGACCCTGGAGACCAAAAGGACAGCTGGCTCATAGGAAAGCTGCTCATGGCAGGCAAAACTGGAGGGCAGAGAAACGCACTAACCTTGGTTGATACAGTTTAGATATTTGTTCCCTCCAAATCTCATATTGAAATGGGATCCCCAGTGTTGGAGGTGGGCCCTGGTGGGAGGTGTTTGGGTCATGGGGGAGGATCCCACATTTGGGCATGAAAGTACAAATGCCTGTTCCCATTTAGGGCTGCGGGTTTCCAGACTTGAGGGTGGGGGCGTTTGCTGGGGAACTGCCCTCTTCCACCCAGTATTTCCTTGACTCTTGTCTGTATCACCAAGATAACACACTACAAATATGGGAAGGAGCTTGGAAAGAACCATGGGAAGAAACTTGATGTGATCACAGCACCCCCAGTGAGGGCAGGCGCTCAGCAGGGCAGCTGTCTCTGAGTTAGCAGCATCAGGAAGCCTCCCCTGGAAGACACTGGCTGCAGGACGAGGCTGCCAGCCTCCACCAGGGACATCTGGAAGCCACTCTTGCTGGCTTCTGTGGAGGCCAAGGGCAGCCTTCTTGGCAGGCTGCCAGCTCTCTGGAGGCTCTTGGGGCCCATCCTACCCTCAGGGGACCTGGCAGGAAGGTCAGCTGACTGCTCCTGGGTCACTCACGGATGCCCCCTTTTTATGCCCCAAAATGAATCTGAAGAGAAGAAATCCTAGCCTCTGCCAAGCGCTGTCGCCCAGCATTGCAGCCTGAACACATCCAAGGGGCCTGATGAGCAGCACCTGGTCCCCCACTGGCTCAGACGCTTGAAGCTACTGAATTTACATGTAATTAAAGACTCGAGTGCAGACCGCATTTCAAAACAGACACTTGGTCAGAGATAGGAGGCCTTCCCCATCAGATGGTTTTGTTTTGCTTTCTCTCTGCATATGGGCCTTATAATTTGCCAAGGTAAGGTTACAGGGGCCACAGTTGTTTTGTTTGGAGATGAGAAAGCTCAAGAATGACCTAACTCTGTCTTCAAATATGCGGAGGCATTTATTACAAGGAGGGAATGGTTGGCTGTTTTCTTCTTGAACTGCAAGAAAAGGTGGCTCAGCTGAAATCCTGAAGACCTGCACACATGGCCGCCACACGCAGCCCTTCCCCAGAGCACCTTGCATGTAGGAAGCACTTCTTGCCCTAAAGCCTAGGACTGCCTGCCTTTGAGAAGGAAGCTTAGGCCTTGACCATGGTTGAGGAAGGAGGCCCCAGTATCTATTTTGGAGAAGTCTAGTAGGTTCTGCCTGGTGGCTGGCAGCCAGGACACTGACTTTATGGCAGAGGCTTCATTATTTTAAAAAATTAAGGATCCTCAGTGAGGGAGGCCTTATTCATGGCAGGGCCCTTTGTGTGGCTGATAGGTGGGGCATCAAAGCTCTGGCACAGACGTGGCTGAGCTGAACTCCTCTGAATCATAGAGGTGGGGAATATGGAAGCCTATAGCTATGAGAAAGTCCAGGAGGAGACAGGAGAAGCTTTTACCCGTCCAGAAGGAGGGGCAGCTGAAGGAAGGAGAGAGGGAAGAGGGTGGTCCAGTGCAGGCACAGAAGGTTCCAAACAGGCTGCACCTGCACTGGACCACCCTCTTCCCTCCTTCTTTCAGCTGCCCCTCCTTCTGGACAGGTAAAAGCACTTCCGTCTTTTCAGTGTCATGGAGGGAGCCCGAGAAGAGCAAACATTGACATCACCACCGCTGCCCACAGCAGTGACACCACGGGCACACTTTTAAAAGGGTCGTATCCTGGACCGGCACTTCCTCAACTCTCTCTGTCCTAAAGCCTCTGGAGAGCCCTTAAATTTGTGGTCCTTGAAGCTATTGTAAAGGTAAGATCTTTTTTCTCCCCAAGTCCTACTCATCCTGACTTTTCAAGTTTGTGGTGTCTCTGATAATCTCTGCTCCTGTTCTTTGAGACCATCCCCGTCACTCTCCACTCTCCCACGTGACACCTGTAAAGTCTCTTCCAGGGATCTGGGGCTGCATTCCAGGGTCTCTTTGCTCTGAGCTCTCTGAGGCCTCAGGCTGTCATAATAAATCAAATGGCAGGGATCTTCTCCAACATCATCCTTCTTCCTTCTGCTTTCCTACGAGGGTGGCAGGTTCAACGTGTCTGTAGAGGCCTCGCTGTGTGAGGGTCTGAAGGGAATTTCCAATTTGATGCAGGGGAAGGAAGGGAGAGAGAGACTAAAAATTGGTTGATGGCCACCATGTGCCAGGTGCTCCCAATACAGTCTCAAACTCATGACATCTCCCAGCCAATGGATTCACCCCCTTTACCAGTTCCACCTGGAGCTCCATCTCCCAGACAAGCAAAGGCCATGTTGGGGGGCTTTGGAGTCAGCTGCCTGCCATTTCATCTCAGGTGTTACCGTGGGAAAGTTGTTTAACCTCTTTGAGCCTCAGTTCCCTCACATGTAAAATGGACCTACGAGTTTCTCACACAGGGTTGCCCTGGGGCCAGGATTGCCAGATAAAATATAGGATGCCTGGTATAAAAGTTGCATGGGACAGACTTATACTAAATATGCTCCCCAAATTGTTATAGCTCTAAAATATTATGGCTCCAAATCAAATGTCTGAACTCTATGAGACAGAGCAAAAAGCACGAACACAAAGAAGTAACAGGGTCAAGAGAAAAGAGCATGCACTTGGAGGGCAGACATCCAGGAACACCATCTCTGCTCTGTGTCAAGCCAGGCTGTCACTTTAACTGATAATTAAATGCTTCTGTGCCTCGCTGACTCCTCTGTGCCATAGGGACCTAAAGAGAGGCCCTACCTCCCTCACACGGCACAGCTAAGTACTTTGAAAACATTAAAAGCATGAAAACAGTATGTTTTACTCTCTATCCGGGATGGGCCAGGAGCAGTGGCTCACACCTGTAATCCCAGCAGTTTGGGAGGCTGAGGCAGGCAGATCACTTGAGGTCAGGAGTTCACGACCAGCCTGGCCAATATGGCGAAACCCTGTTTCTACTAAAAATACAAAAATTAGCTGGATGTGGTGGCAGGCTCCTATAATTCCAGCTCCTCAGGAGGCTGAGGCAGGAGAATCGCTTGAACCTGGGAGGCAGAGGTTGCAGTGAGCTGAGTTCGCACCACTGCACTCCAGCCTGGGTGACAGAGAAAGTCTCCATCTCAAAATAAGTAAATACATAAATATAAATACACAGGATGTGTGCAGTGATATGCCAGGAAGTTCATAGAGTGTCAGTTTTCATCTCTCCCTCCTGCACCAAAAAGCAAACTCATCCATCTAAGAGCACTCAAGACTGAAGGAAACCTTTACAGAAAAATCTAGCCTGTTCCTTCTAATCAGCAGGACTGCACTGAAACCGTCATGGAGATTGGCATCCTTTTCTCTTTCTGAAGACCTCTGGGGAGGCAGATTCTACAAACAGCCTTGGCAGCTGATGTGCTAGCACAGTGTAGGATAACTTATAAATACAGTCAGAGCCAAGGAGGGCCTCCAGAATGCAGCCCAGCATGGTGTGCACTCGTGGAGCCCTGACATACAGCTAAGGAACATTCTGAAAACTCAAGCCATCCCTCTCATCACTCCTCTTCCTTTTAATTGCAATTGACCCTTCAGAAATCAAGTAAATTAAGGGGGAGGGGAAAGAAGAATTTGTGCTAGTAAGACAGATTCCGAAGAATGTAAAATGAAATAATACCAAACACACAGAAATAGAATACTTTAGGCAGAAAGAAAGGGATGAAGAGGTAGAGGGAAGCATTTTTCCTCCCAGTACATAGTAGGTCCTCAATAAACATTTGTTAAATGAATGCATTCTTAGGAAGGACAATCTGCTCATCCATATGAATGAGAAATGTTTTGCTGATACACTATTTGGAAGTGACTGTACTACAGCTGATTTAATGGTAAAGCCATCAAGTCTGCATTTCATCCTTCTACCTGGGTACTGGCTCCAAGAATCTGTTCTCTATCAACACATCAAGACCCTTGACTTAGAGAGCCTCATATACACAGCAGGAATAAAAGGAGAGGAGAAATAGAGAATGAAACTCAGCCTAACCTTCCTCATCTAGCCCTTTTCTAATTCATCCGGTACCTTTTCTAATTCTTCGCAAAGACACTGCGTAAGTTTTCAGAAGCTTTAGCTGGGCCACACCTCCAGGCTTCCAGGATTTGAAGAATTATGTCAATATAGAAACCAGTTTCTGGACAGCGAATAGCAAATCCAAAATCACTCTAAATTGGTGATTGTCAACCAGGATGGTTTTGCTCCTAGGGGACATTTGGCACCACCTAGAGACATATTTTTAAATGGTCACAACTAGCAGTTCTTATTGGCATTTAGTGGGTAGGGGCCAGGGATACTGCCAAAGTGCCTGTAATACACAGGACAGTGGCCCACAACAGAGAATTATCTCAATATCTCAGCAAGGAATTATGTCAACAAAGCCACAATTGAGAAGCACTGTGCTAGATTCAAATCTCTTCTACCGTGTCTTCTCAGACCAAAGTCTTACCCGTGACAACTTATAGTAACCTCTCTGCTTTGGTGTCCACACCTTAATCTACCAAGTCAACAGATATGTACCAAATGCCTATAGCTCTCTACCAGGCATGCAAGCAAGGAAAAAACAGCAACTTTCCTCAAAATAAAACCACAGAAGTTAGTCAGAAAAAAAAGCGCAAAACAGTGGGTACCTTCTCAAGGAAATAAACCAACAAAAAATCCAGACAGTAGCCAAGCACAGAAATGCATATAGTGTTTTCATCATTTCTGAGGAAATGAGTTAGAATATGGATGGCTCAGGCCTCCCGGGTTCAATCTGAAGTCTTTTTTTTTTTTTCTTTTCTTAAGGAAGCTAATAGACAAGAAATTGAGAAAGAATGAGTGGAGGCCGTTTGGTTTAGTATGTTCTCTGGAACACTGTTGCGTTTCCCCCGTAGAAAGAGTTTACAAATGGTAGTTCAGTTCCAGGTCAGCCCAGAAGAGCTTACTGGACAATAGTCCACCTGAGGTGCCAAAACCACAGGAGTCCGGGGATACACAAGCCCTGAGTTTTCTTGGAAGAAAGAAGGACAAAGGGATTATCTGTTTCTTTTCTCCTTAGACTCCCTAAGTCCCCTGCTCTACACCACCTCTCTCAGAGGTAAGAGTAATCCTAGAAAACCTTCAACTAGTTTTTTTGTTTTAATTTATAAGTAAAGTACATACAAATTAAAAATGTGCTCCTGGAAAAAAAAAAATCCCATCTCAGACCCATATCCTCAGGCTCTTTTCAAAGAGACAAAGTCACTGTTTATTACATTTCTTCCAGAAATACTCTCTGCATATACTCAAACGTATGCATGCATATATCACCTTTCAAATTATAGGCAGAAATGGAAGCATGCAGTCTGTTGTGTACTTTTTTTTCAACTATTTTAAGTTCAGAGGTACACGTGCGGAATGTGCAGGTTTGTTACATAGGTAAACGTGTGTCATAGTGGTTTGCTGTATAGATCAACCCATTACCTAGGTATTAAGCCCAGCATCTATTAGCTGTTTTTCCTGATGCTCTCCCTTCCCCCACCCCCGTGAAAGGCACCAGTGTGTGTTGTTTCCCGCCCATATGTCCTTGTGTTCTCATCGTTCAGCTCCCACTTATACATGAGAACATGAGGTATTTGGTTTTCTGTTCCTGAATTAGTTTGCTGTGGATAATGGCTTCCAGCTCCCACCACGTCCCTGCAAAGGTCATGATCTTGTTCCTTTTTATGGCTGCATAGTATTCCATGGGGCATATGTAACACATTTTCTTTATCCAGTCTATTATTGATGGGCATTTGGGTTGATTCCATGTCCTTGCTATTAGGAATAGTGCTGCAATGAACATACGCGTTCATGTATCTTTATAATAGAATGATTTATATTGCTTTGGGTATATACCTAGTAATGGAATTGCTGGGTTAAATGATATTTCTGCTTCTAGATCTTTGAGGAATGGCCATACTGTCTTCCATAATGGTTGAACTAATTTGCACTCCCACCAACACGTATAAAAGCATTCCTTTTTCATTGCAACCTCTCCAGCATCTGTTGTTTCTGGACGTTTTAATAATTGCCATTCTGACTTGGCATGAGATGGTATCTCACTGTGGTTTTTAATTTGCATTTCTCAAATGATCAGTGACGTTGAGCTTTTCTTCATATGTTCGTTGGCTGCATAAATGTCTTCTTTTGAGAAGTATCCATTCATGTCGTTTGCCCATTTTTAATATTTTTTTCCTTGTAAATTGGTTTAGGTTCCTTGTAGACCCTGGAAATTACACCTTCGTCAGGTGGAAAGATTGCAAAATTTTTTCCCCATTCTGTAGGTTGTCTGTTCACTCTGATGATAGTTTGTATTGCTGTGCAGAAGCTCTTAAGTTTAATTAGATCCCATTTGTCAGTTTTTGCTTTTGTTGCAATTGTTTTTGGTATTTTTGTCATGAAATCTTTGCCCATGCCTATGTCCTAAATGGAATTGCCTAGATTTTCTTCTAGGGTTTTCACAGTTTTGGGTTTTACATTTCAGTCTTTAATTCATCTGGAGTTGATTTTTGTATAAGGTGTAAGGAAGGGGGTTACAATTTCCCACATATAGCTAGCCAGTTCTCCCAGCACCATTTATTAAATAGGGAGTCCTTTCCCCATTGCTTGTTTTTGTCAGGATTGTTGAAGATCAGATGGTTGTAGGTGTGTGGTCTTATTTCTGAGTTCTCTATTTTGTTCCATTGGTCTATGTGTTTGTTTTTATACTAATACCATGCTGTTTTGGTCACTGTGGCTCTGTAGTATAGTTTGGAGCTGGGTAGCATGATGCCTCCAGCTTTGTTGCTTCTGTTAGGATTGTCTTCGCTATTCGGGCTATTTTGTTTTGTTTTGTTTTGTTTTTTGGTTCTGTATGAATTTTAAAATAGTCTTTTCTAATTCTTTGAAGAATGTCAATGGTAGTTTAATGGGAACAGCATTGAATCTATAAATTACTTTGTGCAGTATGGTCATTTTCATGATATTGATTCTTCTTATCTATGAGCATAAAATGTTTTTCCATTTGTTTGTTTCCTCTCTGATTTCCTTGAGCAGTGGTTTGTAGTTCTCCTTACGGAGGTCCTTCACTTCCCTTGTTATCTGTATTCCTAGGTATTTTATTCTTTTTGTGTCAATTGTGAATGGGACTTCATTTATGGTTTGGCTCTCTGCTTGCCTGTTGTTGGTATAAAGGAATGCTAGAGATTTTTGTGCATTGATTTTGTAAGTTGAGACTTTGCTGAAGTTGCTTATCAGCTTAAGAAGCTTTTGGGCTGAGATGATGGGGTTTTCTAAATATAGGACATGTCATCTGCAAACAGGGATAGTTTGCCTTCCTCTCTTCCTATTTGAATACTCTTTATTTCTTTCTCTTGCCTGATTGTCCTGGCCAGAATTTCCAATACTATGTTGAATAGGAGTGGTGAGAGAAGGCATCCTTGTCTTGGTACACTTTCTTTTTACCCATAAATCTACCTTACTTCTTTAACGGCTGCAGAATATCCCATGCTATGAATGTACCATTGGTATCAACATTAGGACAGTGACTAGGAATATTTTGAAAAACCAAAAGTTCATCTTTCTCCTCTTACTTACTACCTCTTGTCCCTACCCTTGTCCTCCATATAGAGCTGCCTTGAACCCTTCACCTTATCTCTCTTGACTGGTTTTACTCTATCCCCTTTCCCAAAGGAGTCATCCCCCAAAAGCATGGACTTTCTGACTCCAACCCAAAACTCACCTTCTTTCAGAGTGGCTGGCCTGACTTATTTTATTCCAAAAGAAAGTAATTTGATTCTAACTAATTATTATATGAATTACCACCAACTCCTTAACCCTCACATTTAGAAAGGAGATGTTAACTAAGTTGAACTCATCATTGGAATTCCAGAGAGCAACAACTGATTTAAAAAAAAAAACAAAAAAACAGAAGCTGTCAAGAGCATACAATTATGGGTTGGGATCAGCCATATTGGCTATTATCTCATGTCAGAAAATCTAGGCACAGAGAGCTTCCTCTAACTGATGATATTCTGGGCAATTTCTTCATTTCTTCTAGCTAAAAGTCCAATTACTTTTCAAAAGCTCTAAGGTTTTCCACAATACTCTTAGTAAGGGACCTGGAAAGAGCAGGCCAGCTGTCTATAGGTATAGGCCATTCATAAATGGGTATCCGTAACATATGGACCCACCGTTCTGAGACTGGCCACGAGTCAATTGAGAAAGAGTATGCCATCACTTGCAGATGCCCACAGGAGAACTTGGACATATAGAGGAGGGATAACTGAGTTGAGACTGGAGTTGTGCAGAATATATATGTGTGTGTGTGTGTGTGTGTGTGTGTGTGTGTAAGTGTGTAACTACATAATATATTAATATACGTACAGACATAATTTTAAAAGAGCACAAATGGAAACACATACATAACACAAATGCAGTTACATTAAGAGTGGGGGCCAGAGGGTCCTTTTATCACCTACTGTCAGTGAAGGGATCCAAAATGGTCACAAGAGTCTTCTCCTGCCAGTTTCCAGGCCCTATCCTGACGGCAAACACCAGGACGGTGTCTTTAATCAGAGCTGGCCCAAGGCCCATCACCCTGTAATGTGAAAGCTGTCTACTTTAGCCAAACTTTTCGATCAGGACAGGTACTCTTCTTTTGAAAATCCAAGGCGGAGAGGAAAAACGGCTAGGTCTGAACCCTCAGGATGTGCCAGGGCAGTACAAGTGTGGATGGCATCAGATGGTAGGGTGTAGAGAGAGTACCAGGCCAGGGCGGAACTGCACTGAGGGCCATTAGGGCCTTTTGGGGGCCAGGTAAGTGGCCTCAGATGGTGACAGCTACATGGTCCTGGGTAAGTCTGTTCTGGTTGGTTTCATTTGGATCTGGAGGGTCCTACAGGGCAGCCCTGAAGAACATCAAACTGGAGGCACACAGAGTACCAGGCTCCAGGGTCTTTGCCATAAGCATAAGAAGCAGGGAAAACAAGAGGCTGACTTTGACAAACTCTTGTGCACTCAAATGTAAAGGGCAGGAGAAGAAAACCAGGTCAGTGGGAGACAGTTGAACCCTGCCACCCCCGGTGGATGGATGATGCCTGTCACCTAAATAGGGCCTAGCTTGTGGGGTGAGGCCAGTCACCATGGTGGATGTGAATGGCCCATGTGCAATCTGGAGGCTACAGAGAGAGAGCCCTAGGCACAAGTTTCTCAAACAACAGAAGAAGAAATGACCTGGCATGTGAAGTCCGATGTATAGATGCCACTATCCAAGCACCTATTCTTACTGTAACCTTAAGCTATTATAAAAGCATCAGCCATCTTGCCTTTGAGTTCTTATATTTTGTATGCCTCATATACATTAATAAATCTGCCTGCCTTTCCTTGTATTCATCTGCCTTTTGTGGGTTGATTTTCAGCATCATTTCACAGGGTGAAGTGGAAGTTGGCTCTTGGCCCATGCAACACATCTATTCATAAAGAAATATAGATATATTTAATTACATATATGTATTTATACATATATAAACAACTATATGTACATATAAAACAAACATAAATCACAAACACAAACAAACACACTGATGTAAATGCATTTATGCAGGGGCCACTAGGCCCTCTTGCCACCTGCTGACAGGGAAGGGAAATGCGAAAGCTACAGGAGTCTTTCTCTGCCATATCCACGTGACCTTACAGTGATGGCAAACACTGGCCCAGCATGTTTTAACCAGACCCAGCCCAGGTGCCACCACCCTCCAGTGCGAAAGCTGTCCACATCCCTAGAATCTGGCAATCAGGATAGGTGCTCTCCTTCTGAAGACCTTAAGTAAGCACATGCGTGGAGTTCCGGTTCAAGTGGGTAGAGAAGAGGCTCTCCCCAGAGAGAAAGAAAGGTGAGGTCTGAGACTTCAGGACGTGCTGTGGGACAGTGTAAATATGGCTGAAGTAAGATGGCCAGATGCTGGAAGGACAGCGAGGCTGGGGAAGGCCTGCACTGAGGACCATTTATAACTTTCAGGAACCAGGAAAATGGCCTCAGACAATGAAGCCACCCAGTCCTGAGTAAGCCTGTTCTGGCCTTTTCATCTGGATCTACAGAACCCTACAGGGCAGGCCTAAGGAACACGTAAGTGTCAAGGAGCTGTTTGGGGAGCTAAGTCTATGAGGCTTCTTCCATCTGTATAAAACATATAGAAAACAGGGTTCTGGCCTTCTACACTCCAAAATAGGTGGCAGGTGAGGAAGAACAAGCCAGAGTAAGTCTTTTTCACACTGCCACCCAGGTGGACAGATAATGCCTGTCACCAAACTAAACCCTGGCTTGTGCTGTGATGTGGGGCTATTGTGGCAGATGTGAATGGTGCGTACACAAGCTGGGAAGCTACAGAGAGCCTTGAGGCCCCAAGCTGGGCATCTGGCCTTGGTCAGAAGCATTGCTAGCTTCTCAGCTGGGCTCTGCATTCAAAGGCTAGGCTGAGGAGTGTGTGGCCCTAGAAAAAGCCCTGTATTTTCTGCTCTTAAAATCTCATGGAAGTAGAGACCAGATAGGACTTGAATGGAAGGCCACCCGATATTACCTGGTTCCATAGGCTTTTGTCATCCCCATTCTCCCCAGTACAGCCAGCCAACTCTCTCTGCTGTATCCTAGAGCACCAGGAGGCTAATAATCAGTGCTGGAGTGGGACACAGAGGATAAAACCAAGTCTCAGAGGTAAGTGGCTAGGCAGGCAGTGGCTCTTCTGCCTCATTCCCTCTGCATGAACATTGTGGGGAGGTGGTCTGGGTGATAGCCACCATTTGGAATCTCCCTCCTCCTCACTGAGGAATAGCAAGACCCTGACATCTGTGAGGACCCTACCAACATGGCCTCTGTGAGCAGTCACTCAGCAACCCACCACCTCTGCTCTGGATCTTTGGTACAAATTTTGATGATTTCTGGGGGTGCTGTAGGGCCATCACGTGCCTTCACAGTAAATGTGCAGGAACCAGGTTTTTTTTTGGCAGGAAGAGAAGTATTAATAGCAAGAACTCCTCAGCAGCAAAGCCTCATCAAGAAAGAATGAGTTGTGCTCAGGTGTTCCCTTCAAAAGTGCTTCCTCGCTGCTGCTTCTGCACCTCACTTGAGTGGCGAGAATCTTCTGTGAGGCAAGCCTCAGTCCTGTCTGCGTGGACACTCACCACCCAGCTGTCTCCATCAGAAAGTCTGGCCCAGGCCCTTTCCTGGGAACCAGAGACCCCTCTGCTCTTCTCCTCCAGACCCTGTGGAATAGCGGGGAAGAGGGGAAGGTGGAACATGAACTCTCTTCCTGCTCCTCCAGGATGCCAAGCCAGCTTCCGCTGCTTTTACCAACCTCACACTCCACCCCCTTCCTCTCCTTTATAAGCCCCTGGGGCCCTTCAAGAAACAAAACAAAACATTTTTTAAAATGTGCAGGTCCATTTTACTTCCACCCTGCCATGTCGCTTCCCTGAAGTAACACTGCATAAGTTCTTCCATCGGCTTGTTGGGGAGGAAGTTTCATCTGCTTGTGGAAAAGACAAGACAAACAAGGGATACCATTTAATATTTTAAAGACATACTATTTAAGGAAACCTATCATAAAGACACCGATTTACAAAGCCCACTATTTTGGTATAAATTTGTCAACCTAAAATAATCAAAGGACAAGAATCCCATTTTGAAGAGTTTATACCAGTGAAATGCTAGGAATGGCTTCTTAGCCTGTAAAGTGTAAGAGTGGAAGAAATAGTGCACTGAATTGAGTTCATCATCTCAGTTCGTCATTGGAAATCGCCTCTCATTTTTCTCTATTTTCCACCGTTTTTTACCTCACTTGAATTTTCTAATTTTTCCACATAGGTTTTTACTGTCATGTGCTTGATATATGGCCCTGGAGATGTCTTTGAAAGTTACATAATGCTGTGCTTTCTGTGCGCATCTTTTATTTTTATTTTTGAGACAGGATCATCTCACTTTGTCACCCAGGCTGGAATGCAGTGGCACAATCTCAGTTCACTGCAGCCTCAACTTCACAGGCTCAAGTGATCCTTTCACCTCAGCCCCCAAAAAGTAGCTGGGACTACAGGCAGGCGCCACCAGGCCTGGCTAATTTTTCTATTTTTAGTAGAGACGGGGTTTCACCATGCTGCCGAGGCTCATATTACACTCCTGGACTCAAGTGGTACACCCTCCTCGGCCTCCTGAAGTGCTGAGATTACAAGTGTGAGCCGCTGCACCCGGCCATGTGCGTATCTTTTAAATATACGTAAGTTATTTATGTCTAGATAGCCATCTGCTTCTTAGAATATGCTTAATGTATTTGCACATCATTTTAAGCCTACCAATGGTGCTTTGTGAGTATGTATTGTGCACATATGTACATAAATATATATTTCATGTGGAATATATAGTTCATATATGCATATTACATCATGAATTTGTTTATAATAGCTGTTCCATGTCTTATGCATGAAATCTCCAAGTAAAGGGCATCTAAATTCAGTACAATTAGAAGTAGAATAAACTGTTGCAAATAAGATCTTTGAAAATGTCCTCTGATAGACTTCTGTGGCTGCTTCTCAGGGGAATATACCCAGGATGTGATGGTCAGGACGTAAAGTATACACATAATAATTTTCCCTAAGTACTAAGAAAATAATCTCCAAAGGAGTCTGCATCCTTGAAGTAAAACATGAACATGCCCATATCCTCACATTGTCACTAATGTTTGGCGTAATCCAAATTTCTAAAGTTAATAAACAAATATAAAGTGTTATTTTGTGTCACTTATTAGGTCACTAATATTTCTGAGTTGCTGTTCACATATTTCTAACCCATTAAAGTTTCCTCTACTTTGAATTACCTCTTCATATTGTGTTCAGAGTCTGCATTTCCCAAGTTTTTTCTAGGTAATATAAGAGTACCTTAAAAAGGTATTATTACTGTTGTAGAAGGAGTATTATGTGTGTCAAAGGATCCTAGTTTCTTTTTAATATTTATTGAATATTAAATAATAAATATTTAATATTTATTAAATCCCATTTTCCCTTAGAACGCCACACAGTCAGCTGAGAACATTATCATTTACGTAAACACTACGTTTCTTAGCCTCCCTTGGAGGTCATTGCGACCATGGAACTAAATTTGGGAAAGTGAGATGAAGGCACGATTATTTGCCTGTGACTTCCAGGGTCTTTCCTTACAGGAGGGTATCTTTTGTCCTTTCTACTCCTCTTTCATTACTGCAGCTTGGATGCACTTACATTTCCTGGAGCTCCAGCAGCTCTATGTGACTATTAGTAAATGAGACATGCCCTAAGTAAAGCTGGGGGAGTGTGGAGTCCCAGTGGCTCATGAGGCACAGCTGCCACACCAAACCCGGATGGCCAAGCCTCTGTCTAATTTTGTGTGAGCAAGAAGTATACTAACTTGTTTAGGTGACTGCTATTTGGGAGCTCTTCTGCCACCTTCAATTGAGCCTCTTTTTTCACAAAATTATTGTTTATTCAATAAGAACACATTTATCTTGAAATACTTTGTTTTTTTTTAAACTTTTATTTTAAATTCAGGGGTACATGTGCAGGATGTGCAGGTTTGTTACATAGGTAAACGTGTCATAGGAGTTTGTTGTACATATTATTTCATCACCCAGGTATTAAACCTAGTATCCATTAGTTATTTTTCCTGATGCTCTCCCTCCTCACCCTCCATCCTCTGGTAGGCCCCAGTGTGCATTGTTCCTTTCTTTGCGTCCATATGTTCTCATCATTTAGCTCCCACTTATAAGTAAGAACATTTGGTATAATATTTGGATTTCTGTTCCTGCATTACTTTGCTAAGGATAGTGGCCTCCAGCTCCATCCATGTCCCTGCAAAGGTCGTGATCTTATTCTTACTTTTTATAACTGCATAGTGTTTCGTGGTGTATATATACCACATTTTCTTTATCCAGTCTATCACTGATGGGCATTTAGATTGATTCCACATCTGTGCTATTGTGAATAGTGCTGCAATGGACGTATGCATGCATGTGTCTTTATAATAGAATGATTTACATTCCTTTGGTTATATACCCAGTAGTAAGATTGCTTGGGTGAATGTTATTTATTTCTCTAGGTCTTTGAGGAATCATCACACTGTTTTCCACAATGGTTGAACTAATTTATATTCCCATCAACAGTATAAAAGTGCTCCTTTTTCTCCATAACCTTGCCAGCACCTGTTATTTTTGGACTTTTTAATAATCGCCATTCTGACTGGTGTGAGACTGCATGTATGTCTTCTTTTGAAAAGTGTCTTTTCATGTCCTTTGCCCACTTTTTAGTGGGGTTGTTTTGAATTTGTTTAAGTTTCTTTTTTATTTTACTTTATTTTATTTATTTTTTCTTTTCTTTTCTTTTCTTTTTTGAGATAGAGTCTCACTCTTTTGCCCAGGCTGGAGTGCCGTGGTGCAGTCTCGGCTCACTGCAACCTCCGCCTCCTGGGTTCAAGCAATTCTTCTGCCTCAGCCTCCCGAGTAGCTGGGATTACAGGCATGCGCCACCACGCCCAGCTAATGTTTATATTTTGACTAGAGATGTGGTTTCATCATGTTGGCCAGGCTGGTCTTGAACTTCTGACCTCAGGTGATCCTCCTGCCTTGGCCTCCCACAGTGCTGTGATTACAGGTGTGAGCCACCATGCCCAGCCAAGTTTCTTACAGATGCTAGATATTAGACCTTTGTTAGATGCATAGTTTGCAAAACTTTTCTCTCATTCTTTAGGTTGTCCGTTTACTCTGCTGTTAGTTTCTTTTGCTGTGCAGAAGCTCTTTAGTTTAATTGGATCCCATTTGTCAATTTTGGCTTTCGTTGCAATTGCTTTTGGCATCTTTGTCATGAAATCTTTGCCCATGTCTATGTTCCGAGTGGTATTGCCTAGGCTTTCTTCTAGGATTTTTATAGTCTGGGGTTTTACATTTAGGTCTTTAATTCATCTTGAGCTGATTTTTATATAAGGTGTGGGGCTGGAGTCCAGTTTCAATTTGCACATATGGCTAGCCAGCTTTCCCAGCACCATTTATTAGAGAATCCTTTCTCCATTGCTTGTTTTTGTCGGGTTTGTCAAATATCAGATTGCTGTAGGGGTGTAGTCTTATTTCTGGGTTCTCTATTCTGTTCCATTGGTCTATGTGTCTTTTCTTGCACCAGTGCCATGCTGCTTTGGTTACTGTAGACCTGTAGTATAGTTTGAAGTTGAAGAGCATGATGCCTCCAGATTTTTCTTTTTGCTGAGAATTGCCTTGGCTCTTCAGGCTCTCTTTGGGTTCCACATGAATTTTAAAATATTTTTTTTTCTATTTCTGTGAAGAACTTCCATGGTAGTTTAATGGGAATAGCATTGGATCAATAAATTATTTTGGGCAGTATGGCCGTTTTCATAATATTGATTCTTCCTATACATGAGCATGGAATGTTTTTCCATTTGTATCCTCTCTGATTCCTTTGAGCAGTGGTTTGTTGTTCTCTTTGTAAAGGTCCTTCACTTCACTTGTAACCTGAATTACTAGGTACCTTATTCTTCTTGTAGCAATTGTGAGTGGGAGCTCACTCATGATCTGGCTCTCAGCTTGATTGTTGTTGGTGTATAGAAATGCTATAACAATTTTTGCACATTAATTTTGTAACTTGAGACTTTGCTGAAGTTGCTTATCAGCTTAAGAAACTTTGGGGGCTGGGCGCGGTGGCTCATGCCTGTAATCCCAGCACTTTGGGAGGCCGAGGTGGGTGGATCATGAGGTCAGGAGACCAAGACCATCCTGGCTAACATAGTGGCTAACCCCGTCTCTACTAAAAATAGAAAAAATTAGCCAGACGTCGTGGCACACACCTGTAGTAGCAGCTACTCAGGAGGCTGAGGCAGGAGAATCGCTTGAACCCGGGAGGCGGAGGTTGCAGTGAGCCAAGATTGTGCCACTGCACTCCAGCCTGAGCGACACAGCAAGACTCCATCCCAAAATAAATAAATAAATAGCTTTTGGGCTGAGATGATGGGGTCAAACAGGGATAGTCTGACTTCCTCTCTTCCTACTCAAATACATTTTATTTCTTTCTCTTGCCTAATTGCCCTGGCCACAACTTCCAATACTATATTGAATAGGAGTGGTGACAGAGGGCATCTTTGTGTCAGTTTTCAAGGGGAATGCTTCCAGCTTTGGCCCATTCAGTATGATATTGGCTGTGGGTTTGTCATATATGGCTCTGATTATTTTGAGGTACGTTCCTTCAATACATAGTTTATTGAGAGTTTTTAACATGAAGGTTGTTAAATTTTATCAAAGCCTTTTCTGCATCTATTGACATAATCCTGTGGCTTTTGTCTTTAGTTCTGTTTATGTGATGAATCACATTTATTGATTTGTGTATGTTGAACCAACCTTGCATCCCAGGGATGAAGCCTACTTGATCACGGTGGATAAGCTTTTTGATGTGCTGCTGGATTCAGTTTGCCAATATTTTATTGAGGATTTTTGCATCAATGTTCATCAAGCATATTGGCCTGAAGTTTTCTTTTTTTTGTTGTATCTGTGCCTGGTTTTTGGTATCAGGATGATGTTGGCCTCATACAATGTTAGGAAGGAGTCCCTCCTTTTCAATTGTTTTGGAATATTTTCAGCAGGAATGGTACCAGCTCTTCTTTGTACATTTGGTAGAATTGAGCTGTGAATCTGTGTGGTACTGGGCTTTTTTTTTTTTTTTTTTTTCTGGTTGGTAGGCTATTTATTATTGCCTCAATTTCAGAACTCATTATTGGTCTATTCAGGGATTCGATGATTCAATCTTGGAAGGGTATATGTGTCCAGGAATTTATCCATTTCTTCTAGATTTTCTAGTTTATGTGCATAGAGATGTTTATAATATTCTCAGATGGTTGTATTTCTGTGGGGTCAGTGGTAATATCACCCTTATTATTTCTGATTGTGTTTATTTGAATCTTCTCTCTTTTCTTCCTTATTAGTCTAGCTAGTGGTCAATCTATTTTATTACTTTTTTTCAAGAAACCAGCTCCTCGATTCATTGATCTTTTGAATGTTTGAGTGTGTGTGTGTGTGTGTGTGTGTGTGTGTGTGTGTGTGTCCCTATCTTCTTCAGTTCAACTCTTATTTTGGTTGATTCCTGTCTTCTAGATTTGAGGTTTGTTTGCTCTTGGTTCTCCAGTTCTTTTAGTTGTGATGTTAGGTTGTTAACTTGAGATTTTTCTAGCTTTTGAATAAGGTCATTTAGAGGTATAATTTCCCTCTTAACATTGCCTCAACTGTGTCCCAGAGATTCTGGTACATTGTCTCTTTGTTCTCATCGGTTTCAAAGAACTTCTTGATTTCTGCCTTAATTTCATTATTTAGCCAGGAGTCATTCAGGAGCAGGCTGTTCAATTTCCATGTAGTTGTGGGACACTTCTGAGCTTCATGAGCTCTTGTAAAGTTGGTCTGGTGGTAACAAATTTTCTCAGCATTTGCTTGTCTGAAAAGGAGCTTATTTCTCCTTTGCTTATGAAGCTTAGTTTGGCTGGATATGAAACTCTGGCCTGGAGTTTATTTTCACACATTCACTCATCACTTCCCTGCGCAGGCGAAGGGGTTCCCCTTGGCTCTTTGTCGCTTCTGGGTGGGCTGTCACCCTGCCCGGCTTTTTTCCATTCTCCATGGGTGGAGCTGTTTTCCTGATCAGTTCCAATGTGAGTACTTGGATATTTCAGTTGAAGGTGCTGTGTTTACTCATCCCTCTCATTCTTTTCTGTGAGAGCCATGCACCATAGCTGCTTCTAGTTGGCCTTCTTGGCCCCCTTCTGGCTGAGCCTAATTCTGTGTAATAGAGGTTGTACATAGATATGCCCTAGAAACACAGATTATAGAGAAGGATCATACAATATGATCATACAATATGATCCTTACATATGCACATACACGTGTAATATGGCTTTGCATGTGTCATGCATCAGTCAAAATTATTCTGTTTTTTACTTCAGGGTATTTTGACTATAGTGTTTCATATGTGTTTCTATTTTTCTCTGTATCACCATTTTAGATCATTGAATGGACTGCTGGGCTAGACCTGGAAAATTCTTCTGCCAAGTGTACTATATGTCTAGGTTCATGTCACTGTGTGATATCGGTGTCCTTGTGACAACTGTAGGGGGATATAAGAGCAACAGTGAAATAAAGTCATCTCTCACAGCTGGCATGTATATTCCTATAAATTTATGTGAACAGGAAAATAGACACAAATTGGAACCATGGAATTCAAAAAACGGTCTCTTAAATGAAGTCACAGAAACTACTTGGAAATTTAATTTAAAATGTTGAACTCTGTCCTCAATTGTATGCACCTCTGCACAACAGGTCTATCTTGTGGAAGGGCAAGGTATTTCTTCTCACATTTTTTTTCCTTCTGTCTTCTAAAGAGCTTCATGTGAAAGCAGAAGACTCATGAGAAGACATCTAGAGACTAGCCCTAAAGTGCTTTTCTCCACAGGAATGTCACCCAGGCACTACATCCAGGAGTCTCAGGTGCCACTGGGTTCCCATCCTCAGTGAGGCAGAGCTGGGAGAAGGCACGCAGCATTCAAATTTCCTTCAAGTCACTTGCTTAAGGTATACATTGAAGGTTCAAACTAAATTTGAAATCCTTTTTTTGTTGTTTTTTACAATTAGCACTTTTTTGTTATTTTTTTATATATTTTTTATTATACTTTAAGTTCTAGGGTACATGTGCACGACGTGCACGTTTGTTACATATGTATACATGTGCCATGTTGGTGTGCTGCACCCATTAACTCGTCATTTACATTAGGTATATCTCCTAATGCTATCCCTCCCCCATACCTCCAGCCCACAACAGGACCCAGTGTGTGATGTTCCCCACCCTGTGTCCAAGTGTTCTCATTGTTCAATTCCCACCTATGAGTGAGAACATGTGGTGTTTGGTTTTTTTTCCTTGTGATAGTTTGCTGAGAATGATGGTTTCCAGCTTCATGCATGTCCCTAAATAGGACATGAACTTATCATTCTTTATGGCTGCATAGTATTCCATGGTGTATATGTGCCACATCTTCTTAATCCAATCTATCATTGATGGACATTTGGGTTGGTTCCAAGTCTTTGCTATTGTGAATAGTGCCACAATAAACATACGTGTGCATGTGTCTTTATAGCAGCATGATTTCTAATCCTTTGGGTATATACCCAGTAATGGGATGGCTGGGTCAAATGGTATTTCTAGTCCTAGATCCTTGAGGAATCACCACACTGTCTTCCACAATGGTTCAACTAGTTTACAGTCCCACCAACAGTGTAAAAGTGATCCTATTTCTCCACATCCTCTCCAACACCTGTTGTTTCCTGACTTTTTAATGATCGTCATTGTAACTGGTGTGAGATGGTATCTCATTGTCGTTTTGATTTGCATTTCTCTGATGGCCAGTGATGATGAGCATTTTTTCATGTGTCTGTTGGCTGCATAAATGTCTTCTTTTGAGAAGTGTCTGTTCATATCCTTTGCCCACTTTTTGATGGGGTTGTTTGTTTTTTTCTTGTAAATTTGTTTGAGCTCTTTGTAGATTCTGGATATTAGCCCTTTGTCAGATGAGTAGATTGCAAAAATTTTCTCCCATTTTGTAGGTTGCCTGTTCACTCTGATGGTAGTTTCTTTTGCTGTGCAGAAGCTCTTTAGTTTAATTAGATCCCATTTGTCAATTTTGGCTTTTGTTGCCATTGCTTTTGGTGTTTTAGACATGAAGTCTCTGCCCATGCCTATATACTGAATGATATTGCCTAAGTTTTCTTCGAGGGTTTTTATGGTTTTAGGTCTAACATTTAAGTCTTTAGTCCATCTTGAATTAATTTTTGTATAAGGTGTCAGGAAGGGATTCAGTTTCAGCTTTCTACATATGGCTAGCCAGTTTTCCCAGCACCATTTATTTAATAGGGAATCCTTTCCCCATTTCTTGTTCTTGTCAGGTTTGTCAAAGATCAGATGGTTGTACATGTGTGGTATTATTTCTGAGGGCTCTGTTCTGTTCCATTGGTCTATATCTCTGATGGGACGTATCTCAAAATAATAAGAGCTATTTATGACAAACCCACAGCCAATATCATACTGAATGGGCAAAAACTAGAAGCATTCCCTTTGAAAACTGGCATAAGACAGGGATGCCCTCTCTCGCCACTCCTATTCAACATAGTGTTGGAAGTTCTGGCCAGGGCAATCAGGCAGGAGAAAGAAATAAAGGGTATTCAATTAGGAAAAGAGGAAGTCAAATAGTCCCTGTTTGCAGATGACATGATTGTATATCTAGAAAACCCCATTGTCTCGGCCCAAAATCTCCTTAAGCTGATCAGCAACTTCAGCAAAGTCTCAGGATACAAAATCAATGTGCAAAAATCACAAGCATTCTTATACACCAATAACAGACAGAGAGCCAAATCATGAGTGAACTCCCATTCACAATTGCTTCAAAGAGAATAAAATACCTAGGAATCCAACTCACAAGAGACGTAAAGGACCTCTTCGAGGAGAACTACAAACCACTGCTCAATGAAATAAAAGAGGACACAAACAAATGGAAGAACATTCCATGCTCATGGATGGGAAGAATCAACATTGTGAAAATGGCCATACTGCCCAAGGTAATTTATAGATTCAATGCCATCCCCATCAAGCTACCAAAGACTTTCTTCACAGAATTGGGAAAAACTACTTTAAAGTTCATATGGAACCAAAAAAGAGCCCGCATTGCCAAGTCAATCCTAAGCCAAAAGAACAAACCTGGAGGCATCATGCTACCTGACTTCAAACTATACTACAAGGCTACAGTAACCAAAACAGCATGGTACTGGTACCAAAAGAGAGATAAATTGGAAATCTAACAGAAGCATTTAGAACTACATGTCAAGCCCAAGTCACTTTTAGATATTTGAGAATGTGTACAAACCATATGGGTGTACTTTCCCCAAAAGTGTGTTTTTTGCAGTAGTGGTTAGGAGTATTCTTTTGTGAGATGGTATTTTTCTTAAGCAACCACCATTTAGATTCTTAGTTCTCTTAACTTTTAGGTTAACAACTCAATACATCTTCCAAGTGTCCTCGTATACTTTTTCCGGTTTGACTATTAGTTTAGGTGGTGCCTATGGCCCATTTAAACTCGGAGACTCTGAGGCTCTGATGTGTATCCATCTGGTTAGAGTATGTATGAGTAAAGCCAAGGTCAGTCAATGACTTGACCTCACTACCTTTTCCAAAATTTCTAGTTCTAACATTGGCTAGCAATTTTGAATGCTTGTCAGACAAATACCTCAGAGTCCTTGCCCTGCTAATGCAGTCATTATTAAGAGTGAAAATTACATTGTGTTGCCTTATTTAATGATGTAATGCTGAGTAAGCATTTATAGAGCACCTATTCTGGGAAAGATTAAAAATATACAAAGTGATAATAAATGGTCTCGTCTTAAGAAGCTTAAGAGGAAATATGACATATTAACAAGTTGCCATGAATTAAGGCATCATATAATAATACAATAAGAGAGTATAAACTATTTTAATAAACATGTTCTACAAAATGGAGCATTTGGATCCTGAAAGGGGGCTAGAATTTAAAAGTATGAGTTGAGAGAGAAAGCATTCCAGTCAGAGGTACCAGCAGAAAAAGTAGCTCTGAGACAGGCATTGGAATTATCAAATATATTTTTCTTCAGATTTTATGAAAGTATGCTTATCCATGAATGCTGAAGTGCTTATCTATGT
This sequence comes from Homo sapiens, assembly GCF_000001405.40. NCBI lineage: Eukaryota > Metazoa > Chordata > Mammalia > Primates > Hominidae > Homo > Homo sapiens. The sequence continues at coordinate 389,687 of NW_025791765.1, forward strand.
CAACATTTTGTTAAAGAGTTACTCAAGCTCAGAAAATATAGGGAAATTTTATTTATATTTTCTCAGAAAATATATTTATTTAATTTAATTTTCTCAGAAAATATATTTATTTCTATATTTTCTCAGAAAATATATTTATTTCTATATTTTCTCAGAAAATATATTTATTTCTATATTTTCTCAGAAAATATATTTATTTCTATATTTTCTCAGAAAATATATTTATTTCTATATTTTCTCAGAAAATATATTTATTTCTATATTTTCTCAGAAAATATATTTATTTCTATATTTTCTCAGAAAATATATTTATTTCTATATTTTCTCAGAAAATATATTTATTTCTATATTTTCTCAGAAAATATATTTATTTCTATATTTTCTCAGAAAATATATTTATTTCTATATTTTCTCAGAAAATATATTTATTTCTATATTTTCTCAGAAAATATATTTATTTCTATATTTTCTCAGAAAATATATTTATTTCTATATTTTCTGAGAAAATATATTTATTTATATTTTCTCAGAAAATATAGAAAATATAGGGAATTTTTAGTTTATATTCTTTGATTTTACCATGAATCTGAATTTCTGTTATTTAATTGTTTAAATAGTTACTATAATTTTTGTGTTAAAGATAACACATTATAGAATATCTAATTTACTTATCACCTTCAGGAAAATCAAATAAGCATTTGTGAAGTGTCAACTATTTTCTCTGCAGTGGTGCTTTTCAAACTACCCAGAGTGAAAGACTTTTATTTTTTGTAAAATGTAAAATATTGTGGCAATGTCAGATTGCTATAAAAGGTTTTCAAATCTGTACTTCCAGGTACTTCAAAATTAGTTTGCAGATTAGTACCAGTGGTCTTAGTACAATTTGAGTAGCTACAGTAAGTAAGGAGTTGATACAAAAGAAATACAGCATATTGTCACCATCATTGGTATAAGAATGTTGTGGGGAGGACTAGGCTTACCTATGTAACCAGTGGAAAATGCAGCATATGGTACAATTACTAAAGATAAATATAGACATAAAGAAGAGCGATGATAAAACTGTTCTGGATCCCAGTTAAAATCTTTGGGGTTACTGCTTAACTCTCTGGACTCACAGCCCCGACCCACCATCCCCAATGTGCAGTTTCACTCATGGAAAAAAAGTGTCTAGACCAGCAGCTGAGGATGCATTTACTCTATGTTCAGCCCACTCAAAATACAGTTCTGTAATCAGAATACAAAAACAACCACCAACAACAACATCAGCCCAACTTTCTTTACTGTGTTTCATTTAATGCTGAAATCAGACAATGATTAGAACATGAAACTTTGTTTGAAAAAGTATATTCAATAAATTTTGTATTTAAAACAGAGCTCTTGACCTATAAAGTATAAAAAGTAATTACAATGAAATATTCTTCAGTAAATCTGACACTTTGGGATTCCAGGCAAAAGGATCGCTTGGGTGCCAAGAGTTCAAGACCAGCCTGGTCAACATAGTGAGATTCTATCTCTGAAAAAAAAAAAGAACAAAAAACAAAAGTTAAACAAATCAGTAAATCTGAGATGCACTGGTATAATTCACTGGCTTGCCCAGTTGGTACTCTCTTAGCCATGGCTATTCCTGATGACTAACTGGCAGTAAAAGCCAGGAAATTATGGAGGTCTACTGAGGAGTCCCCTCTCGAAGTGAAGTTTTCCCATTATTTACACTTAAGAAAAAATTAATGTGAGATTGGATTTTAAACATCCCCATTAAAAACAGAAGAATGGAGGGAAGAAGGTGGGTGGGGAGGGAGAGAGAGAGCTGAATAAAACATTTACTTTATCATTTATCTTTTAAAGTCACATGGAATGCCAATTCCAAAATCACTTAATTTTTAGAACCACTGCAATCTAAACACTGTCATCAGAAACATGCCAAGTGTTGGTTCTCTGTGGTAGGTCTCCCATCTTACTTATATTTTCACTGTATTAAACTTTACCCTTGCATGGGTTTACCCTCCAGCCTCTGAGCCTTCATTAACTAGGACCCTATCTACCTGCATGTTTTGCTCTCCACTTTCTTTGCCATTCACTGGCCCCTTCTTTAGTGTTTGGTCTTCAGGTCGCCACTTTCCCTTTTAGCTAATTCCATTACTCTGATTTTCTCTGTTCCTTTAGCTACCCTATCCTAGAACAACTCTCCCAGGGATGAAAATGGGGACTTCAGAATTGAGAAATAAAAGGGAAGATGTTATGACAACCTTCCTATCTTATTTTTTGGTAAATCCACTCTTTCCCTGTCTCTATCTCTCTCTCACACACACACACACACACTCACACACACACAGAAATTTACAGGGTAAGAGAGATTAGGAAGATAATTTTGGTGGTAGAGTCAAGAAGAGGTTGAAGAGGTGCTAATATTAAAAGAGAGATTTGAATAAAATGTTTTTAGAATTCATAGGCATTATGATATTCTATTGTAAAATGCTATTGGTTAAAATTATCTTTGTATGGGCAAACTGAGTCTCTGTCTCCAGCTGTCTGTGAACAAGCTATTCAGTTCACTAAACCTCAGCACCTCATCTGTGGAATGAGCACCATAGTAGCTCCTGTCATAAAGGTTAAATGATTTTGTAAAGGACAGATTACAAAGCATATATAAAGTATTTGATTTTTTGTTATTAAAATACTTATAATGTCTGTAATATTTTTAAAGTAAAGAGGTATAATGATTTATACTTCTGTTTATTCTAGAAACTGATTCTTAGTTGAGCTCGGAGGTTTTTCAACTTTTCTTTCAAATATTGAGATAAATAACATTGATCTATCTATTTATCTATCTATCTATTTTGAGATAGGATCCTACTTTGTCACCCAGGCTGAAGTGCAGTGGCCTTTGTCTTCCAGGCTCAGGTAGGATCCTCCTACCTCATCCTCCCAAATATCTGGGACTACCAGTGTGTGACACCACCCCCAGCTAATGTTTTTGATTTTTTTGTAGAGATGAGGTCTCACTATGCTGACAAAGCTGGTTTTGAACTCAAGTAGTCCTCGTGTCTTGGCCTCCCAAAATGCTGAGATTACAGGCATAAGCCACTGTGCCTGTACTTTTATTTTATGTAGATCACCATCCCTTACTGAGTATCACATAACTGTTATTATAAATCTTGAATAAGAGATTACATGTTTTGGCCAGGCACGGTGGCTCATGCCTGTAATCCCAGCAATTTTGGAGGCCAAGGTGGGCAGATCACCTGAGGTCAGGAATTCGAGACCAGCCTGGCCAAAATGGTGAAACCCCATCTCTACTCAAAATACAAAAAAAAAAAAAAAAAAAAAAAAAAAAATTAGCCAGGTATGGTGGCACATGCCTGTAGTCCCAGCTACTGGGGAGGCTGAGGCAGAAGAATTGCTTGAACTCAGAAGGCAGAAGTTGCAGTGAGCTAAGACCATCCCACTGCACTCCAGCCTGGGCAAATGAGTGAGAATCCATCTTAAAAAAAAAAAAAGACTACATATTTCATACAGTATTCCAAAACCAAAAACAACACTATGCTTTGCTTTTCGTTACCATGAATCTATAAGTTATTAAGCTTTCAGTACTGCAAATATTGTCACATATTAACAGTTTGACTTGAAAATACGTGTAATTTCTACTAAAAATAGAAAAGAAAGGCCTTGTCTTTAGAAGCTTCCAAGGAACATTATAACAGAAGTTATATTTTCCACAATTTGGGTTCAATTAATCTTATATATTGCAATTGACTTAAATAAAATTTTAATTTTTGAACACTTTAAGGTTTACAGAAACATCGTGAAAATAGTATAATATTCCTGGTAAGTACCCAAACTCTGCTTTCTCTATTACTAAAATTTTATATTAGTGTGGTGCATTCATTACAATTAAGGCATCAATATTGTCATATTATTATTATCTAAAGACCATACTTGTTCAGAATTCCTCAGTTTTTATTTAGTTTCCATTTTCTGTTCTAGTGTACATCCTAGAATCTTATATTACATTTAGTCATTGTGAGACAGACTCCAGGTCAGTAAGTGCTGAAACAGGGGATGTTAAAAAAGAACCAACATAGATTACAAAAGGAAGACTCAAAGCTTCCAGAATGATTTTCTTTCTATCTAAAATCATTTTCTATCTTTCATCCTATCAGCACTCATAAATTACACACACTCATAACCTGCCACAATTTACTGGCAGATTGTGAAGCGGGAGCAGGCATGTCACACAGTGAAAGCAGGAACAAGAGAGTGAGGGGGGAGATACCACACACTTTTAAACAACCAGATCTTTTGAGAGCTCACCTGCTATCATGAGGAGTACCAAGGAGATAGTACTAAACCATTCATGAGAAATCCACCCTCCTAATCCAGTCACCTCCCTCCAGACCCCACCTACCACACTGGGGATTACAGTTCAACATGAGATTTGGGTGGGGACACAGATCCAAACTATATCACAGGGGTTTCCCTATGTTGCTTAGGCTGGTCTCAAACTCCTGGCCTCAAGTGATCTTCCTGCCTCAACCTTCCAACGTGCTGGAATTAGAGGTATCAGCCACCATGCCCAGCCAGAAATTTCTTTCTCAAGGGGCTTTTCATCTCACTGGAAATTTTAGTTTAGGGATCTCCCAACTTACAAAGGGTTTGTGTTCCAAAATTTTGTTTCTAAGTCAGGTAGGCTCACTTTCCTACAGAAAATGAGAAGAAGCCAGTCCCAAAGCAAGCAATAAAAGCCTGTTGCCTCACAAGTGAACTATGATGTTGCTAAATCCATCAGGAGTAGTTTTACTTTTGCTCTTTGTTGAATGGGCTACTGTGGGCCTGTGGGGGCACCTAACCACCATTTATCTTATTTCTTTGAAGCAGGTCATGCTGTCACGTGTGGTCAAAAGGGAATTAGTGATGATAATGGAGCTTTCTCTGCCTCTCTCCCTCTTGACTGCCAAGGTCCAGGGAAGTTCACATCTCAGTGGTCACGGGCTGGCCAAGTAGATCCCCACCAGTTGCTGGATAATGCCTGTGAACTACTGGCTAGCATCTATTCTGAAAACCTAGCTTCTGGTTTGCTTGTTTATTCACCAGTATCTCACATAATTTTCTTATGACCATCTGGCACCTAATATAGATCCCAAAAGAGTTTAAGAGGATTTACCCTTTAGGCAAAAAATACTGGCAGTGTTTATAATCCCCTCAAAAAGAGAGAGGGAGAAAAAAAGAAAGAAGAAATGTTTTTAAAGGAAGAGATAGCACCATGTAACTATAAATAACTCTCTATATCAGACTGAAAATAAATTTTTGTTTTTTCTTTATTTTGGCTCATTTGGTAAGCTAACAAACTGGAAGAAAAGAACCAGTTTTAACTAAACAACTCTAAAAGATTTCAGAATTTGAAAACTTAGAGTTATGAATAGATTTGATTCACTTAGCCCCAAAACTATCAAAAGAAGTATATAAAATATTAATAGTCACCAAAACCATTGAGCTATAGAATTCCAGATATTGAAATTCTAAGGAAATGTTGTTTTAGAATCAAATCATGTACTAGCTGAAATTAAATCAAATACCATTACTGAGTATTGTTATTAGGATAAACATCTTTCCATACTTTGGTGAAATTGGAAATACTCTTGCAGAAGTGTTTTCATCTCTCACCCAGAAAAAGTAAATAATGACCTTCTTCCTTCTTCCACTTAATGTAATATCCTACATTTACATATATTGTGTCATCCCTTGTTTTGTGATTATTTGCTTACAGATTTTCTCTAGGTGCTCTCTAAGCAGAGAGAACAGGGTACTGGTTAAGATTGTAGATCTAGGGGATCACTGATCTAGGTCCTATTCCAAATTTGATTCCTCACCTGCTAAGCTTGCAAGTGCAACTTATTTAAATTCTCTGAAGGTTAAATGTTTCATCTAAATAGGGATAATAATAAACACCTATAGCATAGAGTTGTTTGAGATTAAATGAGATAATACATGTAAAATTATGTGCCTGGCATACAGCAAGATTGTTGTTGTTGTTGTTGTTGATGATGATGATGATATTGATAATATTTTTCTATCCCCAGTGCACAACTGCTTGAACGTATTAGATAATCAATACATGTTTCTTGAACTGAGATCAATTTCCCCATGTTGTCTGACTGATGAAGCCCTACATTTTCTTCTAGAGGAGATGACATCTGAGCAAGATCTTAAAGAAAATCAGATGCCTTCACCTGACCACTGCTTGGTGATCCCATGGCACTTTGTACATCTCTCCATTAGCTCTCATCTCACCAGCCCATCATTATTGTATGTGCTGCCTTCTGAAGCTTGCAGCTGGCTACATCAGGTAGAATAAAATCATCCTTTCATAAAATAGTGACCTCCTTTTTTATTTGCATTTCCAAAGCCAAGCACGTGGTAGGCAGACAACAAATGCTTGCTCCTGGGCTGCGCTAAAGGCATCTATAACCACTAAGCCCAAAGAGTGTGGTGTCCCTTCAAAAGGAAGGAGCCAGTGTTTATATCACTTTTTCTTGACCTTCAAGGCTCCATTCAAAGCCCACCTCCAGCATGAGGCACTATCCAGTCCAATCCACAGTGATCACTCCCTTTCTGAGTCCTTCTAGGAAATCAGACACAGTCATTTGAGGTGTGTGTTAGTAATCTTTCCTCAGATGCCCTGTGAGCTCTTTTGCACAGTACCAAGGCATGTAATAGGCAGGAAACGTATTTAATTGCTTGGCTTAGTTCTAGTTTTCAATGTGTACTTCTCCAGAATTATCCAATTAACCCTAACTTGAGAAGATAGGCAAACTGGATTTGCACACACTGGAGTCAATTCCTGATACCCCCGGGGGTGTGAATGAACAGAGGTCTTCTTGCTGGCTTCTGTAACAGTATCTCTCTTTGGCCAGCACCCAATTTTTGGAACCATTATGAGCACACAAAAACAGCATTTTACACAAATCAAGAAATAGCTCCCAACCATGTCTTTGTGGCATTGTTAAACAACAGTAAATTGTACTTTGAGTTCTATTTCCTCTAATTAAATGAAATGAGAAGTGGGCCCAAGTCCCCCAGAAAGAGACTGGAGGGAACCACGATGTTTCCTGTGATTAGATACACCACTAAGGAAATCTGACCCTGAGCAACTGAAAGCTGCCTATTCTCATTAAGAAGAGCTACAGACTGACCCTTTTCAAAGACTAGTAACTGGACACATTTCTTTCACAAATTATCTTCTTTTCCCTTCTTCATACCAGGAATTCTCAGGGATTATAATCCTCATCAATATAACAAGCCTCCAAAGTCATATTTTTTAACTTTGTGAAATGCCCTCCCACCTAACTACCCCATTTGACACCTGCAACCATCCTCTAGAGAGGCAGACAAGATCGACCGTCTCACTTTACAGAAGTGCAAAGAGTAGCTGGCCTAATGCCACAGCCAATGAACAGATGAAGGAGGCCTACAACCACCTAGTCTTCCCTACTTCTCCTCACTCCTCCCCTCTGACCTCCTTATGTCACCACTGACCAATGGATCACTGTGTGGCCGTTCAGCATCTTCCTATGCTGTGTCAGGCAAGAGAAATTCTGGAAAGAGAGCATCTCATGTTTATTAAGGAGACTGGGTGTCCTTGTAGAAAGTCCTGCCATGCACAACCCCGGTCTTAACTGATGTGTTTCACCATACTGAAGGCAAGTTGCCATCTAACATAGTTGAAGGCGAGCCAGTTGTGGTGATCTTTGTTCCTGCTGAAATATGGAAAGAAAATGAGGAAATGAGCTCATTTTCAAAGAAAATGAACATTCTTTCACATGAAAGAAATAGGAGCAAAGTGACAGGAGAGAAACAAAGCTTAGGGTTGGTGTGAGATACACAGACAGGGTGTTAGCCCCACAAACAGTGCTGCTGGGCCAAGTTAACTCCCTGTTTTTCCCTATATATGTGGTGTGGAAAAGCTATTTATAAAATGTGTTTAAATATTTAGGACCAAATAAATCAACATTGTTGGGAAACATTGACTCTGACCAGAACTCATTTCCTCACCCTAGTCCAATGTGAATAACAAAATGAAGAATATCAGGATGATTCGAGACCAGGAATACTACAGATGTCCAACACTTCCACCTGGAATCCCCAAAGAGGCCCGCTTTTAGCCTCCACACTGGTTGGTGACCTGACATGAGAGAAATGACAGAAATCTCAGAAGACTGGCCTCATGAATAATCTTCAGTTTCAATGTAACAAAGCAAGCCTTCTAGAAATTACCTGCCTCTGCAGTTCACTCTGCTGCTTCAGATGAAAATTTTCAGGTCTGTCTGCCACTGTAGTGAAGCACTGCTTTGGGTAGTGTCTGTGGAGAAACTTTTTAAAGGACATAGTTGAAATATTGTGCTACAAACCAATTCTTGAACACCACTCATTTTGTCCTACCTCTCTGTGACCGTGAAAGACGGCTGTACTCTTGGCAAAGGTCATCTCTCTGTCATGAGTCTGGATCTCCTTTTCTTCTCCTGATTATCTGTCACTCAGTTATCCCCACTCTCTTCCACAACTTTAACTTCAGCTTCTCTATTCTAAGAGACTCTTCTCGCAGGCTCAAGGCTCTCCTACCCTCCATCATTCCTCCCTCTACCCCACACAGCCAGCATGTGTCCAGCTAGTCTATCCTTCAGCCAAACTTCCTTAGAAAGAGGACTTACCTCACTGTCCCTACCCCTCTACTCTCTGACTCACTTCTTAGCTCCATGACTGGGTTCTGGTTTCTTTCCCTTGCCTGTTGTGACTTCCTATGGACACAGCCAAAAACCATCACATAGTCCTGTTGTATGGCATCCCCACCATCTTGAAATGTCCTCTCCCTCAGTTCCTATGTGTTACCACACACGCCTGCCTTGGCTTCTCCCTCTAGTTGTTCCTTCTCTGTCTTCTGTGGGCTTCTTATTGTCTGCTCACTCCTTCTTCAGTGTCCTCTCATGGGCTTCCTTCCCTTCTCAGCTGATGCCATCACCTGGGGAATCACAGTTACTCAGCAGCACTGGGGCCTCTCTATCTCTATGCTGGTCATGCCTATGTGTGAGCTGCAGACCCAGTGGAATTTCCATTTGTGCATCCCATGCCCAGCCCACCCTCCACCAGCCTCGAATGCAGCTGTTCAGCCCTACCCCAGTCCTCAGAAAAGTTCCTCTCCCTGGATCCTCTTTTTCCTTCATGAGTGCCCGGTTGCCCAAGTCAAAAACCTGGGAGTGATATAAACTCCCCACACATCCAGTCAGTCACTCATCAACTCTATTGATTCTGTCTGCTAAATATATCTCAATTGTATTAACTTAAACATATGCATAATACATCTTCTTCTTCACTGCATTTTTGTGGGCTGCACTTACCTTTCAGGTAACAACAACACTGGCCCCTCTTGCCCTTCTAGTCAGAAGTGCCAAAATGATGAGAGCTAGCCATGACAAACCCACAGCCAACATTACACTGAATGTGCAAAACTGGAAGGGCATCCAAACAGAGGAGGGAAGAGAGGAATAGACAGGAAGTCAAACTGTCTCTGTTTACAGATGACATGTTTCTATATCTAGAAAGCCCCATAGTCTTGGCCCCAAAGCTTCTTCTGCTGATAAACTTTAGCAAAGTCTTAGCATACAAAATCAATGTGCAAAAATTACTAGCAGTCCTATACATCAAGTCAAGCAGAGAGTCAAATGAAGAACACAATCCCATTCATAATTGCTACACACAGAAAAAATAAGATACCTAGGAATACAGCTAACCAGGGAGGTGAAAGATCTCTAGGAGATCTCTAGAAGAATTACAAAACACTGCTCAAAGAAATCAGAGAAGACACAAACAAATGGAAAAACATGTCATGCTCATGGATAGGAAGAATTAATGTCATTAAAATGGCTATACTGCCCAAAGTAATTTACAGATGCAAGTTATCCCTATTAAATTACCAACGGCATTCCTCACAGAACTAGAGCAAACTATTTCAAAATTCATATGGAACCAAAAAAAAGAGCCCTAATAGCCAAGCAATCCTCAGCAAAAAGAACGAAGCTGGAGGCATCATGTTACCCAACTTCAAACCATACTACAGGGCTACAGTAACCAAAACAGCATGATACTGATACAAAAACAGCTCATCATTTTGAGCTATGTTTCTTCAATACCCAGATTTTTTAGAGTTTTTAATATGGAGAGGCATTGAATTTTATTGAAAGCCTTTTCTGCTTATATTGAGATAACCACATGGTTTTTATCTTTAGTTTTGTTTATGTGATGAATCAGATTAATTGATATGTGTATGTTGAGGCAACCTTGCATCCTGGGGATGAAGCATACTTGATCATGATGGATTAACTTTTTGATGTGCTGCTGGATTTGGTTTGCCAGTATTTTGTTGAGGATTTTTGCATTGATGTTCATCGAGGGTATTGGCCTGAAGATTGTGTGTGTGTGTGTGTGTGTGTGTGTGTGTGTGTGTGTGTGTGTGTGTGTGTGTGTGTGTATCTGCCAGATTTTGGTATCAAGATGATGTTGGCCTCATAGAATGAGTTGGGGAGGAGTTCCTCCTCCTCAATATTTTCAAATAGTTCCTGTAAAAATGGTACCAGCTCTTCTTTGTATTTCTAGTAGAATATGACTGGGAATCCATCATGTTCTGGGCTTTTTTTGGTTGGTAGGTTATTTATTACTGATTCAATTTCGGAGCTTGTTATTGGTCTGTTTACAGCAAATCAATTTCTTCCTGGCTCAGTTGTGGGAGGGTGTATTTCTCCATGAATTTATCCATCTCTTTGAAGTTTTCTAGTTTGTATGCATAGAAGTGTTTGCAGTAGTTTCTGATGGCTGTTTCTATTTCTGTGGGGTCAGTGGTAACATTCCCTTTGTCATTTCTAATTGTGTTTCTTTCAATCATCCTCTGTATTAGTCTGCTAGCAGACTTTCTTATTAATATTTTCAAGAAACCTACCCGGAATTCATAGATCTTTTGAATTTCTTTTTTTCATGTCTCGGTTTCTTTCAGTTCAGCTCAGATTTTCAGTTATTTCTTGTCTTCCTCTAGCTTTGGGGTTTTGTCTTGCTTCTCTAGTTCTTTCAGTTGTGATGTTAGGTTATTAATTTGAGTTCTTCCTAACTTTTTGATGTGGGATTTAGTGCTATAAATTTCCCTCCTAACATTGTCTTAGCTGTGTCCAGAGGCTCTAGTATGTTGTAACTTTGTTCTCATTATTTTCAAAGAGCTTCTTGATTTCTGCCTTAATTTCATTATTTATTAAAAAGTCATTCAGGAGCATGTTGATTGATTTCCATGTAATTGCATGATTTTCAGCAATTTTCTTAGTCTTCTATTTTTACTGCACTGTGATCTCAGTATGTATTTGGTATGATTTCAGTTGTTTTGCATTTGCTGAGGATTGCTTTATGTCCAATTATGTGGTTGATTTTAGAGTATGTGGCATATGATGATGTGAGGAATGCATATTCTGTTGTTTTTGAGTGCAGAGTTCTGTAAAGGTCTATCAGATCCATTTGATCCAATGTTGAGTTCAGGTCCTGAATATCTTTGTTCATTTTTTTGCCTCAATCATCTGTCTAATACTGTCATTGGAGTGTGGAAATCTCCCACTATTACTGTGAAACATACTTTGTAGGTCTCTAAGAACTTTACTTATGAATCTGGGTGCTCCTGCATTGGATGAATATATATTTAGGATAGTTAGGTCTTCTCGTTGAATTGAAGCCTTTGCCATTATGTAATATCCTTCTTTGTCTTTTCTATTTTATTTTAAGTTCCAGGATACATGTACAGGATGTGCAGGTTTGTTACATAGTTAAACATGTGCCATGGTGGTTTGCTGCACCTATCAACCTATCACCTAGGTATTAAGCCCCACGTGCATTAGCTATTTATCGTGATGCTCTCCTTCCCCCTACCTTCCCAACAGGCTCCGGTGTGTGTTCTGCCCCTCCCTGTGTCCATGTGTTCTCATTGTTCGGTTCCCACTTATGAGAACATGTGGTGTTTGGTTTCCTGTTCCTGTGTTAATTAGCTGAAGTTTATGGCTTCCAGCTTCATCCATGTCCCTGCAAAAGACATGATCTCATTCCTTTTTATGGCTGCATAGTATTCCATGGTGTATATGTATCACATTTTCTTTATCCAGTCTATCATTGATGGACATTTGGGCTGATTCCATGTCTTTGCTATTGTGAATAGTGCTGCAATAAACATAAGTGTGCATGTATCTTTAAAACAGAATGATTTATATTTCTTTGGATATAAACCTAGTAATGGGATTGCTGGGTCAAATGGTATTTCTGCTTCTAGATCCTCCAGGAATTGCCACACTGTCTTCCACAATGGTTGAACTAGTTTACATTCCCACCAACAGTGTAAAAGTGTTCCTGTTTCTCCACAGCCTCTCTAGCATCTGTTGTTTCTTGACTTTTTAATAATTGCCATTCTGACTGGCATGAGATGGTATCTCATTGTGGTTTTGATTTGCATTTCTCTAATAAACACTAGTGTTGAGCTTTTTTTTTCATATGTTTGTCGGACGCATAAATGTCTTCTTTTCAGAATGTCTGTTCGTGACCTTTGCCCATGTTTTGATGGGGTTGTTATTTTCTTGTAAATTTGTTTAAGTTCCTTGTAGATTCTGGATATTAGACCTTTGTCAGATTGGTAGATTGCAAAAATATTCTCCCATTCTGTAGGTTGCTTGTTCACTCTGATGATAGTTTCTTTCCCTGTGCAGAAGTGCTTACGTTTAATTAGATCCCATTTATCAATTTTTGCTTTTGTTGCAATTGCTATTGATGATTTCATCATAAAATCTTTGCTCATGCCTATGTCCTGAATGGAACTTCCTAGATTTTCTTCTAGGGTTTTTTACAGTTCGGGGTTTCACATTTAAGTTTTTAATCCATCTTGAGTTAATTTTTGCATAAGATGTAAGGATGAGGTCCAGTTTCAGTTTTCTGCATATGGCTAGTCAGTTTTCCCAGCACCATTTAAATAGGGAATCCTGGCCAAGTGCAGTGGCTCATGTCTATAATCTCAGCACTTTGGAAGGCTGATGCAGGTGGATCTTGAGGTCAAGAGATCAAGACCATCCTGGCCAACATGGTGAAACCCCGTCTCTTCTAAAAATACAAAAACTAGCTGGGCGTGGTGGCTCGAACCTGTAGTCCCAGCTACTCAGGAGGCTGAGGCAGGAGAATCACTTGAATCCGGGAGGCAGAGGTTGCAGTGAGCTGAGATCATGCCGCTGCACTCCAGCCTGGTGACAGAGTGAGACTTTGTCTCAAAATAAATAAATAAATAAATAAATAGGTATTCCTTCCCCCATTGCTTGTTTTTGTCAGGTTTGTCAAAGATCAGATGGTTGTAGATGTGTGGTCTTATTTCTGAGATCTCTATTCTGCTCCATTGGTCTGTGTGTCTGTTTTGGTAACAGTACCATGCTGTTTTGATTAGTGTGGCCTTGTAGTATAGTTTGAAGTCATATAGCATGATGCCTCCAGCTTTGTTCTTTTGGCTTAGGATTGTCTCGACTATTCAGTCTCTTTTTTGGTTGCATATGAAACTTAAAGTAGTTTTTTTTTAATTATGTGAAGAATGTCAATGGTAGTTTGATGTGAATAGCACTGAATCTATAAATTACCTTGGGCAGTATGGCCATTTTCATGAGATTGATTCTTCCCACCCATGAGCATGGAATATTTTTCCATTTGTTTGTGTCCTCTCTTATTTCCTTGAGCAGTGGCTTGTAGTTCTCCTTGAAGAGGTTCTTCACATCCATCGTTAGCTGTATTCCTAGGTATTTTATTCTCTTTGTAACAATTGTGAATGGGAGTTCATTCATGATTTGGCTCTCTTGCCTATTGTTGGTGTATAGGAATTGAAGAATACTGTCTATTGCTGGTGTATAAGAATGCTTGTGATTTTTGCACATTGATTTTGTATCTTCAGACTTTGCTGAACTTGCTTATCAGCTTAAGGAGTTTTTGGGCTGTGACGATGTGGTTTTCTAGATATAGAATCACATTTTCTGCAAACACAGACAATTTGATTTTATCTCTTGCTATTTGAACATGTTTTATTTCTTTCTTTTTTTTTTTGAAGGGTTTTTCATGTCTCTGTCTCCTTCAGTTCCACTTTGATCTTAGTCATTTTTTTTTCTCTTCTGCTAACTTTTGGATTTGTTTGCTCTTGCTTCTCTAGTTCTTTTAGTTGTGATGTTAGGGTGTCAATTTGAGATATGTCTAGCTTTATGATGTGGGCATTTAGTGCTATAAATTTACCTCTTAACACTGCTTTAGTTGCCTCCCAGAGATTCTGGTACATTGTCTCTTTGTTCTCATTGGTTTCAAAGAGCTTCTTGATTTCTGCCTTAATTTTATTATTTACCCAGAAGTCACTCAGGAGCACGTTGTTCAATATCCATGTAGTTGTGTGGTTTTGAGTGAGTTTCTTAATCTTGAGTTCTAATTTGATTGCACTGTGGTCTGAGAGATTGTTATGATTTCAGTTATTTTGCATTTGCTGAGGAGTGTTTTAATTCTAATTTTGTGATCAATTTTAGAGTGTCATATGCCACTAAGAATAATATATAGTCTGTTGTTTCGTGTTGGAGAGTTCTGTAGATATCTATGAGATTCACTTGATCCAGAGCTGTGTTCAAGTCCTTTCTTGTCAATTTTCTGCCTAGATGATCCAATATTGACAATGGGGTGTTAATGTCTCCCACTATTGTTGTGTGGTAGCCTGAGTCTCTTTGTAGGTCTCTAAGAACTTGTTTTGTGAATCTGGGTTCTCCTGTATTGGGTGCATACATATTTAGGATAGTTAGCTCTTCTTGTTGAATTGATTCCTTTATCATTGTGATGTTCTTCTTTGTCTTTTTTTATCTTTGTTGATTCAAAGTCTGTTTTGTCAGAAACTAAGATTGCAACCCCTGCTTTTTTCTGCTTTCCATTTGCTTGGTAAATTTTCCTCCATCGCTTTGAGCCTATGTGTGTCTTTGCACATGAGATAGGAACCCTGAATACAGCACACCTGAATCTTGACTCTTTATATCCAATTTGCTGGTCTGTGTCTTTTAATTGGTACATTTAGCCCATTGACACTTAAGGTTAATATGGTTATGTGTGAATTTGATCCTGTCACCATGATGCTTGCTGGTTATTTTGCTCACTAGTTGATGCAGTTTCTTCATAGTGTCATTGGTCTTTGTACTTCAGTACATTTTTGCAGTGGCTGGTACCAGTTTTTCCTTTCCATCTTTAGCACTTCCTTCAGGAGGTCTTGCAAGGCAGGCCTGGTGGTGATAAATTCCCTCAGCATTTGCTTGTCTGAAAAGGATTTCTCCTTCACTTATGAAGGTTAGTTTGGCCAGATATGAAATTCTAGGTTAGAAATTCTTTTCTCTAAGAATGTTGACCATTGGACCCAACTGTCTCCTGGCTTGTGGGGTTTCTGCTGAGAGGCCCACTCTTAGTCAGATGGGCTTCCCGTTGTAGGTGACCTGCCCTTTGTCTCTGTCTGCCTTTAACATTTTTTCCTTCATTTTGATCTTGGAGAATCTGATGACTATGTGTCTTGAGGGTTGATCTTCTTGTGGAGTATCTTACTGGGGTTCTCTGGATTTCCTGAATTTGAATGTTGGCCTGTCTTGCTAGGTTGGGGAAGTTCTTCTGGATGATATCTTGAAGTGTGTTTTCCCAACGTGGCTCCATTCTCCTTGTCTCTTTCAGGTAGTCCAATCAGTCATAGGTTTGGTCTTTTACATAGTTCCACAGTTCTTTGAGGTTTTGTTCATTCCTTTTCATTCTTTTTTCTCTAATCTTCTCTGCCTGCCTTATTTTGGCAAGATAGTCTTCAAGCTCTGATATTCTTTTTTCTGCTTGATCAATTCAGCTGTTGATACTTGTGTTTGCATCACAAAGTTCCCCTTATGTGCTTTACAGCTGGCTCTGGTCATTTATGTTCCTCTCTAAACTGGTTATTCTAGTTAGCATCTTCTGTAATCTTTTAACATGGTTCTTAGCTTCTTTGCTGACAGAAGTAGGGTTCAGAAGGTGGGTAATAACAAATTTCACAGAGCTAAATGAGCATGTTCTAACCCAATGCATTGATTTCTCCACCTCCCTTTCAGGGATGCCAGTGATTTGTAGAATTGGCCTCTATATATAACCCCATACTTATTGGAGGTTTTCTTCCTTCCGTTTTATTCTTTTTTATTTTTGTCTGTCTTATTTTAGAGAACCAATCTTTAAGTTCTGGGATTCGTTCCAATATGTTGGGTTAGAGCGTACTCCTTTAGCTCAGTGAAGTTTGCTACTACCCACCTTCTGAAGCCTACTTCTGTCAATTCATCCATCTCAACCTCCACCCAGGACTGTGCCCTTGCTGTAGAGGTGTTGTGATCATTTGGAGTAAACAAGTCACTCTGGCCTTTTGAGTTGTTAGGGGTTTTTCATTCCTTTCTCATCTTCATGAGTTTGTCTCATTTTGATCTTTGAGGCTGCTGACCTTTAGATGAGGTTTTCGTGGGGACTTTTTGGTTGATGTTGTTGTTGCTTTCTGTTTTTCTTTCGACAGTCAGGTACCTCTTCTGTAGGGCTGCTGTGGTTTGCTGGGGATTCACTTCAAGCCCTATTTATCTGGGTCCCTCCCACACCTGAAGATGTCACCAGAGAGTGCTGGAGAACAGCAAAGATGGGACCCCACTCCTTCCTCTGGGATCTCTGTCCTTGAGGGGCACCCACCTGATGCCAGTAGAAATGCTCCTGTATAAGGTGTCTGGTGACCCACTGGGGTGTTTCACCCAGTTGAGGGGCACAGGATCCAGGACTTGCTTAATGAAGCACTTTGATTGTCCCTTTGGGAAGGGGGTATGCTGTGCCGGGGAAAATCCCACTCATCTGGGCTGCCTGGAATCCTCAGAGTGAGCAGGGGGAAAGAACAAGTCTTCCGGTTTGTGGAGACAACAGCCAGCCACCCCTCCCACTAGGGACTCAGACCTAGAGAGATCAGAGTTCTCTCCCTAATTCCCTGGCTTGAGTTGCTGGAGTTCCTGCAGGGAGGCCCCACCCAGTGAGGAGGGATGGGTCAGGGTCAGCCTAAAGAGGCAGTCTGGCCATGATCTGCCACAGCCAGTATGCTGCGCTGTGGGGAATACCTCTTGGGACCAAGCCGTCCAGTCTTCCTGGCATCAGCAAAGGAAAAACAGCAGCCTGGATCTGTAGAAATGGCTGCCGCCCTTCCTCCCCAGGAGTTCAGTGTCTTAGGCAGCTAGCAGCCACAGTGATGGCTGCTGTCCCTTCTTAGGGAGCTCAGTTTCCTCAGGCAGCAGGCAGCTGCAGTGATGATGACTGCCCCTCTCTTGGGAAGCTCAGTTGTCTTAGGCAGCCAGCAACCACAGTGATGATTGCTCCCCCTCCCCCAGGGAACTCAGAGGGTTTAGGCAGCAGGCAGTCACAGTGATGATGACCACCCCTCCCCAACTTGGGAACTCGGTAGTTTTAGGCAGACTCCAGCTGAGTGGCTGTTGAGAATCTGCATGGCTCTGTGGTTGGCACCCAAGGCCCTCGTGGTGTGGTCTCATGAGTGGGATCTTCTGATCTGTGGATTGCAAAGATCCATGGAAAAAGCAGTTTCCCAGGCTGGGTAGCATGCTCACTCACTGCCTCCCTTGGCTGGCTGAGGGTGACGGCTCCCCTTGCCCCATGTGGCTCCCAGGTGGGCCAATCCACCAGCCCATCTTTCCTTGTTCTCTATGGGTCACGGCAACCACCTAGTCAGTCCTGATCATAGAACCTGGATATGTCAGTTGCTGGTGCAGGATTTGCACACTCTTTTAGTTCTTCTCAGTGGGAGCCTCAAACTGCAGCTGCTTCTAGTCGGCTATCTTGCCCCTGCCCCCTTGTCCTTTTGAAAAATTATTGTTCATTTGAAATCTGTTTTGTCTGAAATTAGGATTGCAACCTCTGCTTTTTTTCTGTTTTCTATTTGTCTGGTAGATTTTTCTCCATCCTTTTAGTTTGAGACGATGAGTGTCATTATGTGTGAGATGGGTCTCTTGAAGACGACATACCATTGGGTCTCGCTTTTTTTTTTTTTAAATCTAGCTTGCCACTCTGTGCCTTTTAAGTGGGGCATTTGCCCATTTACATTCAAGGCTAGTATCGATTTGTGTAGATTTGATCTTGTCATTGTGCTGTTGGCTGGTTATTATGTTGGCTTTTTTGTGTGGTTGCTTTATAGTGTCACCGGTCTGTGTGTTTAAGTATGTTTTTGCATTAACGTGTAGTGGTCTTTCCTTTCTATATTTAGTCCTCCTTTCTAAAATCTCTTGTAAGGCAGATGTGGTGGTAATGAATTACCTCAGAATTTGCTTGTCTGTAAATGATCTCATTTCTCCTTCATTTAGAAAGCTTAGTTTAGCTGTATATGAAATTCTTGGTTGGAGATTTTCTTTAATAATGTTAAATATAGTCCCCCAATCCCTTCTGGCTTGTAGGATTTCAGCTGAGAGATCTGCTGTTAGCCTAATGGGGTTCCCTTTGTAGATGGCCTGCCCTTTCTCTCTGGCTGCCTTTAACATATTTTCCCTCATTTCGACCTTGGAAAACCTGATGTTTATGTGTCTTGAGGATGGTCTTGTGTAGAATCTTGTAGGAGTTCTTTGTATTTCCTGAATTTGACTGTTGGCCTTTCTAGCAAGGTTAGGGAAGCTTTCAAAGATGATATCCTGAACTACGTTTTCCAAGTTGTTTGATTTCTCCACCTCCCTTTCAGAGATGCCAGTGATTTGTAGAATTGGCCTCTTTATATAATCCAATCCTCCTTGAAGGTTTTGTTCATTCTTTTTTATTTTTGTCCATCTTATTTTAGAGAACCAATCTTCAAGTTCTGAGATTCGTTCCTCAGATTTTTTTTTCTGCTGTTAATACTTGTGATTGCATTGTGGAATTCTTGTATTGTGTTCTTCGGCGCTTTCAGATCGGTTAGGTTCTTTTTTATTATACCAGCTACTTTATCCTTCAGCTCCTGTAACACTTTACTGTTATTCTTATTTTCCTTGGATTGGGTTTTGCCATTCTCCTGAGTCTTGATGATTTTTTTTCCTATCCATATTCTGAATTATATTTATGTAATTCCAGACAGTTCATCCAGGTTAAGAACTCTTGTTGGAGAACTGGTGTGGTTGTTAGAAGGACATATGACACAGAGGCCATTTGAGTTACTGGAGTTCTTGCATTGGTTTCTTCTCATTTCCACCTATGGGTTTTCCTTTAATTGCAGTGTAGATTGAGTACAGTCCGTAGACTTATTTTCGGATGTTTTCACCAGGCTGAGGCTTTGTGCAGGGTCTTTATTTGAAGCTGACTTCTCATTTCTGGTTTCAGAGGGGAGTATATTAGTAAGGTATTTTTGATGCTGAAGCTTTGGGATGTGATCCAGTAGGTGGCACTTGGGCTTACTGGTCAGTTGGTAGACTCTTGCTTGGTCATGTGGCTCCCCTATGTTTCCTTACAGTTGCAGCCATGTTCCCTCTCAATGATCTGAAAATGTGCTTCTCTCCCCCTTGAGTGCTGGCTGTAGGTCATGGCTTGGCACTCCTAGGCTGCCCACTGCAGCTCTGGGGCAATCTCAGTGTTTATATTTCTTTCCTAACTTTGAGGCAGAAGAGGAAGGGACATTAGTAGTGGTTGTAGCCAAGGGTCTTTTGTTTGTCTCCTCAGAGTTCCACCACCCCTGGAGAATACAGCAACTGTTTACTGCAATCAGCAATCAGGATGGAGAATTCGTGCTGTGGGGGCCAATCCAGGGGTTCCCTGTCATGAGCAGTGGGGAGTGTGTAGAACCCATGAGAGATGGGCTTTGGTCAATTAAAGCTTGTTGAAGGTGTAGATAAGGGTGTTAGCTCCTTCATCAGTCTGAGGGTAGCAAGGACAGTTCCACTGCAGAAGCAGTGGCAGAGAGGCTTTCAGTTGCCCCTGGAGGCTCTCTCCAGGGAGTGGCTGAGTTGCTACTGGCTCAACAGTTCTGGTAGGGGGGGTTAGGTAGAGGTCCAGGCCTGCAAGACTTGCCTAGTGAGAAGATATAGGAATGGGAACCCAGGTAACAGTCTGGCCACTTTTCCATAGGGCTGCTGCAGTATGCCCAGGGCCCGCTCCAGTCTCTAGTAGCCTCAGATTTTCCAGTACCTGGAGTTATCATCAGTGAAGCCTGTGAAACAGCAAAGATGGCAGCCTACCGCTCCCTTTGGAAGCTTTGCCCTAGGGAGGTATGAATGAACTTGTTGCTGGCCCAAACACACCTGTAGGAGGTGGCTGGAGACCCCAGTTTGGAGGTTTTGCCCAGTGAGGAGGAATGGCATTGGGAAAGTGCTTAAAAAAGCAGTCTGGCCTCATTTTTATAGAGCAGCTGTGCTATGCTGAGGGTCCACATCACCCCCTGGTCTCCTTGGACACTCCAAAGACTGAAGGTTGAAGTGGCTAAGTTGCAAAAACAGCAAAGATGGTGGCCTGCCCCTCCATCAGGGAGCTCCAGCCCAGAAAAAATTGAAATCACTGTCAGCAGGAGAACACCAGTGGGGGTGGTTGGAGGCCCCAGTTGGGAAGTCCCAAACAGTGAGGAGGAATGAATCCGGGACCTACTTAAAGAAGCAGTCTGGCTATGCTTTTGTACAGCAGCTGTGCTGTGCTGGGGGGCCATATCCGCCCTAAGTCAGCTGGGACTCCTTAAAGCCCAAAGGCTGGAATGGCTAAGTTGCCAAAACATCAAATATGGCGGCCCACGCCTCCCTCAGGGCACTCCATCTCAGGGAGAATTCAAATCTCTGTCAGCCTGAGAATACCAGAGTGGGTAGCTAGAGGCCCTGGTTGGGAGGTCCTGCCCAGTGAGGAGGAATGGGATTGGGGACCTTCTTAAAGCAGTAGTCCGGCCATATTTTGGTAGAGTAGCACTGTGCTGTGCTAATGGATCCCTCTGTCCCTGGTCCGCTGAGACTCTCCAAATCCCGAAGGCTGGAGCAGCTAAGTTGCCCAAACAGCAAAGATGGTGGCCTACCCCTTCTCTCAGGAGCTCTGTCTCAGGGAGGCTCAACAGTGTTGCTGGTGGCTGGCTGGAATTCCAAGCCAGTGGCTCTTATCCTGTGAGGTGCTGTGGAAGTGGGGCCTGCAGGCTGTTGCTGCTCAGCTCCCTGAATTCAGCCTCTTCCCTAGGGATATGTATGAGGGTCTCACCTCCCACTTTGCCACAGTTGCAGCTACTTTTGCAGGAAAGCCCAGGTACCTAAGGCTCCCAGGTCTCCATGTGTGCCTGAGTGGCTGCTGTGCCAAGATTCCACGTAGCTCTGTCAGACTGAAGGCCCTGGTAAAGTGGGTTCATGAGAACTCCCGACCCAAGGATTGCAAAGATCCATGGAAAAAGCATGGGTTTCCAGGGTCACACATTCACTCACTGCTTCCCTGGGTGAGAGAGCTCCCCCTGGCTCTGTGGTACTCCCAGGTGGGCTGTCGTTTTGCCTTTCTTTTCTTCATTCTCCCTGGGTCAAGTTGTTTCCTTGGTTAGTCCCAATGTGAGTACCTGGATGTTTCAGTTGAAGGTGCAGTATTGACTCTCCCCTTGTGTTCCTCTCTGTGAGAGCCAAACACACTAGCTGCTTCAACTCGGCCACCTTGGCCAGCCCACTGCCCCCTCACTGCTATATTTTTACATATAACATTTACAACTCTATAAAGTACTTCATTGTACTCATTTTACAGGCGAAGATAGTTTAGACACACAAAGACTGAATAAGATCTAAGTCCTTTCCTTGTAAGATGCAAAATCTGGAATTGACAATGTACATAACTGCTACGTGTCTCAAACCTAAGATGTAATTAGGCATTTCTAAAGCTCACACTTTTTAAATGTTTAAATATTTTGTTAGAGTTTTAAAGAATGATTTAGTTAAAAAATACGATTATGGGGGTGTGTGGCCAAGATGACTGACTAGAAGAAGCTAGGGTGCACGGCTCTCATGGAGAGGAATGAAAAGGGCAAGTCAATACAGCACCTTCAACTGAAACAACCAGGTACTCGCATTACTCACATAATCAAGGAAACAACTCCAGCCAGCCACCAGCAACAGTGTTTTACCTACCTGAGACTGACTTCCTAGGGGACAGGGCAGGCCACCATCTTTGTTGTTTGGGTAACTTAGCCATTCCAGCCTGTTGGGCTTTTGAGAACCCAAACCAACTGAGGGCAGAAGGGATCCCCCACGCAGCACAGCTGCTCTACCAAAATGTGGCCAGACTGCCTCTTTAAGTGGATCCCCAATCCATTCCTCCTCGCTGGGCGGGACCTCCCAACTGGGGCCTGCAGCTACTCCTGCAGGTGCTCTCAGGCTGACGGAGATTTGAATTCTCCCTGGGATGAGTTCCCTGGGGGAGAAGGGGGCCGCCATCTTTGCTGTTTGGGTGACTCAGTTATTCCAGTCTGTGGGCTTTGGAGAGTCCAAAGTGACTAGGGTGGAGGGGATCCCCAGAACAGCACAACTGCTCTATCAAATCATGGCAAGATTCTTTAAGTAGATCCCCGATCCGTTCCTCACTGGGTGAGACCTCCCAAGTGGGGCTTCCACCCCTTAGTTCTAGAGCTGACAGAGATTTACATTCTCCCTTGGATAGAGTTGTCAAGGTCCTGCCAATTAAGAAGAAATGGGTCAGGAACCTGCTAAAAGAATCTGCCTGACCAAGATTTTGTAGAGTAGCTGTGTTGTGCTGGGAGATCCCTTCTGCCCCGGTAGGTATGGATTCCACAAAACCCTCAGGCTGGAGTGGCTAAGTTGCACAAACAGCAAAGATGGCAGCTCATCTTTGGCCATTTCATCCCAAGAATTCAAATATCTTTGGGCCCGAGAACACCAGCAGGAGTGACTGGAGGTCCCAGTGCGGTGATCCCTCACCAGGCAGGACTTTGAGACCGCCATGCCAGGGATAATTGAAATCTCTGGCAGCCTGAGGACACTGGAGGAGGGGGTGGGGTGGTGGCTGGGGGCCCGAGTTGAAAGGAACTTCACTGGGCAGGAACTGGAGACCTCCATGCCAGGGAGAACTCGAATCTCTGTCAGCATGAGAACACAGGTAGGGGTGGCCGGAGGGCCCAGTTAGGAGAACCCTCACTGGGTGGGACCTCAAGAACTCCATGCTAGGGAAAATTCAAATCTCTGTCAGCCCCAGGACACTGGCGGGGGTGGCTGGAGGCCCCATATGGGAGGTCCCTCACTGGGTCAGACACCGAGACCTCCGTGCCAGAGAGAATTCACATCTCTGTCAGCCCCAGAACACTACCGGGGTGGTTGCAGGCCCTAGTTGGGAGGTCCTCACTGGGCGGGACCCCGAGACCTCCATGCCAGGGAGAATTCAAATCTCTGTCAGCCCCAGAACACTGGCAGGGGTGGCCAGAGACCCCAGTTGGGAGGTCGCTCACTGGGCCAGACCCCGAGACCTCCATGCCAGGGAGAATTCAAATCTCTGTCAGTCCCAGAATAAAGGCGGGGGTGGCCGGAGGCCCCGGTTGGGAGGTCCTTCACTGGGCGATACCCCAAGACCTCCATGCCAGGGAGAACTCAAATCTCTGTCAGTCCCAGAATAAAGGCGGGGGTGGCCGGAGGCCCCGGTTGGGAGGTCCCTCACTGGGCGATACCCCAAGACCTCCATGCCAGGGAGAATTCAAATCTCTGTCAGTCCCAGAATAAAGGCGGGGGTGGCCGGAGGCCCCGGTTGGGAGGTCCCTCACTGGGCGATACCCCAAGACCTCCATGCCAGGGAGAATTCAAATCTCTGTCAGTCCCAGAATAAAGGCGGGGGTGGCCGGAGGCCCCGGTTGGGAGGTCCTTCACTGGGCGATACCCCAAGACCTCCATGCCAGGGAGAATTCAAATCTCTGTCAGTCCCAGAATAAAGGCGGGGGTGGCCGGAGGCCCCGGTTGGGAGGTCCCTCACTGGGCGATACCCCAAGACCTCCATGCCAGGGAGAACTCAAATCTCTGTCAGCCTGGGAACACCAGTGGGGGTGGCTGGACACCGCAGCTAAAAGGACCCTCATTGGGTGGGACCTTGTGAATTACATGCCAGGGAGAATTCAAATCTCTGTCAGCCTGCCTTGTGAATTACATGCCAGGGAGAATTCAAATCTCTCTCAGCATGAGAACACCAGTGGGGTTGGCTGGAGGCCCCGCTTGGGAGGTCCCTCACTGGGCAGGACCTCAAGACCTCCACACTAGGGAGAATTCAAATCTCTGTCAGCCCCAGAACACTGGCGGGGGTGGCTGCAGGCCCCCGTTGGGAGGTCCCTCACTGGGCAGGACCCCGATACCTCGATGCCAGGGAGAATTGAAATCTCTGTCAGCCCCAGAATATTGGCGGGGGTGGGGGGAGTTGGCTGGAGGCCTGAGTTGGAAGGACCCTCACTGGGCAGGAACCGGAGACCTCCATGCCAGGAAGAATTCAAATCTCTTTCAGCATGAGAACACAGGTGTGAGTGGCCAGAGGTCTCAGTTAGGAGAACCCTAACTGGGTGGGACCTCACAAACTCCATGCCTGGGAGAATTCAAATCTCTGTCAGCCCCAGAACACCAGCGAGGGTGGCTGCAGGCCCCGGTTGGGGGGGTTCCTCACTGGGCAAGACCCCGAGACCTCCATGCCAGGGAGAACTCAAATCACTGTCAGCCTGAGAACACCAGTGGGATTGGCTGGAGACCCCAGCTAAAAGGACACTCATTGGGCGGGACCTTGAGAACTACGTGCCAGGGAGAATTCAGATCTCTGTCAGCCCGAGAACACCAGTGGGGGTGGCTGGAGGCCACGGTTGAGAGGTCCCTCACTGGGCAGGACCTCAAGACCTCCATGCCAGGGAGAATTCAAATTTCTGTCAGCCCCAAAACACTGGCAGGGGTGGCTGGAGGCCGAAGTCCTTCACTGGGCCAGACGCTGAGACCTCCATACCAGGGAGAATTCAAATCTCTGTCATCCCAAGAACACCGGTGGGGGTGGCTGGAGACCCAATTGGGAGGTCACTCACTTGGCAGGACCTGAAGACCTCCATGCCAGGGAGAATTCAAATCTCTGTCAGCCCCAGAACACTGGTGGGGTTAGCTGGAGGCCCCAGTTGGGAGGTCCCTCACTGGGCCAGACCCTGAGACCTCCATTCCAGGGAGAATTCAAATCTCTGTCAGCCCCAGAACACTGGCAGGGGTGGCTGCAGGCCCCAGTTGGGAGGTCCCTCACTGGGCGGGACCCCAAGGCCGCCATGCCAGGGAGAACTCCAACCTCTGTCAGCCCCAGAACACCAGTGGGGTTGGCTGGAGACCCCAGCTAAAAGGACCCTCATTGGGTAGGACCTCAAGAACTAAGTGCCAGGGAGAATTCAAATCTCTGTCAGCCTGAGAACACCAGGGGTGGGTGGCTGGAGGCCTGAACTGAAAAGACCCACAGCGGACAGGAAGTGGAGACCTCCATGTCAGGAAGAGTTCAAATCTCTGTCAGCATGAGAACACAGGTGAGGGTGGCCGGAGGCCCCAGTTAGGAGAACCCTTACTGGGCGGGACTTCAAGAACCAAGAACTGCATACCTGGGAGAATTCAAATCTCTGTCAGCCCCAGAACACTGGCGGGGGTGGCTGGAGGCCCCAGTTGGGAGATCCCTCACTGGGCAGGACCTAAAGACCTCCATGCCAGGGAGAACTCAAATCACTGTCAGCCTGAGAACACCGGTGGGATTGGCTGGAGACCCCAGCTAAAAGGACCCTCATTGGGCGGGACTTTGAGAACTAGGTGCCAGGGAGAATTCAGATATCTGTCAGCCCAAGAACACCGGTGGGGGTGGCTGGAGGCCACGGTTGAGAGGTCCCTCACTGGGCAGGACCTCAAGACCTCCATGCCAGGGAGAATTCAAATCTCTGTCAGCCCCAAAACACTGGCAGGGGTGGCTGGATGCCGAGGTCCTTCACTGGGCCAGACCCTGAGACATCCATACCAGGGAGAATTCAAATCTCTGTCAGCCCAAGAACACCGGCGGGGGTGGCTGGAGGCCCGATTGGGAGGTCACTCACTTGGCAGGACTTAAAGACCTCCATGCCAGGGAGAATTCGAATCTCTGTCAGTCCCAGAACACTGACAGGGGTGGTTGCAGGCCCCAGTTGGGAGGTCCCTCACTGGGTGGGACCTGGAGACCTCCATTCCAGGGAGAATTCAAATCTCTGTCAGCCCCAGAACACTGGTGGGGGTGGCTGGAGGCCCCAGTTGGGAGGCCCCTCACTGGGCCACACCCCAAGACCTCCATGCCAGAGAGAATTCAAATCTCTGTCAGCCCCAGAACACTGGAGGGGGTGGCTGGAGGCCCCAGTTGGGAGGTCCCTCACTGGGCAAGATCCTGAGACCTCCATGCCAGGGAGAACTCAAATCTCTGTCAGCCTGAGAACACCGGAGGGGGTGGCTGGGGACCCCAGGTAAAAGGACCCTCATTGGGCAGGACCTTGAGAACTACGTGCCAGGGAGAATTCAGATCTCTGTCAGCCCTGGAACACCAGCGGGGGTGGCTGGAGGCCATGGTTGGGAGGTCCCTCACTGGGCCAGACCCTGAGGCCTTCATGGCAGGGAGAATTCAAATCTCTGTCAGCCCCAGAACACTGGCAGGGGTTGCTGGAGGCCTCGGTTGGGAGGTCCCTCTCTTGGCAGGACCTCAAGACCTCCATGCCAGGGAGAATCCAAATCTGTCATCCTGAGAACACTGGCGGGGTGGGCATAGCAAGGTGCTCTACCAAAATGTGGCCATACTGGGTCTTTAAGAAGGTCTGTGATCCATTCCTCCTCACTGGGCGGGACCTCCCAACCGGGCCTCCAGCCACCCCCACCAGTGTTCTCGGGCTGGCAGAGATTTGAATTCTCCCTGGCATGGAGGTCTGGAGGTCCTGCCCAGTGAGGCACCTCCCAACCGGGGCCTCCAGCCACCCCCACCAGTGTTCTGGGGCTGACAGAGATTTGAATTCTCCCTGGCATGGAGTTCTGGAGGTCCTGCCCAGTGAGGCACCTCCCAACCGGGGCCTCCAGCCACCCCCGCCAGCGTTCTGGGGCTGACAGAGATTTGAATTCTCCCCAGCATGGAGGTCTCGAGGTCCCGCCCAGTGAGGGACCTCCCAACAGGGGCCTCCAGCCACCCCCGCTGGTGTTCTCAGGCTGACAGAGATTTGAATTCTCTTTGGGATGGAGGTCTTGAGGTTCCATTCAGCGAGGGACCTCCCAATAGGGGCCTTGAGACACTCCCGCCAGTGTTCTGGGGCTGACAGAGATTTGAATTCTCTCTGGCATGGAGGTCTTGGGGTCTGGCGCAGTGAGGGACCTCCCAACTAGGGCCTCCAGCCACCCCTGCCAGTGTTCTGTGGCTGACAGAGGTTTGAATTCCCCCTGGTATGGAGGTCTTGAGGTCCTGCTTAGTGAGGGACCTCCCTACCGTGGCTTCCAGCCACCCTCGCCAGTGTTCTGGGGCTGACAGATATTTGAATTATCTTTGGGATGCGGTTCTTGGGGTCCCTTCCAGTGAGGGACCTCCCAACCGGGGCCTCCAGCCACCCCCACCAGTGTTCTGGGGCTGACAGAGATTTGAATTCTCTCTGGCATGGAGGTCTTGGGGTCTGGCCCAGTGGGGGACCTCCCAACTGGGGCCTCCAGCCACCCCCACCAGTGTTCTGGGGCTGACAGAGATTTGAGTTCTCCCTGGCATGGAGGCCTGGAGGTCCAGCCCAATGAGGGTCCTTTCAGCTGGGGCCTCCAGCCACCCACACCGGTGTTCTCAGGCTGACAGAGATTTGAATTCCTGGAATGAGTTCCCACGCGCAAGAGCAAGGAGCCATCTTTGCTGTTTGTGCAACTTAGTCGTTACAGCCCGCGGGCTCTGGAGAATCCATACCTACCGGGGCAGAAGGGATATATCATCAGCACAGCACAGCTACTCTACAAAATCTTAGAAGGCAGATTCTTTTACCAGGTTCCTGATCCATTCCTCCTTACTGGGCAGGACCTCGACAACTCCTTCCCGGGGAGAATGTAAATCTCTGTCAGCTCGAGAACACCGGTGGGGTGGTGGAGGCCCCAGGTGGGAGGTCCCACCCAGAGAGGAGGAAAGAATCAGGGATCTGTGTAAAGAATCTGCCTGGCCACTATTTGGTAGAGCAGTTGTGATGTGCTGGGGGATCCCTTCCACCCCCAGTCATTTGGGACTCTCCAAAGCTGGCCCCATCCTCTCCCCCAGGCCCCAGTTGGAAGGACTCCCACTGGGCAGGAACTCCAGAACTCCCTCCCAGGGAGAATTCAAATTCCTCTCAGCCCCAGACACCAGTGGGGTAGCTGGAGGCCCTGGTTGGGAGGAACAGATTGGGAATCCCCTTAAAGATTCTGTCTGGGGCCGGCCACGGTGGCTCATGCCTGTAATCCCCATACTTCGGGAGGCCCAGCAGGGTGGATCACTTGAGGTCAGGAGTTCCAGACCAGCCTGGCCAACATGGTGAAACCCCATCTCTACTAAAAATAAAAAAATTCGCTGTGCGTGGTGATGGGCACCTGTAGTCCTAGCTACTTGGGAGGCTGAGGCAGAAGAACTGCTTGAACCAGGGCTGTGATGGGTGCTGTAAGCCGAGATCATGCCACTGCACTCCAGCCTGGGTGACAGAGCAAGACTCCTTCTCAAAAAAAAAAAAAAAAAAAAAAAAAAAAAAAAGGATCTGGGCACATGTTGGGAGAGCAGCTGTGCTATTCTAGGGATCCCTTCTACCCCACCAGTTTGCACTGTCCAAAGCCCACAGGCTGGAATGGCTGTGTCACCCAAACAGCAAAGATGGCGGCCAGCTCCTCCCCTGGGAAACTCATCCCAGGGAGCTCCAGCATCCTTGGCACAAGCTGGCAAGTATTGGCTGAAATGACAGGTGCCCTGGAGAAATTTGAAAGGGTTATCCACATCCGGCTGCTGATTATTTTCACAATTTTCCTGAGATGTCGTTATCATTCTTTGACTCTCCTTTCTATAGTCAGACATTTGGCTCTCAGAGGTGACTTTCTGGCTGAAGAATGTGGATTCGTCACTGTCTTGTGCTCAATGTAGAGGGGGCTCTTAATTCCAGAAATGTCCATATCTGATGAAAGAAAGCGAAGAATGAAACAAAAAGAGATATGTACCGTATTCATAAGTAGATTCAATGCTCTTAATTCCAGAAATGTCCATATCTGATGAAAGAAAGCGAAGAATGAAACAAAAAGAGATATGTACCGTATTCATAAGTAGATTCAATGCTATTAAGATGTCAGTTCTTTCCAATGTATAGATTCAATGCAATTCTACTCTAAATGAAAATGTTTATATGGAGAGGCAAAAGACCTTGAATAGCTAACACCATATTGAAGGAGAAGAACAAACTTGGAGGACAGACACTACTCAATTTCAAGACTTACCCTAAAGCTACAGTAATGGAGACAGTGTGGTATTAGTGAAAGAACAAACGGATAAAATGAGATAGAGAGTTCACAAATAGAAACACATTAATACATTCGATTAATTTTTGACAAAAAAGTAAAGGCATTATGATGATGAAACAGTTTTTTCAGGAAGGGCTGCTGGAATACCTGGATATCCACATGCAAAAAAAAAATAAATTGCAGACCTTACACCCCCACCAAAATTAACTCAAAATGGATCAGCAACATAAATATACAAAAAACTATAAAATTTATAGAAGATAATATAGAAGGAAATACAGATTATCTTGGGTTTAATGATGACCTTTAGAAAAAACACCAAAGTTGAAGTCAATAGAAGAAAGAATTGACAAGCTGGACTTGATGAAAATGTAACATTTTTACACCATTAAAGACACTGAAAGAAAAGAGAAACCACAGATGGAAAAAAATTTGCCAAAACGTATCTGATTAAGAACTATTATTCAAAACATATTAGTATTCTTAAAGCTGAGCAGTAAAAGACATGAGCTAAAGACCTTAACAAGTACCTCACCAAGTAAATTATACAAATGGAAAATAAGCATATGTAATGAGGCTACACATAATATTTCCTCAGAGAAATGCAACCATGAGATGCCACTGCACACGTATTAGAATAACCAAAATCTAGAACCACTGACAACATCAAACGCTGGCAAGGATGTGGAGCAAGAGGAAACTTCATTCATTGCTTGTGGGAATGCAAAATGGTGCAGTCACTTCTTGAAAGTTGTATTCTATGTACCTCAACAGCATGGCCTTCACTGTTCATATTCCTATTATCATTTTGGTCGACCACTTAACCAAGGTCTAATTAAGTTCCACAAGTTTCCTCATCTTCCTGTCTTCTTTGCCTATTACCCAGTTCCAAAGCAAATTCTGCATTATCAGGTGTTTTTATAGCAAAACCCCACTCCTTGGTACTAATTTCTGTGTTAGCAACACAGAATAACACAGAAAAGAGCAACACGGAAAAACACAAATTTTTGTGTTGCTATAAAAAAATAGCTGAGACTAGGTAATAAGGTATAAGGAACAGGTATAAGACTAGGTATAAGGAACAGAGGTTTGTTTGGCTCACAGTTTTGCAGGCTGTAGAAGAAGAATGGCAGTGGCATCTGCACAGCTTCTGGTCAGGGACCCAGAAGGCTTTTACTTGTGGCTAAAGGTGAAGAGACAACGGGTATGACACACATGGCTAGAGAGGTAGGAAGAGAGGGGAGAGGTGCCACACTGTTTTAAACAACCACCTTTCGTGTAATGCAGTGAGAACTCACTCATTAGTGAAAAAAGGGCAAAAAGCTATCCAGGAGAGATCAACCACCATGACCCAAACACCTCCCACTAGGTCCCACCTCCAACATTGGGGATCAAATCTCGACACAATATTTGGAGGGTACAAATTTGCAAACAATATCACTCTCTTTTTGTCTTTAACTTTGGACAATTTGATTATAGTGTATCTTGTTGTGAGTCCCTGGATTCACCTTATTTGGTTTCCTTTGGGCTTTCTGGATCAGGCTTTCTGTTTTCTTCCCCATGCTTGATAAATTCTCTGTCATTATTCCTTTAAACACTTTTCCGTTCCTTTCTTCCTCACTTCTCCTTCAGGCATGCCAATAATGTGTGAGTGGTCCTGCTTGATGGTGTCCCATAACTCTCTAAAGTTGTCTTCACTCCGTTTGCATTATCTTTTTTTCTGATCCTCAGGTTAGATAATTTCCAGTGACCAGTCTCAAAGTTCACTGATAGATTCTATTAATGGACACCTCTATTAAATTTTTTCAGTTCAGTTACAGTACACTTTAGATCTATGATTTGTTTGACATTATTGTATAACGTTTTTCCTTTTCTTGAAGTTCTCAACTTGTTCTTGCAAAGCTATCTTGACCTCAGTGATTATTGTTATGACCATTATTTGGAAATCTCTGTCAGATAAATTACATATCTGCACTTCACTCAGGTGCTGGAGATTTATCTTGTTTTCTTGCTTTGAATATATTTCCCTGTTTCTTCATTTTTCCTCGACTCTCTCTGTTGGTTCCCGTGCATTTGATAAGACTGGCCTCATGTAGGAAAAGGATCTCACCAAACTTTCCAGCCAGAGATCTTCAGGTACCTCTCAAGTCCTTGTGTGCTCTAGTATTGACTGTTTTTGGTGGCTCCCTGGAACTTAGGATGTGCCACGCCTTGTCAGTAACCAGAAATTGGTTAAGGTAGGAGCCAGACAATCCAGATGTAGCTAGAAAGTTAGAAGGCTGGAGGAGTGTTTCAGTTCTTTCTAGCTACATGATGAAGATTAGTATGGACATTTATCTCCCACTCTCTCTCCATTAAGCTTGGTAGAGGATCTGTGACAAACACCTATGCACACTCTGGATGCAGCCTCTGATCCTGAGGAGATAGCTTCTGAATGTGGGCCCATTGTATGCTTACTTCTTTGTTTTCTATGGTCTAAATACATTCAAAAATACAAAATCCTGTCGACTCACAGAGCAGAGTTCTTAAGAAAACAGTTCCTTGGGCACTAACCACGGAGGTTGTAGAATTTCAATGCATAATCAAGCTCCTTCTGGGAGCTTGATTCAATGCATAATCAAGCTCCTTCCGGGAAGAATGGGTAGGCTTGGATTTATTACTGGGTTGAACCCGACATAAGACTGGTAGTGTCAAACTATGGTTCCATCTGCCAGATGAATTATACTTTGTAAGCCACATTAGCCCCCATGATGCCAGTATTTAAATACAAAGCTAGAAATGATTAATAGGGTGAGAAAAGCATGTTGAAAGCTCAGATAGGCTGAAAGCTAGGCAACTTACATCAAACAGTAAACTAAGCTGTGAATGCAAAAAAAAAAAAGTTCTTAAAGGAAATTAAACAGACTACTCCAGTGAATGCACAAATGATAAGTACAATGGTATTATTGCTGATGTGAAGACAGTTTTAGTGGTCTGGATAGAAAATCAAATGAGCCACAACATTTCGCTAAGCCAAAGCTGAATCCAGAGCTAAGCCTTAGTAACATTCTTTAATTCTATGAAGTCTGACACAGGTGAGGAGGCTGCAGAAGACAAGTTTAAAGCTAGCAGAGGTTGGTTCATGAGGTTTAAGAAAAGAATCTTCATAACATAAAAGTGCAAGGTAAAGCAGCCAGTGCTGATAGAGAAGCTGCAGCAAGTTATCCAGAAGATCTAGCTAAGATCATTGATGAGGGCAGTTATGCTAAATAACAGATTTTCAATGTAGACAAAACAGCATTATACTGGAAGAAGAGGATACCTAAAACTTTCACAGCTATAGAGGAGAAGTCAATGCCTGGCTTCTAATCTTCAGAGGACAGGCTGACTCTTTATGTACTGGCTAATGCAGCTGGTTACATTAAAACATTAAAGGCAGTACTCATTTACCATTCTGCTACATTTTTAAGTTCTTCTAAACCTATGCTACCTATACTCTATAAATGAAACAACAAAGCCTGGATGAAAACACATCGTTTACAGTATGGTTTACCAAATATCTTAAGCACACTGTTGAGACCTATTGTCCAGAAAACGTGTGTGTGTGTGTGTTTGTGTGTGTGTATACGTGTATGTGTGTGTATGTATATATGTGTGTGTATATATATATATATATATATATATATCTTTTAAAATATTACTGCTCATTGACAATGCACTCATAACCCAAGAGCTCTGATGGAGTTGTACAAATAGATTAATGTTGTTTTCATGCCTGCTAACACAGCATTCATTCTGAAGCCCATGGATCAAGGACATTTTATTATTTAAGAATACATTTTGTAAGCCTATACCTGCCATAGACAATGATTCTTCTGTGTATCTGCACAAGGCAAATTAAAAATCATCTGGATTTTTTTAGAAAGCAATCACTATTCTAGATGAAATTAAAGATATTTGTGATTCCTTGGAGGAGGTCAAAATATGAAGTTTGGAAGAAATTGATTTCAGCCCTCATAGATAGCTTGCAGGGTTTCAAGACTTCAGTGGAGGAAGTAACTGTGAGTGTGATGGAACTAGGGAGAGAACTAAGAGTAAAACTGGAGCCTGAGCCTGTGACTGAATTTCTGCAGTTTCATGATCAAACTTGAATGTACTAAAAGTTGTTTCTTATAGCCCATCCATCTGAGATGGAATCTATTCCTCGTGAAGATACTGTAAACACTGTTGAAATGACAAAAAAACACCTATCTTATTATACAAACTGAGTTGATAAAGCGGTGGCAGCATTAGATAGGATCGACTCTCATTTTGAAAGGTGTTCTACTGTGAGGTAAAATGCTATCCAACAGCATGGCACACTACAGATAAACCTTTCATCAAAGGAGTCAAGTGATGCAGCAAACTTTACTGTTGTTTTATTTTAAGAAATCGCCACAACCACCTCAATCTGCAGCAACCACCACCTTAATCATTCAGCAGCCATCAACACAGAGGAAAGACTCTTTATCAGCAAAAATTAAAATTCACTGAAGGCTCAGATGATCATTTGCATTTTTAGCAATAAAGTAGTTTTTAAAGTATGTAATTGTAGACATAAGGCTATTGCACACTTTATAGACTATGGTATAGTGTAAAAAACTTTTATATGCAGTGTAAAACCAAAAATTCAAGTTCTTATTACATTGTGGTTGCCTGGAATCACACCTGCAATATCCCTGAAGTATGCCTGTACAAGAAATCATGGATAACATACTAAAATAAATTTGGGAAACAATTCATTAACAGAATGATAGTTCTGAAGTAGAAATAGATATGATAACAAAAAAACAAATAGAAATTCTAGATATAGAGAATACAACAAACTAAAAATTTAATACAATGCTTCAGCAGCTGATTTTATTAGCAGAAAAAAAGAATCAGTGAGCTTAAAGAAAAAACATTTGAAATGATTCCATCGGGGAAAAACAACAACAAAAAAGAATAACAAATGCCTATGGCAATTATGGGACTCAATCAAACAACCCAACTTTCATATAATATCAGTTTCTGAAGGAGAAGAAAAAGAAAAAGGCCTAGAAAGCATATTTAATGAAATAATGACTAAAAATTTCCCAAACATGAAGAATGATGACAACATTGAGGTATGAAAACTGCAGAGGTCATGAATCCATTTCAATCCAAGAGGCATTTATCAACACACATCACAATGAAGTTATTAAAAATGAAAAACAAAGAATACTGAAAACAGCAAAAAAACAAGAAATACATCACATTCAAGGGAGCTTCAATATGGCTTTCAGTGGATTTCTCTGCAGAAAACCCTACAGTCCACGAGAGAGGGATGATGTATTCAAAATGCTAAAGCAAACAAGCAAGCAAACAAACAAAAATGCCAATCAACAATACTGTTCCCGGTTGGGTGAACTGGCTCATACCTGTAATCACAGCAGTTTGGGAGGCCAAGGCAGGTGGATCAGGAGGTCAGGAGTTCAAGACCAGCCTGGCCAACATGATGAAACCCCATCTCTACTAAAAATACAAAAATTAGCTGGGCATGGTGGCATGGGCCTGTAATCCCAACTACTCGGGAGGCTGAGGCAGGAGAATTGCTTGAACCTGGTAGGCAGAGATGGCAGTGAGCAAGCTTGAACCTGGGAGGCGAGATCACACCGCTGCACTCCAACCTGGGTGACAGAGCAAGACTCCATCTTGAAAAAAAAATGCTGTGCCTAGCAAAGCTGTCCTGTAGAAATGAGGGAGAGGGAGATATAAAAACCTTTCTATACAAAAAAAAACTAATAAAATTTATAATCAATATCCCTGATTGATCAGAATTACTAAAGGAAGAGCCTTGCATTGAAATAAAAGGCTAAATAGTAAGAAAAAACACATAAAAGTAAAAAGCGTCAATGCTATCAGTAATACACAGTCATGTTCCAAATGCTCTAATATTCTAAGGGTGGTTTGTAAAGCAATTTTATCCCTACTAGTAGGGTTAGCAGACAAAGGTATTGAAAATAACTGTAGCTACAATAAATTGCTAAGGTATATAAGTATGAACTAAAAGGGTAAGTTTTGACATAAAATTGTACAATTGTAAGGGAGAGAGAATGAAAATGTAGACTTTTGGATGCAATTAAAGAGAAGTTGCTATCAGAAGTTGTTAGAGTAGTTTGTTATAAGAATATGATATTTTAGGTAAGTTTCATGATAACCACAAAACAAAACCTATCATAACTGCACAAAATAAAAAAGTTTATTTTGCAATTTATCCAAAATTTTAAAGCATACCACCACAGAAAGCCATCAAGCTATAAAATAGTTCAGCAAGAGAGAAAAAGGGAACAAAGAACTCATAAAACAATCAGAAAAAAAATTACAAAGTGGCAGTAGCAAGTCCTTCCCTATAAATAATTACCTTGATAGTAAGTGCATTACATTGTCAAATAAAAGGACATAGAGCATCTCAATGGATAGAATAAAAAACAAGATTCAATCATGTGCTGCCTACAAGAGACTCACTTTACCAGTCAAGACATATATAGGCTGAAACTGAAAAGATGAAAAAAGATATTCCATGCAAATGCAAACTAAAATAGAGCAGGGGAGCTATACTTACTATTAAAAGAAATAAACTAAGTCAAAACCTATAAAAGAGATAGGGTTCACTGCATAACGATAAAGGAGTTAATTCATCATGAAGACATAATACATGTAAATATATATGCACTCAAGGTCACAAGACCTAAATTCATAAAGCAATTATTAAATAATCTCATGAGAAAAATATACTGCAATACTATAATAGTAGGAGACCTCAATACTCCAATTTCAACCATGGAAAGATCATTTAGAAAGATAATAAATTAAGAAACATTAGATTTGAATCACACTTTGGAGCAACTGGATCTAACAGATATACCCAGAACATCCTATCCAACAGCAGAAGTGTACCTGTTCTTCTGAAATGTGGGTGGAACATTCTCCAGTATATGTCATATGTTAGGCCACAAAACAGATCTTAACAAATATTAGAGAATTGAATTATAGAAAGAAAATTTTTGCATCCCAATGGCATAAAGCTAGAAATCCGTAACAGAAGAAATCTTGAAAAATACATAAAATAGCAAAATTTAACATATTCATAAATGGCCCATGAGTTACAGAAAAAATTTAAAAACATATTTTAAGACACACAAAAATGAAAACACAACATACCAAAACTTACAGAATGTAGTTAAATCAATCATTATACCTCAATGAACTAGATGAGAAACAAAGCCAAGAATTAGCAGAAATAAGAAAATAGCAAAGATTAAAGTGGAAATAAATAAAATAGATATGAGAAACCCAATGGAAAGAATTAATACTGAACTTCTTTTTAAGGCGATAAACAAAATCAACCAATCCGTATCTAGACTAACTAGAAAAAGGACTATTCCAACAAATAAGATCAGAAATGAAATAGGAGAAATTACAACTTTTAACTCTAAAATACAAAGGATTACAATTGTTCATATAATGAACATTTGTATGCCAACAATTTGGATAACATGGAAGAAATAAAAACATTTCCACAAACATACAACTTACCAAGACTGAATCAAGAAGAAACAGAAAATCTGAATGGACTAATAAATAATAAGGAAATTGAAGCAGAATTTTTTTTTTTTTGAAGCGGAGTTTTGCTTTTGTTGCCCAGGGTAGAGTGCAATGGCACAGTCTCAGCTAACTGCAGCCTCCGCCTCCCAGGTTCAAGCAATTCTCCTACCTCAGCCTTCCAAGTAGCTGGGGTTACAGGCGCCCACCACCACACCCATCTGATTTTTTGTATTTTTAGTAGAGACAGGGTTTCACTACTTTGGCTAGGCTGGTCTCGAACTCCAGACCTCAAGCAATCCACCCACCTCAGCCTCCCAAAGTGCTAGGATTACAGGTGTGAGCCACCAAGCCTGGCCTGAAGCAGAAATTAAAAGCCTCCCATGAAAGAAAAGCATAGGACCAGAAGGCTTCACTGCTAAATTCTGACAAACCTTTAAAGAACTAATACTAATTACTCTCAAACTCTTTCAAAAAAGTGAAATAGAGGAAATACTTCCAAACTCATTTTATTAGGGTACCATCATTCCGATACCAAAGACAGACAAGGACACTACAAGAGACGAAAATACTAGGCCAATGTCAGTAACGAACCCTGATTCAAAAATCTTCAACAAAACATTAGCAACCAAATTTAAGAATATATGAATGGAATCATTCACCATGATAAAGTGGGATTTATCCTTTGGATGCAAGTTGGTTTCAACATATGCATATGAATACATGTGATAAAATGCATGAACAAAGTCAAAGACAAAAATCATACGATTCTCTCAATACATGCAGAAAAAGCACATGACAAAATTTAAAACCCTTTCATGATGAAAGCTCTCAACAAATTAAGTGTAGAGAAAATGTATCTCGACACAAAAAAGAACCGTGTATGACAAGCTCTTAGCTAACATTATTCTCAACAGTGAAAAGTGGAAAGCTTTTCCTCCATGTTCAGAGACAAGACAAGGATGACCAGTCTCACCACTTCTTTTCATCGTTAACAGTGGAATTCCTAGGCAGAACAATTAGACAAGAAAAGAAAAGCATCCTACTCAGAAAAAAGTGAAATTATCTCTAATTGCAGACAACATGATCCTGTATACAGAAAACCCTAAATATTCCACCAAAAACTGTTAGAACTGATGCATGAATTCGATAAGGTTTCAGGATACAAAATAATCTAACAAAGATCAGAAGTGTTTCTGTATACAAATAACAAACTACCTGAAGAAATTTTTTAAAAATCCCAAGTATGATAGCAACAGAAATTAAATACTTAGGTGTAAATTTAAGCAAAAAATTAAAGGTCCTGTATATGAAAAACTATAAAACACCAATGAACAAAAATTT
Source organism: Homo sapiens (assembly GCF_000001405.40). Lineage (NCBI taxonomy): Eukaryota > Metazoa > Chordata > Mammalia > Primates > Hominidae > Homo > Homo sapiens. The sequence goes on from NW_025791765.1 coordinate 428,152, forward strand.
AAAAACACAAGTAAATGAAAAAAAAATTCATGCTTGTGGATGGGATGAATTAATATTGTGAAAATGAACAAAATACCAAAAGCAACATATTTGATGCAATCACTATCAAAATTCCAATGCCATTCTTTTACAGAAATGGAAAAAAATCTTGACATTTGTATTGAACAGACCTAAAATAGACAAAATAATCTTGAGCAAAAAGAACAAAGCTAGAGACAGCATGCTACCTAATTTTATTACATACTGTAAAACAATTGTAATCATGGTAGTGGCATATAAATGGACAAATTTGCTAAACAAAATGGAAAACCCAGAAATAAATCCACACACGTCAACTTATCTTTGACAAAGGTGCCAAGGACATACAATGGTTAAAGGATAGTCTGTTCTACAAATGGTGTTGAGAAAACTGAATATCCACAGGAAAAATAAAGTTAGTCCCTTAACTTACACCACATACTAATATCAACTCCAAATGAAGATTTAAATAGAAGGCCTGAACTGTAAAATTACTAGAAGAAAACATAGAGTTAAAGCTCCACAACACTGGTCTCAGCAATACTGTTTTTGATGCAACCCTGATAGCAGTCAACAAAAGCAGAAATAGACAAATTTCTTGTGGCTTAGTTTTGAATTTCTGGTCATTTACTCAATCTGGTCATTACTTTCCCACACTTCATGGTTACAAGTACCAGCCAAGACATGGATCCACCTTCCTACTGCAGTATCTGAAAATCACTGTCTGTTCTATCCTCGGCCTGACCCTCTCTGGCATTCTCGGGATCTACATTTTGATGGAAATGTAATGCTCTGGAACCCTAGGCATATATGAACCAGAAACATGTATGCAGACTCTACTTACCGACAGCAACATAGTTGGAAATACAGTAATCACAGTTGGATAGGAACAAATATTTTATATCTCTTTCTTAGAGATCTGGATTCCACTAAAACGGATTCATGGATGTCAGGGCATTAGGGGTGTGGACTGATAACAAACCTCTCCTTTTTCAGTGCCAAACCAACTTAGAAATAAAAACAAAAGGTCAGATCAATATCCAAATACATTATTCCTCCTAAAGCTGATTTAGAAACTATGGCTTAATGTTGACCAAAAAAGACTTCTAATATTGCCCCCTAGCCTTGACTTTAGAACCTGAACAAAAAAAAGTTCATCTGAAGAACAGTCAGTTACCCACCCAGTGCAGGGAGGGTCTTCACCTGCCTTCCAAGTCTCCTGTTCAGAATCCAGAGGAGAAAGAGAGACTAGATGTACTCATTGATCACTGAGTAAGTTTGCCTTACTAATAGGCAAACGTGGACCAATGGATTTGATGGGACCAATGGATAAGATTTCCCATCCACCAAATAAGTCACATCTTCTCCTGGCTCTGGGAATGAGCCAGATAAAGGTGAAGAGTTGGCAGTGTTTCTACTCAATATTTGTGAGAAGACCGAAGGTGTTGTCAATGGGTAGATAGAACTGGAATGAGGTGGGAAAGTTTTACTCGTTTGACCAACTTCTTTTTATTCAAGTTGTATATGCTGAAGGTAGCCGCTAGAAGAATTGACTTCTGGAAAGATGATTCCCCTCACAATTGCTTGATCTTGAGTATTTTTATTTTTGTGTTAAAGAACTGATGTTGGTTTGTGTACACTGAAATAATGGGGGGAAGCTCTGTATGGAAGGAAAAGAAAGTTTCCTTTCTTTTCTAGAGCCGTCTGTTCAGGTTATCGGAGTCTCCCTATTCATGGGATGAGTGTCCACAACAAACTCCACAATCCTGTGTCTGCTCATTGAAGGTATGTATCAGAGTGACACTTGGAAGCATGGTATAAAGAGGAAATATGCATTTGTCAAATGAAAAATTAAAATATAAGAAAAAGTTTAAAAGGAAAAACAGAATGAGAAGGGCAGGGGCTTGATTAGAGTTTTGTCAACTGGGACAAACTTTGCAGTTTTAGTCAAATATTGCCATCTTTCTAGTGGAAGACTTTGACATGTAAGTTCTAGATTATACTTTCATTTATAAATAACTGTGTAGCTTAATGAGATGGCCCCTGTTAGTATCTTAGGCCATCTATTGAAGGTTTACTAAATTCTTCCAAGGCACGTGAGTCTGCTCCTCAGCAAAGCAGTGACAAACCTGCTTTTCCCTGGTTTCCCCAACTATGTAAAACCTTATTAAAGAATTCCTGAACAATATAAAGTTCCCTCAGCAAGACGGAACTTCCCAAGCTCTTGTCTCAGGAGAGAATGTGGATTATAGAAAGATTGTGGGTGTGAGTGGAGTGGGAAGTTATTTAGGTAGTAAGATTTTCAGGCTCGGTGCAGTGGCTCACACCTGTAATCCCAGCACTTTGGGTGGCCGAGGCGGGCAGATCACAAGGTCAGGAGATGGAGACCATCCTGGCTAACAGGGAGAAACTCCATCTCTACTAAAAATACAAAAAAAAACTAGCTGGGCACCTGTAGTCGCAGCTACTCGGGAGGTTGAGGCAGGAGAACCGCGTGAACCCAGAAGGCGGAGCTTGCAGTGAGCCAAGATCTCGCCACTGCACTGCAGCCTGGGTGACAGAGCCAGACTCCGTCTCAAAAAAAAAATAATAAAAAAATAAAAAGTTAAAGAGGCCAAGAAACATCATTTAAAACACGATATAAATTTTCATCAGACATAAAAGATAAAAAATATTTTCATTTAATAAATACTTTTGCATGTCACACATTTAACGGGAAACAAAATATCATGTTAACAGCCTAGTAATACAATTTTATTGTCTTAGATTTTTTTCGTCAGCATGTATTCTTTCTGTTTTGTTTTGCATTTGAGATGGAGTCACTCTGTTGCTCAGGCTGGAGTGCAGTGGCACGATCTTGGCTCACTGAAACCTCTGCCTCCCGGGTTCAAGTGATTCTCCCACCTCAGCCTCCCGAGTAGCTGAGACTACAGGCATGCACCACCACACCCAGCTAATTTTTGTATTTTTAGTAGAGACAGGATTTCACCATATTGGCCAGGCTGGTCTTGAACTCCTGACCTCAAGTGATCCACCTGCACTGGCCTCCCAAAGTGCTGAGAATACAGGCATGAGCCACTGCAGCCAGACAGCACATATTCTTGTTATGCTTTTAAAACTAGTTATTGATTTAAATTTTACTCATTAGTAGATTCTAGTGCAGAAGCTATAGAGCAGCAGTCCCCAGCCTTTTTGGCACCAGGCAGCAGTTTTGTGAAAGATAATTTTTCCACAGATGGGGGTTTGGGGGATGGTTTCAGGATGGTGATTCAAGCGTATTACATCTATTGTGCACTTTATTCCTATTATGACTACATTGTAATACATAATGAAATAATTACACAACTCATCATAATGGAGAATCAATGGGAGTCCTGAGCTTGTTTTTCTGTAACTAGATGGTCCCATCGTGAAGAGATAGGAGACAATGACATATCATCAGGCATTAGAGTCTCATAAGGAGCATGTGACCTAGATCCCTTGAACGAGCAGTTCACAGTAGGATTTTCACTCCTGTGAGAATCTAATGGCTTTGCTGATCTGACAGGAGGCAGAGCTCAGGTGATAATGTGAGCAACAGGGAGTGGCTGGAAATACAGATGAAGCTTCACTCGCTTGCCTGCCACTCACCTCCTGCTGTGCAGCCTGCTTCCTAACAGGTCATGGAACTGTGTGTGGCCTGGGAGTTGGGGACCCCTGCTATAGAGGATTCAGATTTAAATTCAGAAGTTAGAATGAAAAAGAATTATATTCTTTATCTAAATGATTTCACAGTTAACTAAGAGAAAGTCAGTATATGCTGAAAAGCTTATCAGTGTTAATAAGAATGAAAAATATGTACAATATGCAATTACTATTAAATATAATTTGCCCATAGTTGCACACCGAATTCATTATCATGGCAGTTAAGTATCAGAGCTTCTGGTTTCTCACTCTTCGTTCATGTATTCAGCAACCATGTGCTAAGGTACTAGGACAAGCACTGGAATTACAAGATAAAGATGATACGGTCCGCCCCTCAACAACTGTATGCTATAATCTGAAAAAACAAACAGGCAATTCCCATACAGAGTCATACATACAATGACAAGCATAAGACAGCACTTATTGGAAGACATAGAAGGGATACTAGCCCAGGTTTGTGTCAATATTGTAGGCTTTTTGGTAGAGGCAATTCATAGGTTGATATCTGAAGGGGAAGGAAAACACATGTAGGATAGAGGGAAGAAGTAAATGCAAACAGCTGGAGGTGAAGACGATCACTGTGGAGCTCCATGTAGTCTAGTTTGGCTGGATGCTAGAACAAAGGTGTAGAGTATGGTAAGTGGCGAAAGATAAGGCTGAATAACTTGACAAGAACCACACTGATGTGAGAGTTTTGATTCCATGCTAAGGAATTTTCAACTTTTCCCAGGGGCAAAAGTAAACCAATGACAAAGTCAATGACTAGAGATTTAAAATGTCACTGGTCAAGTGACTGCTTGTGACCTGTAATTGCTTAACTAATTATTATCACACGAGTGTGGGGTCTCTTAGCCTTAAATCACTACCTTAACCTTGAGAAGTTGATAATGCCTTTGTTTTGTGAGAACAGTTTCAGTGTGCAGGCTGATAGTCTATAGGGGTGGCAGAAGAAAAGTGTAGGGCCAGAAAAAAAGGGATACACAGATTTCTTGCGATTTTTTTAAAGCTATGAAACATGATGAATTAACAAAGCATAAGTACACCCTTCACTATGAATGTTTATGTTTTCACATCTTTCACTAGATGTGTGTAAGAAAAAATATTTAATGTAGCATTTATTAACCAAGCAATTGAGAGGGAATACCGTTCACTACTTAGAGTTTATTTCAGAAATCAATGATTTGAATTTAATTCATAAATTTTGGCAACATACCTTCATCTAGCTCTCAAACACCTGCAGCATCTGAAATAAATCAAATATTACTTATAATGTTTCAGTCAAACAAGAGACATTATCATGTAAACCCACTGTAAGTCAAGGAGCATCTGTACTGTAGATTGATCATCCCTAATCTAAAAATCTGAAATCCAAAATGCTCTACAATCTGAAACTTTTTGAGCACGGACATGACACCACAACTGCAACGTTCCACACCTGACCTCATGTGACAGGCTCTGGGGAAAACAGTAAAAACTTTCTTACCTGCAAAAAATTACTGTAAAACATTGTAGAGAATTACCTTCAGGCTATGTGCATAAGGTATATATGAAACACAAATGAATTTCATGTTTAGACTCAGGTACCATCCGCAAGATATTTCATTAGGTATATACAAATATTCCAAAATCTGAAAAAAATCTACTTTTGGTCCCAAGCATTTTGGACAAGGGATATTTAACCCATCCTACTGGAAAAATAAAATTCCTTTTCAGTATGACAGAAATTAAGAGATCAGCTTACCAAACTTGAATGCTGCAGGATTTTCTCAAGCCGCTCAATTTGGTCATCCTGTTTTTTAATAATTTTTCTCATCATCACATGTTCTACTTCAAGCCTAAAATGTGCATTTTAAAATAATTACTCTCACACGTAATTTTTTTTAAATCATGTAAATTCTAAACAAACTTCTGAAGGTATAATTACACAAATTCTTAGCAATCACAAAAGTAGACGATTGGGCTACTGTGTCATTTTCTACCTGTGTTTTGGTGATAATATGCAAAATTTAGGAATAATGTAGAAAAATGATGTATTTCGATATAGCTTACAAATGAAACTTTTTTGGCTTCACAAAGACATACTAATTATCATAACTGATACAATTTTCATACTACAGTGCTCTTTTGCTTTATAAATACTCAAGTTATTTTGTGTGCTGCTTCAAATTTTACTTTTGTGTGTCGCCTTCCATCTCCTTAGTACATCTTATAGTAGCTGTAAGTTGATCCTGTATTTCTTGAAACTGAAACAAAGAATTTTAAAAAATTACATTTGGAAATGACCTAAATGTCCATCAGTAGATGAATGAATCAACAAAATATATATGAAATATTTTAGACTATCACAATCTTTTTTATTTATAAAAGGTCATAATCTAGGAGAAATCATCCCATTACCTGTTTTTTGTAAGTAATTTTAGTGGGACACTGCTACACCCCTTCAGTCTGCATATTGTTCATGGCTACTTTTGTGCTGTAATTGCAGGGCCGAGTTATTGCAACAAGGATCTTATGGCTCACAAAGCCTTACATAATACTATCTGGCCCTTTACAGAAAAGTTCACAGACCCCTGCTCTAGGACTAAAACACAACATTCTTCTTGCTTTTGAATTACATTTTATCAATTAAATACTCAAACTTACAAACTGGTAAAATGTGGAAAGATAAAGGATTACCTCACGCTAAGCATTTATATTTTGAATTCCAAACACTACCACATCAACTATAATTTTATTTTTTGTATGTATGCATTTAGTTTTATTATAGCAAAGCAACTTGCACATTTTTAAATATTTAAAACTAAGCATCATCTTTCCTTTCTAGGGAAACAACAAGAAAATTTAAAAACAAGCAGGAACAAAATTAAAATCGACAAAGTCAGTTCCAAATAAGATCCTACAGGATCTTATTGACTCTCCCATTGAATAGCAGGACTCAGGTCATCATTAGGAGAGAAGTAATTTAAAAGCGTCATCTTAAACTGCAAAGATGTCCATTAAACATGCCAAAGGAGAAGCCCTGTTGTCTAAATGCCCACTTAACCAACCCAAACATCTCAAACCCATCCTTTGCTGACCTTCTATAACCCCCTTTTTAGTTTAGCTTTTTCTACAAATAAGAGAAAATAGATACATGTTGGCAAATGCTAACTGTCCATATTCATATAGAGACAGAGTGTGCTCTCTGAGCCCAATACAAAGGAAGTAAGGATTTTCATCGAAATAAAAATTTATTCAGTAAAATGGCCTTTCTGAACAAGTTAACCTGAAATCTAAGAAATACGTATACACAGGTTCTTTATACATTCAGAAAAGTAGAGACTAAAAAGAAGATAATTTTCTGAAACATTCCATTAGACATTATCCTCTGAATTAACCTGGCTTGCCTCACCATGCCAATAGAGAAATCATTAAAAATAGACTGTTTAACAGGAAAAAAAAACTCTCTCAACTTCTGTGAGAAATGATGCATAATTCTCAACTTTCCTAAGGTTAAATATTTAAGAAAAAAATATATGTATAAAAAATGGCAGAATGAAAGCCAGAGATTAAGATATAGGTGCATTATAATAAAATCTTAATAAAATTAATAATAAGGAAAATACAGAAGAAAGCCATCCACTATAAAATTTTAATAACATTAATTATCATAAAAATACAAAAGAAAGCCATCCACTAAAATTAGTACCCCAAAACACTTTATATTAGTTAACTAGCTACAGATTAACAGTTGTTGGTGTGCAAAGTTGCATACATACTTGACTTCTCATCTGGTCTAATTTCTTCCTTGAATCCTGCATCCCATTTTCTAAATAGGTGCAGTGACGCGATGAAGCATCCAGCAGAGCTTTTGTTGCTGATCCTTTGTTTAAGACATCATCTCGTTTTTGTTGAAGCTGTCTCACAGCTACCTGATAAGATGTTATTTTTGTTACTGATTTTACAAATCACCTTATTATTAAACCATTAATAATATTTAACTCTAAAGCATACTCTTTGAAAAATATCACCACACAGACCGATTCACCTTCTTTTCCTCATGTGTACACATTCCTGTGTATTACTGAATCCAGTTAAGGATACAGAAGGTGTTATCTTCCTGCCAAACTGGTATTGTTATTCACACAACATATTCAGCCCACTAGTCATTCCTCCCTTGATGAATCTGCAATGCTTAAAAACCTTCTGAAGTCTCAAAAAGAAATGAGTATGTGGGTGAGACTGATGGTAGTAAATTATACATTGTGGAATGATTTCCCTCTTTTTTTAAATTAGAAACTCAAATCAACCTCAGAGTTCCTCACATTAAATCATCTGCTTAAATCCTTCCAATAGATGTCTATCTCAGAAGAAAAGTAAAATTCCAGTGGCCTTAGATGCTCTAAGTAACCCGCCCTCCACCTCCCGCCCTGACTCAGCTGCTATATCTCTCCTCCGTACTCACTCCATTCCTACTCTACGTGAATCCTGCCACTCCTCGTTAGTCTGAAATCCTCCTTAGTCTGAAAATGGGGATCCAGTGTCAAACTAATAAATCACAGATAGCTATGCCTCTCTTTGTCCTGGACAAAGTTATATCCAAATGATAGTAATTGAGCCTTGAAATAAAAATTATGAACAAATTTTTTATTTAAAAACTGAAAGTAAATTATAAATGCCAGTGGGAAGATTAAATCAAACATGATTTGGCTAAAATTTACTGCATTTGCCCCATATTATAATAGAAGTAAAATTAGATGCCTTGAAAGAATAGAATGGTCATATCTATACATAATTTGAGATTGAAATAGTTTCAGATTTAAGTCAAATTGACATGAAGAAAAACAAAATTTTACCAACTAAGACATATTTAAAGCTACTGAAGAAAAGTAATTATGAAATAGGGAATACACTTCAGTTCATCTAGGAAATCTGAAATTCACTGTCAAAGTACCCCACTTAATTGAATCAATTTCAAAATACCATTTTAGGTATGAGCATTTCCATATACCTGATTTATCATGGTCTTAAAATGTTGCAACATAAATACATTAAAATTATTACTTCAGCAGTATAAGACTACATTATTAATGTTAGTCTATGTTAACATTTTATAACTTAAAATTTTATAAGCGACACATTGACTTTAATCAGAGGAAAGCATCTCTCAGTTCTAACTTTGACTTGCTGGAGACAAGGAATGTTTCTAAGCAGATATATTTATCATATGTATCCTTTTTTATATTCAACTAGATCCAACATTCAGCTGTAACCAAATATTACTTTAAATTTTACTTCAGGAAGTTTGAAAAATACTTATTTTTCTTGATACTTACTTCTCTTTCTGCTTTCTCTTTTTCATATTGGCATTCTTTTTCTTTCGAATGATTCAGTTCATTGACCAACATTTTATTGTCTTCTTCTAGTAAAAGACGGTGCTTTCTGCACTCAGCTTGAAGGTTTTGTACTCTAGCATCACATCTGGCTTGAATATTAAGTATTGCTTTTTCTTGATTGTCAGCTTTGTTGCGAGCATCATCCAGTTGCTGTTGAAGCAACATATTTTGTTTTTTTAGTTGACAAAATCTTTCCTGTTTTTCTATGCATTTTTCCATTGTATTGTATCCACTTTTGTACATTTTTTCAATGTCCTTCATTTGACTCTGTTTTTGCTTTAGCTCACTTTGCACGTGTTCAAAAACCAAAGCCTTTTCTTTCAGAGCCTCTCCTGTGTAATGGAGCTCAGTTTTGAGGACTCTGGACTTACTCTCAGCTTTAGAAAGTTGCAGAGAAAGAATCAGAACATGAGAATTCAAATTTTCCTGTAAGTGACGACATTTATCTACTGTGCCCTGGAAAGCAAGCTCTTGGTCTCTTTTTGATGAGTGACTTTGATCATGATCACATCGAGCAGCATTCAGTCTACAACGGTATGATTGCATTTCTGTTTCCAGTCTTTGCCTGCTCTCTCTTTGCTTCTCCAGTTTGGAACGGAGCGTTGTGTTTTCATCTGTCAGAGCAGCAAGCTGTCCACTATAACAGGCTATCGTTTTTGCTAATGTTTCCCCATTCCGTTTTAGAGCCTTTTGAAGGTCTTCATGCTTTCTTTTCACAATTTCAAAGTCTTTTAAGTATTTCTTTTCCAGGTTTTGGTTTTTTATTGTGTCTTTTTCCAGCCTGAGCCTGGCAATTTCATCTTGCATCAAGCGGTTTTCATGCAGCAGGTCTTCTTTTTCATCAGTTTCAGAAACCTAAGTAAAACAAAGCAAACTTGTAACTAGTATCCAATAGGATAACATATTGTGATTGCTTCTGAAATTAAATAATAACCCGTACATTTATACAATGAGAGGTTGCCATAACTGGATATCTAACTGGGAAAAAAGAAGTTAAGTCAAAACCTCAAACCTCATACAGCATAAATTCCCCAAAGTTCAAAAGTTTATTTGAAGACAGTGAATCCATGAAAGCAAAAAAGAAGCCACTAGATAATTTTTTTAAATTTCAGGATAAAAAAAGGCTTTTACTGAATTACAACAAATTGCAAGGCATAAAGAATTAATAACTATGACCACATTAAAAAATTGGGTTTACACTCTAACATCTAAACTATACCTCTCCCTATAGTGAGAGCCTTAGCTTGGCAGATATTTGGACAGATGAATGACATTTTCCAAATTCTTTAAGTTCCCTTTTTCTAAAATATTGTATAGATATTCTACTTTTCTAATATTGTTATGGTCAGTTTTAAGAATGACATTTATTGATAAATGATAAAGCTAGGCATTATACTAAGCACTTTTACGTGCACAAATCAATGAACTCATTTAGTTATAATTCTATAGCAAAAGGTTAAAAATATAAGCAAGCTGCAGGATTTTTCCCAGCTTTTCTGACTCTATTCCTAGTGCTCTTCCACCAAATCAGTAACTTCTGTGAGGTAGATATATACATACAAAAATAATCTTTTATTTCAAGACACCAAAAGTCAAGAAAATTAGATCTATAAAACTCTTCTTAGAAAATCATGACATTATTTGCTATTGTGATAACTTTTATTCCTTTTCCATAACATTTGAAATGTAATTAACATGAAATAGGGGAAATATGCTGAACTATGTCACTAGGAACAAAATACTTACAATATCATTAAGTATATATTGTAGAATAGCATTGTTTTCAAAAGGCCTTTGAACTAAAATAAAATATTTCAAGATTTATTATAAATAATTATAGCTATAAATGCCATGATTCATTTTTAAGATGAAATAAAATTTGGGGATTGTTCAGGCCTAAATAATATATGTTAAATGAAAGAGATGGTATAAGTAATATTAATAAGAGTAGAAATATGAAGTTTTACCAAACATTAATTTACCTGATTTGAATTATTTCCTCCTGTCTTCAATTCCACCTCTGCTGATTTGAGAGCCGGTTTAATTGGTTTTGTCACATCAGCTTCTATCCTATATTGCTCTTCTGTTATTCTTAACTTTTCCCTAACTTTTTGGTGCAACTCTTCAACATTTCTTCTTTTCTTTTTTTCTTGCTGTATGGCAAATCTGTAAATATACTTATCTTAGAATTTATCTTATCAGTGAGGACTAAGCTCTAATTTTTTATCTTGCCCAAATTCCTACCTAAGGGGTCCAGGGAGTCGTGCCCTACAAACCATGGATTCTCATCAGATGGGTTTTATTTGACCCTGTATATTGTGACTTGCTTTTCAATCTGACTCTGGCATAACCTTACGAGACAAGGAAGAAAATATTTAATCCAAAATATATTTCCTTGCCATGCCTTGAAATTGCCCTGCAAAGTCTCTTGTGGGAAAAATCCACATTCTATAGAGAACCCCCTTTCCCCTTTGTTTTCCTTCCTTTCTATGCAGATCCAGGGGATATTCAGCTGAGAGCCAGGCACCCTTTTGGGTCCGATAAGAAACATTTTACAATCTGCTCTCTCTGAAGTCTGCTGAGAGATTCCTCTGCACAGTAAAACTTGGTCCCCACAATCATTTATCTTAACCTGAACATTTCTTTCCATTAATCCCAGGTCTTCAAATAAACTCAAGCAATTGTCAACCAGAAAATGTTTAAATTTACCTACAGCCTGGAAGCCCCAGCTTTGAGTTGGCCTGCCTTTCTGAACCAAATCAATGTATTTCTTACATGTATTTGATTGCTGTCTCATGCTTCTCTAAAATGTATAAAACCAAGCTGCACCCCGACCACTTCGGGCACATGTTCTCAGGACCTCCTGAGGGCTGTGTCGGGGGCCACGGTCACTCATATTTGGCTCAGAATAAATGTCTTCAAATATCTTACAGAGTTTGACTCTCTTTGTTGATATTAGAAAATAAAACATTCATATGTTGGTTTATTATCCTAATAAAGTTTCTATGTTCTTAAATACTATTTTTCTTTCTAGTTCTCATGTTTTTAATTTCTCACCTCAATCTCATCCAAAGGGCATGTATAAGTTGAAATGTATTGATAAAAGAACATCCTGCATAAGTTTCTATTACTAGTAACTCTAGCAAATATTATGAAAAAGGACGTTGAAAATTATTCAGTAAAGTTACAAGATAAAAATTATCTTTTCTTCACAGTAATTACTCCTCAATTAGGATGAATCATTTAGAGTTAATTAACATAAAGTTACTTTTTATAAACAAGTTGGTACATTCACTAGAAATACATTTTCATCTTCATGAAACATTCATTGCAAGTATCCCTAAACATAATTTACATTGCAAGATAGCATTTTCGATGTCTTTATGAAACATATATCAGCAGATTACTGTAATCCAAGACTAGGTTAAGAATGTAATATGTTACCCTACACTTTTTAAGATTGTTTTTTGGGTAACACTTTCAGTCTATCCTGCTGATTAGTATGTACTTTATAACCAATTGTAAAATCTGTTTTGGAACAACACAAGATCTAATATTTAATTAAACAATAAAGAATAATACATGTCTTCAGCATAAAACTGAATTAATTTTATCTACATAGCAGAGAGATGTTGAATAAGCTAATCAGTAATCACTTTACATTTTACTTTTTATTCCCTGCATATTAAGAATAAAACTGGATACATTTTTTTTTTTTTTTTTTTGAGAGGGAGTCTCCTACTATCACTGGGCTGGAGTGCACTGGTGCAATCTCTGCTCACTGCAACCTCTGCCTCCCAGTTTCATGTGATTCTCCTGCCTCAGCCTCCTGCGTAGCTGGGATTACAGGTACAACCACCATACCTGGCTAATTTTTTGTATTTTTAGTAGAGATAGCATTTCACTGTGTTGGGCAGACTGGTCTCGAACTCCTGACCTCGTGATCTGCCCACCTCGGCCTACCAAAGTGCTGGGATTACAGGCATGAGCCACTGCACCCGGCTGATAATTTTTAAAATAATTATTCTGGGTAAAGAAAAATATCTGTTTTATACTCTGTTGGTTGAATTATAAATTAATATGAACATCCTTAAGAACAATTTAGAAATATTGATCACAGATCTAAAACAGATCTAAAAAAGTTTCTATACTTTAACCAGAAGAATTTATCCAATGTAAATAATTAGAAATGTAGAAAACTATGTGTATATAAAAGATGTTCCTTGTAGCATTATTACAAAAACTTTTTAAAACCTGAAATTCAATTCATCAATTAAATAATGAGATTTCCAAAAGGTAAAATTCTATACAGCCATTAAAACTATGATTTAAAAGAATATGCATTTAATTATTAGAGAAGTATTCACAATTAAGAACTTGTGATATTATATCCAATAATTTCACACTCCATAAGATTAAGAAGCTTTCTTCCCTGTTAAATCCTAGAAGGAAAGTTCGCAATTACAAAACTTCTCCTTATACGTCTTTAATATAAAACAAACAGTTCAAACATTTATTTAAAACTAGGTCATACCTCAAACTACAGAGTTCTTTTTCCAATTCAAGTATTTCATGCTTTAACTGCGATTTTATTTCTTCTTTTTCAGATATTCTCTTTTGTAGTACACTAGCCTTATTTTTCAGTTTTCGAATTTTTACTCTAAGTTGCTCACAGTGGTTATCTTTAAGTTTTATTAATCTTTTCCATAAACAAAATGTATTTTTAATTTTCAATAGGTGAACACAATCTGTAACCAGGAAAAAACAAACTAGAGATAAAATACATGAGTAGATTTTTGGATATAAAGGACTGTGCATTTTTAACATGTATTCATTCATACGTTGAACAAGTATGTACATATTGAGTGCCTACAAGGTGGAAGATATTATAGTAAGGTCTGCAGATAAGACAACACCTCTGCTATTGTTTTAGCTTAAAGTATAGTGAAGAACCAAGATAAAAAGGTGACAGTTATAAACTCAGATAGGTCCTGTAAAAAAAAAAAAAAAAAAAAAACATAGTTATGTGATTGCATAAGATAATTTGATCTATACTTCACCCAGGGAAGATTTCCCTGAGGAAGAGATGCTACACTGAGAAATGAAGGATGAGAAAGAAGCAGTTAAGCAAAGAAGAAAGCAAAGCACTCTGGCTAGTTTGCAGCATGTGCTGTGCTGAAGCTCTGCTGCAATCTGTTACTAGCTCTGATGGAGTAACAGATACTGATTTTTCATCTTATCTGAATGAATAAAAAACAAAACAGACACAATACATTAAACTGATTTTCAACACAGTGGACTTCAGGCAATGAAGATGGTAGGTGATCACTGAAAGACAGAAAACAAATACAGCAGGCCTTACAAATATCCCAGCTCTTTTGACAGAGTTTTGACGGAGGTTCGAGGCCATCACAAAGGGAGAAAATCTGACATAGAGCTGGGGTGATGACGCTGAGAGGCCAGTAAAACCAAAGCAGATAGAGATCACAGGACAGAAAACTGGAGAGAAAAAAGCAGTACAGGAAACAAATCCTGGAGATGTGCAGAGATTCCCTCTTGGGTATTTAGTGGAGTAATGAAAAGTGCTTGTGTACTAGGAAACTTCCTAAGAACAATGAAAAATAAAATAAAAAAAAACAACAGTTAAAGAACATTAGCAGAAACGATGTCTGGGGTTCACACAATGACTGGAAGAGGGTCCATTCCCATGAGCCAGGCCAAAATACCGCATACTTCACAGGACAATGAATACTCCGAAAGGTCTTGCCTCAGGAGTGAGGAATTACCCCAAATCTAAAAGCAAGAATGGAAAGATTATAAGTAAATCTCTGTACTCCAAATAAAACTCAAGATAATAAGTGGAGGCAGGGAAGGTTTTTTTTTAAAAAAACACAAACCATACTTGTAGAGACACAAATTACATTGTCATAAGTAAAAACTATAGTGGATGGAAATAAACACAAATTAGAGATAACAAAGGAAAAATTCCTAAATTTGACACGATAAACTGCAAGAAACTTTCAAGCAGCTAATAGATAACTCCTCAAATAAAAAAGAAGAGACAGAAAAAAAATTAAAGAAAAAATGACCAAAAATATTCTAACCTTAACACAAACCATAATCCCACAGATTCAGGAAGGAAGTGTCTGGGACAGAAAAAAATGAAAATGTATCATTGTCATTTTTTATACCATCTAGGATGTATAATATTACTGAAGGTGAACTGTGATAAGTTAAAATTATATACTAAAAATCCTAAACACTAAGATAGCAAAACAGTTATCGCTAATAAACCCAAAAATATATATAAAATTGAATCATAAAAAACAGTTGACTAATCTAAAGGAAAGCAGGAAAAGAAGGGGAACAGAGAACAGTTGGGACTAATAGCAATCACACAGCTACCAGACAAACATAACTATATCAGTAATCACATTACAAATGACACTTGTCTAAGAACCTCAACTATAATACAGACTGTCAGGCTCAGCAAGAAAGCAAGACCCAACTACAGGCTGCCTATAAGAAATGCACTTTAAATGTAAAGACACAAATTGGTTGTAAGGATGGAAAAAGATACATGCTAACAGTTGGCAAAGGCAGCTGAGCAGGTGTGGCTGTATTAATACCAAAGTAGATTTCATAGCAAAAAAAAAAAAACATTCCAGCAATAAATAACAAAGGTCATGTCACAATAGTAAAAGGTTCAGTTAATCAACAAAACATAACAATCCTCAGTCTTTATGCCCCTAATAACAAACCAGCCTCACAATATATGAGACCAAAGTGGATAGAACTACAAAAAGTGACAGACAATTTCTAGGTAATCTGAGGTTTCAATACCCTTTACTCAATAAGTGATAGAACAAGAAGGCAGAAAATCAGCGAGAATAGACTTGAACAACACTATGCTTTCCAAGTACCCACGGAACACTTACCAAAATAGACCATATTTTAGGCCATACAACAACTCTCAATTAAAGGATTGAGTCAGAAGGATTTAACTCATACAAAGTATGTGCCCTGACCACAAATCAATCAGATTAAAGACCGATAACAAAAATAACTCTGGGAAATACACAAATATTTGGAAACTAAGTAACACACATCTAAATAACCCTGGGTCAAACAGGTAATGAAAATAGAAATAGAAAATAGAAAATATTCTGAACTGAATAAAAATTCATCAACCAGAATTTGTGGAATGCAGCTACAGCTGTACTTGAATACAAATTTTTAGCACTGCTGAATGTCTACATTAGAAGAGTCTTAAATCAATGACTTTGACTTCTACCTTAAGCAACTAGATAAAAGAAGAGTGACATAAACCCAAAGCAAGCAGAGGAAAGGAAATAATAAACATCTGCTGTGGTCTGAATGTTTGTCTTCCCCAAAATTTATATGCTGAAAGCCAATCACAGATGTGACGGTATTAGGAGGGGGGATTTTTACAGGTAGTTGGTCATGAGAGCGAAGCCCTAATGAATGGGATTAGTGCTTAGTGCTCTATACAACAGACCCCAGATCTCCTTCACCCCTTCTGCCAAGTGAGGGCACAGAGAAAAAGCATTCATGAACTAGGACGTGTTCCCTAACCATACACCAAACATGACAGCATCTGGATCTTGGACTTTGCTGAACCCACAACTGCGAGAAATCAACTTCTGTTGTTTGAACCAGTCTATGGTATTTTGTTATACTGTTGGTTCCAGAAGAAACAATAGAAAAAAATCAACAACACAAAACACCTTGAGGAGATCAATAAATGTGATAAAGCTCCATTTAGCCAGGCTGCTCAGAATAAAAGAAACAATACAAATTACTAATTTCAGAAATAAACAATGTGACATAATTATAGATTCTACAGATACTAAAAATATAACAAGATATTATAATTTCTATGTAAGTAAACAGGACAACTTAGATAAAATTAACAAATTCCTTTAAAAATGAAAATTAGCAAATCTCAATCAAGAAGCAATAGATAACGTGAATTGCCCTATATCTATAGAAGAAAGTTAAGTTATAGTTAAAAACCTTCCTAAAAGAAAACTCCAGACCCAGCTGGCTATGCTGGTGATTCTACAAAACATTTCCGGAAGAAATTAATACAATTATACATAAACTCTCCCAAAAGAAACAGAAAGAAGGAGTATATCTCAACTCAGTCTGTAATGTTAGCTTTACCCTGAACCAAAACCAGAAAATATTACCAACAAGAAAATTCCCTCATGAGCACGAATGTAAAAATTCAACCAATTTGTGATGCAACGAAGACATCCTCCCATAGTGGAGTGAATAAACTGTGGTTACACAGCCATACAGTGGAATATCACTCTACACATAAAGAAATGAGCAATCAATTCATGAAAATATGTGAAGGAACCTTAAATGCATATTACCAAGTGACATAAGCTCATCTGAAAAGGCTACTTACTGTATGGTTCCAACTATATGATCAGGAAGAGGC
The DNA here is from genome assembly GCF_000001405.40 of Homo sapiens. Taxonomy (NCBI): domain Eukaryota; kingdom Metazoa; phylum Chordata; class Mammalia; order Primates; family Hominidae; genus Homo; species Homo sapiens. Next base: position 445,699 of record NW_025791765.1, read on the forward strand.
AAAACTATGGATAAAGTAAAAGGGTGCCTAAGGGTAAGAGACAGCAGGAAAAGATACATAGGCAGAGCACAGAGGATTTTTAGGGAAGTCAAAATAATTTATGTAACATGGATACACATCATTGTACATTTGTCCAAATCCATACATGTAAAGTACCAAGAGTGAACCCCAATGCAAATTATGGGCTTGGGGTGATTGTGATGTGTCAATTTAGGCTCATCTATCATAGCAACTACCACTATGGTGAAGGATACTGGTAATGAAGGAGGCTAAACATGTATTGGATTGGGGGTATACAAAAAAATATCTGAACCCCCCTCTCAATTTTGACAGGAACATAAAACTGGTCTAAAAAATAAAAGTCTTTATAATAAATTCTAAATGAGACTTTAGTAAACTGTATCCGACAGTATAATGAAAAGGTAATACATCATAAACAAATGGGGTTTATTCCAGAAATGGAAGGTTGGCTTAACATTGAAACATCATCATTATTTACCACAAAACAAACTGAAAGAGAAGACCCATAGGATCATCCCAACAGACACAGGCATCTGATAAAATTTACTCCTGATGTCTCAAAGAAGAAACACTCTCAGTAACATAAGAATCCAAGGGAAGTTCTTCAGCATGATAAACAACGTCTATGATGAACCTACAGCTAACGTGCATCATAGTGAAAAACTGAATGCATTTCCCATAAGATGAGGAAGAACATGGGAATGTCTGCTTTCACTACTTGTTTGTAGCATTGTTCTGAAGATTCTAGTTAATGCAGTCAGGCAAGAAAAAGAAATAAGAGGCATCCAAGTTTAAAAAAAAGAAATAAAATTGTCTTTATACACAACCATGACCATAAAATAGGTATGGGTAAACCCCAACCTGTGGGCCAGCTTCTTGTCCGATAAGCTTTTATTGGAACACAGCTGTGTTCATTAATTTATGGATGATCTATGGCTGCTCTCATACTAAAATGGCAGAGTTTATCAGCTGCAAAAGAGACCCTTTTGCCACAAGCCTAAAATATTCACTATCCTTAGTAAGAGGGTAGTTTGAGAAAGAAAGGTTTAACAACCTTTGGTCTATGAAGAAAATCTGATCAAATCTACCAACAATGTGCCAGAACTAATAAGTGAGTTTAACAAGAATGAAGGATACAAATTCAATACAGAAAAATTAACTGTATTTCTATATGCTAGCGATAAACAATCAAATGAAAATTTTAAAACTATCATTTTCTATAGTTTTATAAAAGTGTATATTTGGATTAGCAATGCTCAACCTGTATAAAGAAAGTCAAATACATCTACACTAATTAAACTATCATTTACAACTTCATCAAAAATGAAATACAGATAAATCTGATAAAATATGAAAAGACCTATAAACTAAAAACTACAAAATACTACTGAGAAAATTAAATATTACCTCTATAAAAGCAGACATACACTTTATTGAGGAGTAGATTCGCTATTGTTAAGATGTCAATTCTCCCCAAATTAATCTATAAATATGACCCAATCCCAACTTAATTTCCAACAAGCGAGCAGTCTTTATTTTATTGATAAGCTGATTCTAAAGTTCATGTGAAAATGCAAAGGATCTAGCATAGTCAAAACAGAACAAAGAACAAAATTGGAGGATTCATTTCAAGAATTACTATAAATCAATAGTAACAAAAACAGTGTGCCACAGGTACAGGCTGAATATCCCTTATTCAAAATGCTTCAGACTAGAAGTTTTTCAGATTTTGGATTTTGGAATATTTGCATATACATGATGAAATATCTTGGGGATAGGACCCAAGTCTAAACACAAAATACATTTGTTTTTCATATTTACCTTGTACACAAAGACTGAAGGTAATTTTAAATAATACTTTTAATAATTTGGGGCATGAAACAATGTTTGTATACATGAGGTCGGATGTAGAATTTTTCCACTGTGCTGTCTATGTTGGCAATCAAAAAGTCTGGGGTTTTAGAGCATTTCAGATTTGGGATATTTAAATCAGCAATGCTCAACCTGTATAAAGAAAGTCAAATTCAGACAATCCCCAACTTAAGGTGGTTTGACTTACTGACTTTACAGTGGGTTTACTGAAGTATTAAATTGCTTTTGACTCAAACACTGGGTTTCCCACAATTTGGGGAGCACCTGCAAATTAATAAAATTCAACAGACAGTCCAGAAATAGATAACACATAAGCAACCAGCTTATGACTGACAAAGGCAGGATGGCAATGCAGTGGAGAAAGGATAGCCTTTTCAACATGCGGTGTTGGAACAACTGGCTGTCCATATCCATAAAGTGAACTTGAATCCATACCTCACCTCACTCCATAGACAAAAGGAAACTCAAAATGGAGCACAGATTTAAATGGAAGATCCAAATCTATAAAATTTCTAGAACAAACACAGGAAAAATCTTTGTGACCTTGTGCTAGGCAAACATTTTTACATATGACACAAAATGCAAAATCTGTAATTCAACAATTAAATTGGATTTCATTACAATTAAAATCTTCTGCTCTTCAAAAGATACTACAAAGCAAGTGAAAAGTCAACCCAAAAACTGGCAAAAATACCCTTGTAAAAAAGTAGCTAAAAGTAATAGTATCCAAATACATACAGAATTATTAAAATTCAACACGTAAGAAAACATCAACCTACTTTTTTATATGCAAAAGATGTGAAAAGACAGTTCAACAAAGAAGATGTACAGATGGCAAATAAACACATGGAAAGATGCTCAACATTTTAGTCATTAGGATCATGTACATTAAACCCATAAGAATATACATAATACACCCATCAGAATAACTAAAATTTAAAAAAATAAATACAGCAGTAGTGTGACAACATAGCAACTGGAATGGTCATTTACTGCTGATGAGAATAGAAAATAGTACAAATATTTTGGAAAACCATTTAGCAGCTTTTAAAAACAGGAATATGAAGGGCCATGAGGAGACGTTAGTGGGTGATGGATATATGTTGACTATCTCGATGATGGTAATAGTTTCACATGTGTATACATCTGTTAAAACTTATCAAATGGTACCTTTTACATGTGTGCACTGTATCGCATATCAATTTTACCACACTAAAGCTACTGATTGTAGGAGCAAACACCTAAGGCACTGGCTGTGACACAGAGAAGGGTATGCAATGATGCAGTATAAAGCTCGAGGACTGAGATCCATATCTTATAGCAATAAATGGCAGCTGGGTTTTCAGCAAGCAGGTAACATGATCAGGTGTGATTTTTTACAACTATATAATTATGATTGCAGAACAGGCCATGGTTTTGGAAGGTGGAATAGTAGGAAAGACAGTTAGAGGGTTATCACAGTATTTCAGGTGGGAGGAAATGGTAACATGACCATGGGTAAATGGGTAATGGCATAGAAGAGAAGCAGAGTAAACAAACACACTGTGTGTATCATTCACACTGAGAAAAGTACAGTGAAATGATCATAGCTCTTTGGCTGAGAAGGTACAAGATACAGTTGCTTTCATTCTATTTTAACATAAGGCATATTTCTGAGATGAACATTCTTGTAACATATCAGTACTCTATGGTACAGTGTTAAGCAATGTGTGCATACATTGCTATAGGATTTTTAAAAAGCCTTATATTTATGCATTGGTCCTACCTTTACACTTCATTTCATGTTGATCAATGAGTAATATGACATTCTTACAATTACAGCAAAGCGAGTCACCGTCCTCTGAGACTGTTTGAGATGACTGAATTATGTCATCAAGGTCATCCCTAGAATGTATTTGGTTTTTCACCTACAAAATAAATAACACTGTTTCAAAATGTCCCCAAAATATTTATAGCATATACTAAATGTACAGAAGTGGGAATTGCCCATCTGTTTCTATGAGCACAAACACAGGTACCTGTTCCATACTTTTTTTTTAAGCAATTTCCTTTATGTTGACTCTAGTTCAGAAGACCACATGGTCTATGGATAAATTAGTTTCCCAGTTCCTATGCTATTTAGAAAACTGACAGAGAGACTTGGGTTAATTAAGGAACAAAGATTAAGAGAATGTCTTCCTGAGCTTGAGTTATTTTAATTGCAAAAACAATCTATTTATACATACAATTAGGTATTTAGATTACCCCATTTTACACAAGAGATTTTCATAAGTAAAAAAATTCAAATGGATCAAATAATTGGTGAAGAGAAAAACCAGAGTAGCAGCAAGTGACCCTCTAAGTCTTTTGGAAGTTGAACTTTCTCCAAAGCCAGGAACTCTACTTTACTTGTAATATGCTTACCTCATTCTTAAATCTTTGCATATATCACTTAATTCCACTTCTAGACATACTGCTGATGTTCTGTCACCATGTGGTGGAGAATAATGCACATTTTCTAATTCAAGTTTTATGCTTTCATATTTATTTGCACTACAGTTGTCACATAACGGCTTCTGGAACACATTCTGTATTGGTTTTGTACTGTTGTGTTTGTAACAACAGAAACACCATCATCTTTTTTTTTTTTTTTAAATCACATGCTTCATTTCTTTGGAGCAGGTAAGCCACATACCTAAAAGGCTTTTTGAATCACTAAATTGAGGCATATGTCCGATGTTTAATTTCCAGTTAGCGGTGTTTTGGTTTTTTGTCATTTGCCTCACAACCTATTTGACTTCTTTTATTTCATCCATAACTACTTCTGGGTTTCTTGCTTTTGTACTTTCAGTATCATTATAAAAATTTTCCTTGTCTGAGTTAAAAACATGTTCAGTATCTGGTTTGTTGTCATTTTCACAGTCTACTTTATTTCTATTTAAATAAAGCTCCGAAGGTGACTGGCAAGCATATTCTGGAGACCCAGAGTATGAATGAGAAAGAAAGGCATTTTTGAGACTGGGTTATTTTTGTTCAGGAAATATCTGGACTACTACAGAGACAGACATGCCAGATGCATCACTTTCCTAACAATCAGGTGAATCATTTGTCAAATTAGAGGGTATTTACTTAAGTTTGTTCTTCCTGTAGAGTTATTATGTAGTTGCTCTTCCTCAATACAAGCAGTTTTGTAATTTTCACAAATTTCACTGAAACTCTACTTTAACTTATTTGTGATGAATTTTAAAGTTTTTTTACCCTAATTTGTCTTGTTTGATCCACATTCTCTCATACTTTTGTGCACAAGTAAGTCCTGAATATATAAAGAGGTCCTTTCTATCACAACACTTTTTCACTACTAGTTGTTGAGACAATTTTTGCACATGCAAAAGTGGAAGATAAATTTGCTAGTTTTCTTTCTCAGATGTCTTTTCTGTCAGAGTACATGTTTTAGAAATAACTCTATCTTTAAATAATCAAGTGTAAAAAGAGAAAAATTTTAAAATAATTAAAGTTTAATATCAAACTTCTTAATCTATGTTTACCTACTGCCAAATCACTGGATTGTAACTAAGAAGTGAAAAATAATTTGCATTAGCCTAAAATCAGTGAAAAACACAAATCATGAAACTTTAATTTGCCACTGTTTGTTTGAACTAAACTTGACTAATTCATTATGTGTTAAATTTCCCAAAAATGAATTAGGAGATGACTTGTGGTACTATAAAGGCACTGTCACTTTAAAAGATTTTATCACTATATGAACAGTGTACACTTGAGTGCTTTTTCCTAATATTACTAACTAATGATTAGGCAAACTTTAAATTATTAGGAGCCAAAATCACCACCAGTCAGTAAGAAAAGCAAATTCTTTGTCTGGCAGCCAAGATGGCCAAATAGGAACAGCTCTGGTCTACAGCTCCCAGTGTGAGCGACGCAGAAGATGGGTGATTTCTGCATTTCCATCTGAGGTACCAGGTTCATCTCACTAGGGAGTGCCAGACAGTGGGTGCAGGATAGTGGGTGCAGTGCACTGTGCATGACCTGAGGGAGGGTGAGGCATTGCCTCACTCAGGAAGTGGAAGGGGTCAGGGAGTTCCCTTTCCTAGTCAAAGAAAGGGGTGACAGACAGCACCTGGAAAATTGGGTTACTCCCACCCTAATACTGCACTTTTCCAATGGGCTTAAAAAATGGCGCACCAGGAGATTATATCCTGCACCTGGCTCAGACAGTCCTATGCCCATTGAGTCTCACTGATTGCTAGCACAGCAGTCTGAGATCAAACTGCAAGGCAGCAGTGAGGCTGGGGGAGGGGCGCCTGCCATTGCCCAGGCTTGCTTAGGTAAACAAAGCAGCTGGGAATCTCAAACTGGGTGGAACCCACCACAGCTCAAGGAGGCCTTCCTGCCTCTGTAGGCTCCACCTCTGGGGGCAGGGCACAGAGAAACAAAAAGACAGCAGTAACCTCTGCAGACTTAAATGTCCCTGTCTGACAGCTTTGAAGACAGCAGTGGTTCCCCCAGCCTGCAGCTGGAGATCTGAGAATGGGCAGACTGCCTCCTCAAGTGGGTCCCTGACCACTGACCCCAAGCAGCCTAACTGGGAGGCACCCCCCAGTAGGGGCAGACTGAACCTCACATGGCTGGGTACTCCTCTGAGACAAAACTCCCAGAGGAAAGATCACACAGCAGCATTCGCTGTTCATGAAAATCCACTGTTCTGCAGCCACCGCTGCTGATACCCAGGCAGACAGGGTCTGGAGTGGACCTCTAGCAAACTCCAACAGACCTGCAGCTGAGGGTCCTGTCTGGTAGAAGGAAAACTAACAAACAGAAAGGACATCCACACCAAAAACCCATCTGTACATCACCATCATCAAAGACCACAAGTAGATAAAACCACAAAGATGGGGAAAAAACAGAGCAGAAAAACTGGAAACTCTAAAAAGCAGAGTGCCTCTCCTCTTCCAAAGGAACACAGTTCCTCACCAGCAATGGAACAAAGCTGGACGGAGAATGACTTTGACAAGTTGAGAGAAGAAGGCTTCAGATGATCAAACTACTCTGAGCTACAGGAGGAAATTCAAACCAAAGGCAAAGAAGTTAAAAACTTTGAAAAAAATTTAGATGAATGTATACCTAGAATAACCAATACAGAGAAGTGCTTAAAGGAGCTGATGGAGCTGAAAGCGGAGGCTCGAGAACTACGTGAAGAATGCAGAAGCCTCAGAGGCCGATGCGATCAACTGGAAGAAAGGGTATCAGTGATGGAACATGAAATGAATGAAATGAAGCGAGAAGGGAAGTTGAGAGAAGAAAGAATAAAAAGAAATGAACAAAGTCTCCAAAAAATATGGGACTATGTGAAAAGACCAAATCTACATCTGATTGGTGTACCTGAAAGTCACGGGGAGAATGGAACCAAGTTGGAAAACACTCTTCAGGATATTATCCAGGAGAACTTCCCCAATCTAGCAAGGCAGGCCAACATTCAGATTCAGGAAATACAGACAACGCCACAAAGATACCCCTCGAGAAGAGCAACTCCAAGACACATAATTGTCAGATTCACCAAAGTTGAAATGAAGGAAAAAATGTTAAGGGCAACCAGAGAGAAAGGTCGGGTTACCCACAAAGGGAAGCCCATCAGACTAACAGTGGATCTCTCGGCAGAAACTCTACAAACCAGAAGAGAGTGGGGGCCAATATTCAACATTCTTAAAGAAAAGAATTTTCAACCCAGAATTTTGTACCCAGCCAAACTAAGCTTCATAAGTGAAGGAGAAATAAAATACTTTATAGACAAGCAAATGATGAGAGATTTTGTCACCATGAGGCCTGCCCTAAAAGAGCTCCTGAAGAAAGCACTAAACATGGAAAGGAACAACCGGTACCAGCCACTGCAAAATCATGACAAAATATAAAGACCATCGAGACTAGGAAGAAACTGCATTAACTAACGAGCAAAATAACTAGCTAACATCATAATGCCAGGATGAAATTCACACATAACAATATTAACTTTAAATGTAAATGGACTAAATGCTCCAATTAAAAGACACAGACTGGCAAATTGGATAAAGAGTCAAGACCCATCAGTGTGCTGTATTCAGGAAACCCATCTCACATGCAGAGACACACATAGGTTCAAAATAAAAGGATGGAGGAAGATCTACCAAGCAAATGGAAAACAAAAAAAGGCAGGGGTTGCAATCCTATCTCTGATAAAACAGACTTTAAACCAACAAAGATCAAAGAGACAAAGAAGGCCATTACATAATGGTAAAGGGATCAATTCAAAAAGAAGAGCTAACTATCCTAAATATATATGCACCCAATACAGGAGCACCCAGATTCATAAGGCAAGTCCTGAGTGACCTACAAAGAGACTTAGACTCCCACACAATAATAATGGGAGACTTTAACATCCCACTGTCAACATTAGACAGATCAACGAGACACAAAGTTAACAAGGAGACCCAGAAATTGAACTCAACTCTGCACCAAGTGGACCTAATAGACATCTACAGAACTCTCCACCCCAAATCAACAGAATATACATTTTTTTCAGCACCACACCACACCTATTCCAAAATTGACCACATAGTTGGAAGTAAAGCTCTCCTCAGCAAATGTAAAAGTACAGAAAGTATAACAAACTGTCTGTCAGACCACAGTGCAATCAAACTAGAACTCAGGATTAAGAAACTCACTAAAAACCGCTCAACTACATGGAAACTGAACAACCTGCTCCTGAATGACTACTGGGTACATAACGAAATGAAGGCAGAAATAAAGATGTTCTTTGAAACCAACGAGAACAAAGACACAACATACCAGAATCTCTGGGACACATTCAAAGCAGTGTACAGTGGGAAATTTATAGCACTAAATGCCCACAAGAGAAAGCAGGAAAGATCCAAAATTGACACCCTAACATCACAATTAAAAGAACTAGAAAAGCAAGAGCAAACACATTCAAAAGCTAGCAGAAGGCAAGAAATAACTAAAATCAGAGCAGAACTGAAGGAAATAGAGACACAAAAAACCCTTCAAAAAATTAATGAATCCAGGAGCCGGTTTTTTGAAAGGATCAACAAAATTGATAGACCGCTAGCAAGACTAATAAAGAAGAAAAGAGAGAAGAATCAAATAGATGCAATACAAAATGATAAAGGGGGTATCACCACCAATCCCACAGAAATACAAACTACCATCAGAGAATACTACAAACACCTCTATGCAAATAAACTAGAAAATCTAGAAGAAATGGATAAATTCCTGGACACATACACCCTCCCAAGACTAAACCAGGAAGAAGTTGAATCTCTGAATAGACCAATAACAGGCTCTGAAATTGTGGCAATAATCAATAGCTTACCAACCAAAAAGAGTCCAGGACCAGATGGATTCACAGTCGCATTCTACCAGAGGTACAAGGAGGAACTGGTACCATTCCTTCTGAAACTATTCCAATCAATAGAAAAGAGGGAATCCTCCCTAACTCATTTTATGAGGCCAGCATCATCCTGATACCAAAGCTGGGCAGAGACACAACCAAAAAAGAGAATTTTAGACCAATATCCTTAGTGAACATTGATGCAAAAATCCTCAATAAAATACTGGCAAACCGAATCCAGCAGCACATCAAAAAGCTTATCCACCATGATCAAGTGGGCTTCATCCCTGGGATGCAAGGCTGGTTCAATATACGCAAATCAATAAATGTAATCCAGCTTATAAACAGAACCAAAGACAAAAACCACATGATTATCTCAATAGATGCAGAAAAGGCCTTTGATAAAATTCAACAACCCTTCATGCTAAAAACTCTCAATAAATTAGGTATTGATGGGACGTATCTCAAAATAATAAGAGCTATCTATGACAAACCCACAGCCAATATCATACTGAATGGGCAAAAACTGGAAGCATTCCCTTTGAAAACTGGCACAAGACAGGGATGCCCTCTCTCACCACTCCTATTCAACATAGTGTTGGAAGTTCTGGCCAGGCCCATTAGGCAGGAGAAGGAAATAAAGGGTATTCAATTAGGAAAAGAGGAAGTCAAAATGTCCCTGTTTGCAGACGACATGATTGTATATCTAGAAAACCCCATTGTCTCAGCCCAAAATCTCCTTAAGCTGATCAGCAACTTCAGCAAAGTCTCAGGATACAAAATCAATGTACAAAAATCACAAGCATTCTTATACAACAATAACAGACAAACAGAGAGCCAAATCATGAGTGAATTCCCATTCACAATTGCTTCAAAGAGAATAAAATACCTAGGAATCCAACTTACAAGGGACGTGAAGGACCTCTTCAAGGAGAACTACAAATCACTGCTCAAGGAAATAAAAGAGGATACAAACAAATGGAAGAACATTCCATGCTCATGGGTAGGAAGAATCAGTATCGTTAAAATGGCCATACTGCCCGAGGTAATTTATAGAATCAGTGCCATCCCCATCAAGCTCCCAATGACTTTCTTCACTGAATTGGAAAAAACTACTTTAAAGTTCATATGGAACCAAAAAAGAGCCCGCATCACCACATCAATCCTAAGCCAAAAGAACAAAGCTGGAGGCATCACACTACCTGACTTCAAACTATACTACAAGGCTACAGTAACCAAAACAGCATGGTACTGGTACCAAAACAGAGATATAGACCAATGGAACAGAACAGAGCCATCAGAAATAATGCCACATATCTACAACTATCTGATCTTTGACAACCCTGAGAAAAACAAGCAACGGGGAAAGGATTCCCTATTTAATAAATGGTGCTGGGAAAACTGGCTAGCCATATGTAGAACGCTGCAACTGGATCCCTTCCTTACACCTTATACAAAAATTAATTCAAGATGGATTAAAGGCTTAAACGTTAGACCTAAAACCATAAAAACCCTAGAAGAAAACCTAGGCATTACCATTCAGGACATAGGCATGGGCAAGGACTTCATGTCTAAAACACCAAAAGCAATGGCAACAAAAGCCAAAATTGACAGATGGGATCTAATTAAGCTAAAGAGCTTCTGCACAGCAAAAGAAACTACCATCAGAGTGAACAGGCAACCTACAAAATGGGAGAAAATTTTCACAACCTACTCATCTGACAAAGGGCTAATATCCAGAATCTACAAAGAACTCAAACAAATTTACAAGAAAAAAACAAACAACCCCATCAAAAAGTGGGCAAAGGATATCAACAGACACTTCTCAAAAGAAGACATTTATGCAGCCAAAAAACACATGAAAAAATGCTCATCATCACTGGCCATCAGAGAAATGCAAATCAAAACCACAATGAGATACCATCCCACACCAGTTAGGATGGCAATCATTAAAAAGTCAGGAAACAACAGATGCTGGAGAGGATGTGGAGAAATAGCAACACTTTTACACTGTTGGTGGGACTGTAAACTAGTTCAACCATTGTGGAAGTCAGTGTGGTGATTCCTCAGGGATCTAGAACTAGAAATACCATTTGACCCTGCCATCCCATTACTGGGTATATACCCAAAGGACTATAAATCATGCTGCTATAAAGACACATGCACACGTATGTTTATTGTGGCACTATTCACAATAGCAAAGACTTGGAACCAACCCAAATGTCCAACAATGATAGCCTGGATTAAGAAAATGTGGCACATATACACCATGGAATACTATGCAGCCATAAAAAATGATGAGTTCATGTCCTTTGTAGGGACATGGATGAAATTGGAAATCATCATTCTCAGTAAACTATCGCAAGGACAAAAAACCAAACACTGCATGCTCTCACTCATAGGTGGGAATTGAACAACGAGAACACGTGGACACAGGAAGGGGAACATCACACTCTGGGGACTGTTGTGGGGTGGGGGGAGGGGGGAGGGATAGCATTAGGAGGTATACCTAATGCTAAATGACGAGTTAATGGGTGCAGCGTACCAGCATGGCACATATATACATATGTAACTAACCTGCACATTGTGCACATGTTCCCTAAAATTTAAAGTACAATAATAATAAAATAAAAAAAGAAAAGCAAATTCTTACATTTTAATGCAAATTACATATTGTAATATGATTGACAGTGTTATATATTTATATAGATTATAGGCTTAAGTTCTAAGGTCTACTAATGACAGTGGATTTAATAAATTTAACAATATTTAGAGATTTTCTATATTGAAATTCATTAGGCAGTTATTGTTTGTACACTAATACCAAAGGTGCCATTTTGCAAGGTATAATTCTCTTGATAGCCAGTTGGGTTGATTTTATGACCCATTCTCTCCCTCAACATAGAAACTGAAGTCAGAGATCAAAAGGGAAAATAAATTCTTAACCTTGGTATTAGTGACTGGCAATAAAAAAACTGCAAAGTTTGAACCACTAGCAATAATTACTCCTTTAATCTGAATCCAGTACGGTGGTCATCACTGTTAAATTGTTCATAATTTCTATTGCTTAAAATTGTAATTCAATATTTGATGTTACCTTCTTTATTATAATAGGAAGTTATAAAAATAGAAGTGCAAACAATATCAGGAACTTTTTAACTCAATTCCAAGAGTAAAGATTAGATACAAGTTGCTATAGATTCCAACACTATTTTAAGTTTTATAACTAAATGTTTTTAAAATGAAATATTAAATTATAATCAACTGATACTAAAAGGCAAATCCAAAGGTAAATTCATTTCAAATATGCTGTATTACCAAAGCTAGGAAAACAAGATTAAACCAGAAATTTGATTTTAAATTTTTACATACCTGTGGCTGGTTATTTTCATATTCTTCAAGCCTCTTTTGCTCTCCCTCTGATGCCATTTCTAAGTCTTGTTCTGCTAAAAAAATTATATATTTAGTTAAAATGAGCTACACAGAACAGTTAGATAAAAGCCATGGTCAGCGGTGGCTCACGCCTGTAATCCCAGCACTTTGGGAGGCTGAGGCGGGTGGATCACGAGGTCAGGAGATAGAGACCATCCTGGCTAACAAGGTGAAACCTCGTCTCTACTAAAAAATACAAAAAATTAACTGGGCGTGGTGGCAGGTGCCTGTAGTCCCAGCTAGTCGGGAGGCTGGGGCAGGAGAATGGCGTCAGCCCGGGAGGTGGAGCTTGCAGTGAGCTGAAGATCTCACCACTGCACCTCCAGCCTGGGTGGCAGAGCGAGACTGTGTCTCAAAAAAAAAAAAAAAAAGCCATATTCTTTCTAAAACCAGAAAATAAAAGTGTTTCAACGAAGCTTAATCTTTAGTATAATATGTACTTCTTTAAGAAAGGCTTTTAATCCTCCAAAACTTCAGCAAACCACTTGGGGAGGCACTAGATGTCACCAGGTTCAAGCCATGCAAACGTGGTCAAAGATTCACTCACAAATTCATCCACCCAACATCAATGAACAAAACCATCAGAAATAAGACAAAATGTAAAAATCCAATAGAAACAGAAAAAGTAACAGCACACTGTTCTTTACTTCACAATAGTACCTTTAGAACAGCACATTGAGCCTGCTGTTCATTATTAATCATTTCCAAAATGACTGCTACTGTTTACACTTTCATCAATGTACAGTCTCTTCTTTATATCTAAAATATTTTCCTCAACTATTCTGACAGATTTCTTTCATAATTTAAGACTCAGACAGCTATGTGAAGTCTTCCTTGATTCCGGCTATCTTTCCTCAGATAAATGATTTTATTTAATACAGGTTTTATAACATATGTAGTTAAGGTTTCAAAAGTGAGATTATGTCTCAACTAACTATAACTGAAATAGAAGAGTGTATCTATTTCAATGTAAACATGTTGACTGATAATGAGAAAAATGATCCTTATAAAGAATAGCAAATCATGATCCTAAGACAGTAAGTGTCAAAGCTGATGGGAGGATGCTATGGCCTATCTTTAATGCAATACTTCAGATTCAATTACACCATTATACTACAAGCATTTATCATGTCCAACTATTTTTCCTATTATTTAGGAAGTACAAAGTTGTGAGGACACTTCCAATAAATATACAATTTATTTCTCATCAGAGAAACTGTTTAAAATTAATCAGCTTAGATAGACAGTTGTAGAATAAAAATTAATAAAACTATTCATTTTTTTCATTCCTAGGTAGGCTACTGCTATGTCTACATTGCTTGTATCCTGCAGTTTGGCCCTGTCAAGAACTTTCTGAATCCACTCATGCAAGAAGATATGTAAACCACATCAAAAATAGTGTATAGGCTGGGTGTGGTGGCTCACGCCTGTAATCACAGCACTTTGGGAGGCTGAAGTGGGTGGATTACAAGGTCAGGAGGTCGAGACCAGCCTGACTAACATGGTGAAACCCCATCTCTACTCAAAATACAAAAATTAGCCAGGCATGGTGTCATGTGCCTGTAATCCCAGCTACTCAGGAGGCTGAGGCAGGAGAATCGCTTTAACCCGGGAGGTAGAGGTTGCAATGAGCCGAGATTGTGCCATTGCACTCCAGGCTGGGAGACAGAGCGAGACTCCATCTCAAAAAAAAAAAAAAAAGTGTATAATAAGCTTTCAATATGTAAATAATTGTCAAAAATGAAAAAATTAAATTTCCACAGACATTAATAACATTTTATACTTCAAAATCAGTACAACGTTCACTGATTATTTTGGTTTTGTTATTCAAAGAATGAATGCTATAACTTTTTGTTTCTAAAATTAGTTCGATTTGATATACCATGCTAATCTCTAAGGCACTTTCATGGAACTGTGATCTTATTAAAAAAATAGGTTTCTTAGTAAAATCAGTCAAAGTTTCTTAGTTCAAATAAATTTCATTTGATTAACTAATATCAACACTTCTATATAGCTCTTATAAATTATTCCCACCACAAATGAAGAGGAAAGCCTCTTAATTTAGCAGTAGTACCTTACATGTATAATTTCTATTTCCTAAATTTGTGTTCCTTTCCCTCTGGCTAGAAACATGCTCAGAAATAGTAGCAAAATGACACTGTTATGTTTCAAACTGCTATCAGATGGCAAACAGGTATACGGAAAGGTGCTCGACATCACTGATCATCACAGAAATGCAAATCAAAGCTACAATGAGGTATCATCTCACCTCAGTTAAAATGGCTTTTATCCAAATGGCAGGCATTAAGAAATGCTGGTGAGGATGTGGAGAAAGCAGAACCCTCGTACACCATTGGTGGCATTGTGAATTAGTACAGTCACTATGGAGAACACTATAGAGTCCTCAAAAAATTAAAAATACAGCTACCCACATGATCCAGCAATCCCATTGCTAGGTAACGATTCAAAAGCAAGAAAATCAGTATTATAAAAGAGAAATCTGTCCTGACATGTTTATTGCAGCACTTTTCACAATAGCCATGATTTGGAATCAACCTAAATGTACATCAACAGAAAAATGGGTTCTAAAAATGTGATACATATACGGCTCAGCCATGTGAAAGAATAAGATCCTCTCATTCGCAATGACATGGATGGAACAGGAGGACATTATGTCAAGTAAAATAATCCAGGCAAAGAAAGGAAGCCTTCACATGTTGTCAGTCCTTTGTGGGTGTGAGAAATTTAAAAAATAGAGCTCATGGAGATGAAGAGAAAAATCACCATTACCACAGTCTAGGAAGGGTGTGGGGGTGGTAGGAAAAGAGGATGCTTAATAAGTACAAACTATAGTTAGAAACAATGAATAAAATGTAGCATTTTATAGCACAAAAACATGACTACAGTCAGAAATAACTTGTTGTACATTTTAGGATTACTGAGGAAGTACAAATGAAAAGATAGCACAAAGAAATGGTTAATGCTTGAGGTGATGGATAACCCATTAACCATGATGTCATTATTACACATTGTATGCCTGTATCAAACTATCTCATCTACTCCATAAACATAAACACCTACAATTTACTCATTAAAATTAAAAACAAAAAAATAAAACACACACACACACACACACACACACAGTGTGCTAATCAGAACATCCGATTGGCTTAATATAATAAGTGTAACAAAATTGACCAGAACCAATAAAAGTTAAAACAAAATATGTTACAAAATAAAACATTTCATTAGCTAAAAGCCATAATTTTAATTGACTTTTAAAGCAAAACAAATATTTTACAGTATCAAAATTGATCTCTTTAATTCGCTAAAAACTATTGAATTCCAAATTGGAAACTTCAGAGTATCAAAATGTAAAAGTAGAAACATCTGAATAAAACCTTATATTTTTAGGCCAGGCATGGTGGTTCACACCTGTAATCCCAGCACTTTGGGAGGGCGAGGCGGGAGGATCACCTGAGGTCGAGAGCTCAAGACCAGCCTGACCAACATGGAGAAAGCCTGTCTCTACTAAAAATACAAAATTAGCCGGGCATGGTGGGGCATACCTGTAATCCCAGCTACTCGGGAGGCTGAGGCAGGAGAATTGCTTGAACCAGGAAGGTGGAGGTTGTGGTGAGCTACAATTGAGCCATTGCACTCCAGCCTGGGCAACAAGAGCAAAGCTCTGTCTCCAAAAACAAAAAACAAAACAAAAAAAAAAACCTTATGTTTTAAAAATGTATTTTCCTTATGCATGTAAATCTCATTTTTGAAAATATAAATAAAAATGATAACAGCTGCATTATTTAGATGAAATCCTGAAATAAAATATAAAAAGTGAAATAATTGAGAATAGAAAGACTATGAGCATTACAAACAGATTAATGTACTTCTTTCCAGAGTTAAATCTACAATGCAAAGTTTACCTGGTGTGGATGTTTGTACCTCCTTCATTTTGGTGGCTGTATTCAGAACAGAATCTTTATTTTCAATTGTAGCCTGAATGGGTTTTAAAACAAAGTGATTAGCACATGATGTATATTGGTATAGGTTATGCAGTTAATAATTAAAAATATAAATGTAAGAGTAATTACCTTCAAGGTGCGCAGATTCTCAGGATACTCTAACAAGCAAGAGAAATATATAATCATATGTAAATATGGTAAGGCCAACCATACATTCGTGGAGTGTTAGCATCAAACTGAATACTCTTGCCTGTATTAGTGTAGGGTTTCATGTTTTTCTAGTTTGTTTCTTTGGGACAGTAACATGATAGAAATGCAATAAAGAAAATAGGAATACAAGCTTCAAAAACATACAGTTACAAGTTAAAAAGTGAGATTATGCACCACATCTATTGCTAAAAAAAAGTGTTAATATCAATGTGGATATACTGATTAACAAGGAGAAATGTGATCTAAAATCAGAGGAGCAAGTCATAACCCTAGAAATAAGTGTAAAAGCTGGTGCTAACTGCGACTACATGACTTTCATACAAGACATCAGAAGGCTTTATACCAGTATAACATAAACATTCATCATGCTCTTTAGCTTGTCTGATAACTGAGAAGGTACACAATTACAATGACACTTCAGTTGAACGTACACTTCACGTATCTTCAGTGTAAGTGTCCTGAATTGATCTGCTTGGATATATGTTTGGTGAATCCTAGTAGTTAATATTCATTATTTATCATGCCCATGTGGTGTAATAGTCTGCCTACATTTCTTATATCCTCTAGTTTAGCCTTCAGAAAGTTTCTTCATCCACTAATGGCAAGAAGGTCTAATATATAAACCCCATCGAAAAGTATAATAAATTATACATATTTATACAAAATGGAATTGCTCCAGGCATTAGATATTAATAAACTTACACATTTGGAAATCAGTCCAATATTCATTGAAAATAATCACTTTAAGATTCAATTAATGCATTCAACATTATTTTTGTCTGTAAAATTAGTCTGCTCTGGAATATCACTTTACTATAAAGAATTTTCATTAAATAGCTATTTTAACAAGACAGCCAGCACTTTGGAAAAAACTAAATATTCATATTAAATTTCAACTCATTTGAATAACTAATAAAGAATATATGTCTGATGTCTGATACTAATAAACATGAATAATGAGGCACTGTGATTTATCCCAATTCTAGCACTCCTTCCTGATTACAGTAGTCATTGGAGCAGCCAGAAATCAGATCTTCTGGTATGCAAATATTCTAAATGCATGTGAAGTGAGTTCACTCAGGCTTCCTCAGCAGAAACCCCAAAATTACCTAAATAACTTCTTCCTTCCCCTCTTTCTTGCCTTGCAATCCCTCTCTTGATGAAAATAATTACTACATCAGTGGTCACCTTGCTCCTCATTCTCCAGTGTTTATGGGTTATTATGACAACTTCCTCCCTCTGGTTTAAGCAGTACCATCTGACATCTATAATTTCTATTACTTTTTTCTCTTTCTCCTTCCCCTTTCCATAGAAACATGCTCTGAAATAAGAGCAAAATTATGCTGTCCCCGGATCCTCTTATCTCTTATGTCTTGAACTGTTTTCCAACGGTTCTTCTACACAATTTCAATGTAGGGAAGTCTATAAGCTTGTTACTAAGATCATGGCCAAGGACCAGCAGCATCAACAACACCTGACAACTCAGTAGAAATGCACAATCTCAGGCCTGCTGAATCAGAAAGTGCATTTTCAATGAGCCCCCTGCTGATCTATTCAGGGGTGGGACGTTGTCTTCTATCTTGAGTGCACATGACATTAAATGTATATTGCCAAATTACCTGTTCCAGATTTCCCACCGCCCGTTATTCTTGTGGCAATATTCAAAAGAGAAACTTTCTTTTTAAATATAACCTGAATGGAAAGAGAAACAAAATAGTCAATACATAATATATATTTCATAGGCTATGCAATAAATAATTCAAAATATAAATGAAAGAGTAACTACCTTCTGGGCCGATTGTTTCTGAGGAGACACTGAAAAGTAAAAGAAATATATAATCCATCATATGTAAATATGATAAAGTTATCCACACATTCATGCAGTGTTAGCATCAAGCTGTATCCTCCTGCCTGTACTAGTGTAGGATTTGATGTTTTACAGTTTGTGTCTTTGGGACAGGAACATGAGGAAATATGCTGAAGAAAATAGGAATACACGCTTCCAGAAAATATTCAGTCAGAAATTACAAAGAGGTATTTTGCGTCATGTGTGTATTACTGAAATAAAAAGTGTCAATATCAATGTGGATATGCTGAATGATGAAAAGAAATGTGATCTAAAATCAGAGGAGCAACTCATACACCCAGGAACCAATGTCAAAGAAGGTACTAAATGCTACTGCATGTTTTTCATGCAAGACATCAGAAGGATTTATACCACTGTACTGCAAGTATTCATCATGCTCTTTAACTTGCCTGGTAATTGAGCAGGTACACAATGACAATGACACTTTAATAGAATGTACACTTCACAAGTCCTCAGTGGAAGTGTCGCAGCTTCATCAGCTTGGATATAGGTTGGGATAATCCTGTATACAATATTCTTTATTTCTCAAACCCATGTGGTGTAATAATGTGCCTACATTTGTTGTGTCCTCTAGTTTAGGCTACAGAAAGGTTCTTCATCCACTCATGGCAACAAAGTATAATATATAAACCATATCAAAAAGTATAATAAATGATCAAATGACAAACTTATACAAAATAAAGTTGCTACAAGCATTAGATATGAATAACCTTTTACATTTGGAAATCACTACAATATTCATTGAAAATAACAATTTTAAAAGTCAATTAATGAATTCAAATTAATTTTGTTTCTAAAATAGTCTGGTTTGAAGTATCATGTTACTCTCTAAAGCATTTTCATTAAATTGCTATTTTATCCAAAGTTAGCTAATTGAAAAGCCAATATATGCATATTCATGTTTATTTCATTTGAATAACTAATATCAACAAAACATATATCTCTGACACCCAAGAGTAACAAAGAGGAGCAATGAGTCACTGTGGTTTATCCCAATTCTAGGAGTCCTTCCTGCTTCCACTGGTTCCTAAAGCAGTCAAAATCAAATCTTCTTTTAGGAAAATATTCGAATATGCATCTGAACACAAGTTTCCTCAGAAGAAACAACAAAATTACCTAAATAACTTCTTATTTTCCCTCCTTTCTGCCTGACAATCCCTCTTCCTTGAGGAAAGTAATTGCTACATCAGCGGTCTCGTTAGTTCTCATTCTACAGTGTTTATGGGTTATTGTGATCACTTTTCCATCTGTTTTTAGGAACGCGATGTGATATCTGTAAAATCTATACTTCATCTCTATCTCCTACCACCCTTGGTGAAAACATGCTGTAGAATTAAAGCAAAATTATGCTGTCCCCTGAGCCCCTTATGTCTTGACATGGTCTCCAATGTTTCTTCTTCCCAATTTCAATGTGGGGAAGTCTATAATCTTACTTCGAAGATCACGTCCAAGACCAGCAGCATCAGCGTCACCCGAGAACTTATTACAAATGAAGAATCTCAGGTCTGCAGAATCGGAATGTGCAGCTGCGACGAACCCCCCCGCTGATTTATTTGGGGAAGAGAAGTTCTTTTCTATCTGGACTGAACATGACATTAAATGTGTTTTGTAAAATTACCTGTCCCAGATTTTTCTCCATCCTTTATTTCTCTGGCTATATTCGAAACAGAATCTTTCTCATCACCTGTAGTCTGAATGGAATTTGAAACAAAATAATAAATAAATAAAGTATGTTTCATAGACTATACAATTACTAGTTCACAATATAAATAAGAGTTTAATTACCTTCAAGGCTGGTCGTCTCTGAGAAGACACTGAAAAGCAAAAGGGATACATAATCACCCACATGCACGTATGATAAAGTTATTCATACATTCATGCAGTGTTAGCATCAAGCTGTATCCTTCTGCCTGTACTAGGGTAGGATTTGATGTTTCCTACTTTGTGTCTGGGGATTGGAACATGACAGAAATACACTGAAAAAAAGTAATACAGCCTTCATGAAAAATATACTTACAATTTCAAGCATGGTATGATTTGTCATATGTCTAAAACTAAAATAAAACCGTGTCAATATCAACGTGGATATGCTGAGTGATGAGGACAAATGTGATCTAAAATCAGAGGATCAACTCATACACCTGAGAATCAATGTCAAAGTAGGTGGTACTTGATCCCACAGGTCTTTCATGCAAGAAATCAAAAGGATTTACACCATTATACTACAGACATTCATCATGCTCTTTAACTTGCCCGATAACAGAGAAGGTACACAATTACAATGACACTTCAGTTGAATGTACACTTCACGTCTCTTCAGTAGAAGTGTCCTAAATTGATCACCTTGGATATCTGTTTGCTGAAACTGAGTAGATAATATTTATTATTCCTCAAACCCACGTGGTGTAATAATTTGCCTAAGTTTCTTGTATCCACTCGTTTAGCTTTCCAAAAGTTTCTTCATCCATTCATGGCACCAAAGGATAATATATTAGCCTCAATAAAAATATCATCAATTATCAATTTTGACATACTTCTACAAAGTAAAACTGCTACAAGCGTTAGATATTAATATGTTTTACATTCACAAATCACTCCAATATTCATTGAAAATGACCACTTTAGGAGTTAATTAGAATTCCACATACTTTTTGTTTCTAAAATAGTCTTGTTGGGAGTATCATGCTATTCTCTAAAGAAGTTTCATCCAATAGCTATTTTACCCAAGAGTTAGCTCCTTGAACAACGAAGCCAATGTATTCATATTCAAGTTTATCTCATTTTTATAACTAAAATCAACAAAACATGTATCTCTGATGCCTAATAGTAGCAAAGAAGAGTAATGAGTCAGTGTGCTTTATCCCAATTCTAGCATTGTTTCCTGCTTCCAGTAGTTCTTGGAGAAGCCAAAATTTAGTGTTCTTTTATGCAAATATTCCAAATTTATCTGAAGTGAGTTCACTCAGCTTTCCTCAACAGAAACCCCAAAATTACATAAATAACTTCTTCTTTTCTCTCCTTCCTGCCTCACAATCCCTCTTCCTTGTGGAAAATAATTGCTACTTCAGTGATCTTGTTCGTTCTCATTCTATGCTGTTTTTGAGGTATTAGGATGACGTTTCCCTCTGTTTATAACAATATAATCTGACGCCTATAATATCTATTACTTCATCTCTTTCTCCTTCCCCTCTTGATGGAAACTTGCTGTAGAATTAAAGCAAAATGATGCTGTCCCCTGAGGCTGTTATGTGCTAAACCACTCTCCTATGGTTATTCTTCCTAATTTCAATGTAGGGAAGTCTACAATCTTACTACTCAGATCATGGTCAAGGACCAGCACCATCAGGGTCACCCGAGGACTTATTACAAATGAAGAATCTCAGGCATGCTGAATCCAAACATAAAGCTTCAATGAAACCCCCGCTGATTTATTTGGGGAAGTGAATTTCTCTTCTATTTGATCGAACATTACATTAAAGGTGTATTCCAAAATACCTGTCCCACGTATTTGTCCATCCTTTATTTCTGTGGCTATATTCGAAACAGAATCTTTCTTGACACTTGTAGCCTGAATGGGATTTGAAACAAAATAATCAATACATAAAGTATATATTCATAGACTATACAGTTAATAGTTCAAAATATATATGAGTGTTTAATTACCTTCCAGGCCGGTTGTTTCTGAGAAGACACTGAAAAGCAAAACAGATACATAATCACTCATATGTGCATATGATAAAGTTATTCAAACATTCATGCAGTGTTAGCATCAAGCTGCATCTGTCTGCAGTTATTAGTGTAGGCTTTGATGCTTTATACTTTGTGTTTTGGGATGGGAACATGACAGAAATACACTGAAGAAAACAGGAATACAGGTTTCAAGAAATATACACTAAGCATTTCAAACGTAGTATGATTTGTCATATGACTAAAACTAAAATAAAAGTGTCAATTTCAATAAGGATATGCCGAGTGATGAGGACAAATGTGGTCTAAAATCACAGAAGAAACTAATCACCTGGGAATCAATGTCAAAGCAGGTGGTACATGCACCCGCATGACTTTCATGCAAGATATCCGAATGATTAAACCATTATACTGCAAACATTCAACATGCTCTTTAACTTGCCCAATAACTGAGAAGGTACACAATTACAATGACACTTCACTTGAACGTACACTTCACATCTCTTAAGTGGAAGGGACCTAAATCGATCAACGTGGATGTATGTTTCCTGAATCCAAGTAAATAATTCATTATTTCTCACACCCATGTGCTGTAATAATTTGCCTAAGCTTCTTGTATTCTCTAGTTTAGCCTTTTGAACATTTCTTCATCCACTCGTGGCAACAAAGTATAATATATAACCTCAATAAAAAGCATCATCAATTATCAATTTTGACATAATTCTACTAAATAAAACTGCTACAAGTATTGGATATTAATAAGCTTTTACACTTGGAAATCACTCCAATATTCATTGAAAATTACCATTTTAGGAGTCAGTTGTTGAATTCAACATTATTTTTGTTTCTAAAATAGTCTTGTTAGGAGTATCATGCTATTCTCTAAAGAATATTCATTAAATACCTATTTTATCCAAGAGTCAGCTCTTTGATCAATGAAGCCAATGTATTCATATTCAAGTTTATCTAATTTCTATAACTAAAATCAACAAAACGTGTAAGTCTGATACCTAACAGTAACAAAGAAGAGTAATTAGTAAATGAAGTTTATCCCAATTCTAGCATTATCTCCTGCACCCAGTAGTTCCAGCAGCTGCCAAAATCAAATCTTCTTTATGCAAATATGCTAAATGCCTCTGAAGTGAGTCCACTCAGGTTTCCTCAGCAGAAACCCCAAAATTACATAAATAACTTCTTCTTTTCCCTCCTTCCTGCCTCACAATCCCTCTTCCTTGGGAAAAATCATTGCTATATCAGTGGTCTCCTTAGTTCTCATTCTACAGTGTCTACAGGTTATTAGGATCACTATTCTGTCTTTTTTATAGCAGTATGATGTGACATCTGTAAAATATATACTTCATGTCTTTCTCCTTCTACCCTTATTGAAAACATGCTGTAGAATTAAAGCAAAATTATGCTGTTCCCCTGAGCCCCTTATGTCTTGAACTGCTCTCCATATTTCTTCTTCCCAATTTCAATGTGGGGAAGTCTATATAATCTTACTGCAAAGATCATGTCCAAGACCAGCAGCATCAGCGTCACCCAAGAACTTATTAAAAATGAAGAATGTCAGGCCTGCTGAATCAGAATGTGCAGTTTTGATGAGCCCCACACTGATTTGTTCGGGGAAGAGAAGTACTTTTCTATCTGGACTGAACATGACATTAAATGTGTTTTGCAAAATTACCTGTTCCAGATTGTTGTCCATCCTTTATTTCTGTGGGTATATTCGAAACAGAATCTTTCTTGTCACTTGTAGCCTGAATGGAATTTGAAACAAAATAATCAATACATAAACTATGTTTCATAGACCACACAGTTAATAGTTCACAATATAAATGAGAGTTTAATTACCTTCAAGGCTGGTTGTTTCTGACAAGACACTGAAAAGCAAAAGGGATACATAATCACTCATATGTAAATATGATAAAGTTATCCATACATTCCTGCACTGTTGGCATCAAGATGTATCTTCCTGCCTGTATTAGTATAGGCTTTGATGTTTTCTACTTTGTGACTCGGGACTGGAATATGACAGAAATACACTGAAAAAGGTGAATACAGGCTTCACAAAATATACTTACAATTTCAAACATGGCATGATTTGTCATATGTCTAAAACTAAAATAAAACCGTGTCAATATCAATGTGGATATGCCAAGTGATGAGGACAAATGTGATCTAAAATCAGAGGAGCAACTCATACAATTGAGAATCAATGTCAAAGCAGGTTCTACATGATGCCACATGTCTTTCATGCAAGAAATCACAAGGATTTACACCATTATAGTACAAACATTCATCATGCTCTTTAACTTGCCCAATAACTGAGAAGGCACACAATTACAATGACACTTCAGTTGAACGTACACTTCACGTCTCTTCAGTGGAAGTGTCCTAAATTGATCAGCTTGGATTATGTTTGCTGAAACCTAGTAGCTAATATTCATTATTTCTCACACCCCTGTGGTGTAATAATTTGCCTAAGTTTCTTGTATCCACTCATTTAGCCTTCTGAAAGTTTCTTCATCCACTCATGGCACCAAAGGATAATATATTAGCCTCAATAAAAATATCATCAATTACCAATGTTGACGTACTTCTACAAAGTAAAACTGCTACAAGCATTAGATATTAATAAGTTTAACATTCAGAAATCAATCAAATATTCATTGAAAGGACCACTTTAGGAGTTAATTAGAATTCAACATAATTTTTGTTTCTAAAAAGTCTTTTTTGGAGTATCATGCTATTCTCTAAAGAAGTTTCATTCAATAGCTATTTTATCCAAGACTTAGCTCCTTGAACTTTGAAGCCAATGTATTCATATTCATTTATCTCAGTTTTATAACTAAAATCAACAAAACATGTATCTCTGATGCCTAATAGTAAATTACTCCTAAAGAGGAGTAATGAGTCACTGTGGTTTATCCCAATTCTAGCATAGTTTCCTGCTTCCAGTAGTGCCTGGAGCTGCCAAAATCAAGTCTTCTTTTATGCAAATGTTCCAAATGTATTGAAGTGAGTTCACTGAGGTTTCCTCAGCAGAAATCCCAAATTACATAAATAACTTCTTCTTTTCTCTCCTTCCTGACTCACAATCCCTATTCCTTGAGGAAAATAATTGCTACATCACTGGTCTTGTTACTTGTCATTCTACAGTGTTTTTGTGGTATTAGGATCACTTTTCCCTCTGTTTATCCCAATACAATCTGACACCTCTAATATCTATTATTTCATCTCTTTCTCTTTCCCCTCTTGATGGAAACATGCTGTAGAATTAAAGCAAAATGATGCTGTCCCCTGAGCCTGTTATGTGTTGAATTGCTGTCAGATGGTTCTTTTTCCCAATTTCAAAGTACAGACATCTAAAATCTTAGTACTTTCAGCATGGACAAGGACCACAGCATCAGGGTCACCCGAGAACTTATTACAAATGAATAATCTCAGGAATACTAAATCAGAACATGAAGATTTGACGAACCCCCCGCTGCTTTATTTGGTGAAGAGAAGATCTCTTCTATCTTGAACGAACATCATATTAAATGTGTTTGCAAAATTACCTGTCCCAGATATTTGTTCATCCTTTGTTTCTGTGGCCATATTCGGAACAGAATCTTCCTTGTCACTTGTAGCCTGAATGGAATTTGAAACAGAACAGTCAATAAATAAAGTATATTTCATAGACTATACAGTTAATAGTTCAAAATACAAAAGAGAGTTTAATTACCTTCAAGGATGGTTGTTTATGAGAAGACACTGAAAAGCAAAAGGGATACATAATCACTCATACATAAATATGATAAAGTTATCCATACATTCATACAGTGTTAGCATCAACCTCTGTCCTCCTGCCTGTAATAGTGTAGGCTTTGATGGCTTCTACTTTGTGTCTGGGGACAAGAACATGACAGAAATACACTGAAAAAAGGGAATACAGGCTCCATGAAATATATCCTTACAATTTCAAACATGGTATGATTTGTCATATGTCGAAAACTAAAATAAAGCCCTGTCAATATCAATGTCGATATGCCGAGTGATGAGGACAAAGTGATCTAAAATCAGAGGAGCAACTCATACACGTGAGAATCAATGTCAAAGCAGGTGCTACATGATCCCACATGTCTTTCATGTAAGAAATCAAAAGGATTTACACCATTATACTACAAACATTCATCATGCTCTTTAATTTGCCCGATAACTGAGAAGGCACAGAATTACGACGACATTTCAGTTGAACGTACACTTCACATCCCTTCAGTGGAAGTGTCCTAAATTGATCACCTTGGATATCTGCTTGCTGATACCTAGTAGATAACATTCATTATCTCTCACACGCACGTGGTGCAATAATTTGCCTAAGTTTCTTGTATCCACTAGTTTAGACTTCTGAAAATTTCTTCATCCACTCTTGGCACCAAAGGATAATATATTAGCCTCAATAAAGATATCATCAATTATCAACTATGACATATTTCTTCAAAGTAAAACTGCTACAAGCATTAGATATTAATCAGTTTTTCATTCAGAAATCACTGCAATATTCATTGAAAATTATAATTTTAGGAGTTAGTTAGAATTCAACATCATTTTTGTTTCTAAAATAGACTTTTTGGGAGGACCATGTTATTCTCGAAAGAAGTTTCATGAAATAGCTATTTCATCCAAGAGGTAGCCCCTTGAACAAGGAAGCAAATTTATTCATATTCAAGATTATCGCATTTTTATAACTATAATCAACAAAATATGTATCTCTGATGCCTCCTAGTAACAAAGAGGAGTAATGAGTCAGTGTGGTGTATTCCAATTACACCATTGTTTCCTGCTTCCAGTAGTTCCTGGAGCAGCCAAAATCAAATAACTTTTATGAAAATATTCCAAATGCATCTGAAGTGAGTTCACTCAGGTTTCCTCAGAAGAAACCAGAAAATTATATAAAAGAATTCCTCTTTTTCAGCCTTCCTGCCTCACAATCCATCTTCTTTAGGAAAATAGTTGCTACACCAGGGGTCTCCTTAGTTCTCCTACAGTGTCTACGGGTTGTTACAACAAGCTTTCTGTCTTTTCTTGGCAGTATGATCTGAAGTGTGTAAATTCTATACTTCCTCTCTTTCTCCTTCCACCCTTACTGAAAACAAGCTGGAGAATTAAAGCAAAATTATGTTGTTCCCCAGAGCCCCTTATGCCTTGAACTGCTCACCATATTTCTTCTTCCCAATTTCAATGTGGGGAAGTGTATAACCTTACTGCGAAGATCATGTTCCAGACCAGCAGCAACACTATCACCCACGAACTTATTTGAAATGAAGAATCTCAGGACTGCTGAATCAGAATGTGCAGCTTCAACGAGCCCCCCGCAGATTTATTCAGGGAAGAGAATTTCTTATCTACCCGGACTGAACATGACATTAAATCTCTTTTCAAAATTACCTCTCCTAGTTTTTTCTCCATCTTTTTTTCCTCTGGCTATATTCAAAAGAGAATCTTTCTCGTCTCTTGTAGCCTGAATGGAATTTGAAATGAAATAATAAATTAATAAAGTATGTTTCATAGACTATACATTTACTAGTTCACAATATAAATGACAGTTTCATTACCTTCAAGCCTGGTGGTTGCTCAAAAGACACTGAAAAGTAAAAGGGATTCATAATCACTCATATGTAAAAATGACAAAATTATCCACACATTCACGCAGTGTTAGCATCAACCTCTGTCTTCCTGCCTGTATTAGCATAGGCTTTGATGGCTTCTACTTTGTGTCTGGGGACTAGAACATGACAGAAATACGCTGAGAAAAGGGAATACAGGCTCCATGAAAAATACTCTTATAATTTCAAACAGGGTATGATTTGTTATATGCCAAAAACTAAAATAAAACCGTGTCAATATCAACGTGGATATGCTGAGTGATGAGGACAAAGTGATCTAAAATCAGAGGAGAAACTCATACACCTGAGAATCAACGTGAAAGCAGGTGCTACATGATCCCACATGTCTTTCATGCAACAAATCAAAAGGATTTACACCATTATACTACAAACATTCATCATGCTCTTTAAATTGCCCAATAACTGAGAAGGCACACAATTGCAATGATACTTCAGTTAAACTTACACTTCACATCTCTTCAGTGGAAGAGTCCTGAATTGATCACCTTGGACACCTGTTTGCTGATACCAAGTAGATAATATTCATTATCTCTCACACCCATATGGTGTAATAATCTGCCTAAGTTTCTTGTATCCACTAGTTTAGCCTTCCAAAAGTTTCTTCATCCAGTCGTGGCACCAAAGGATAATATATTAGCCTCAATAAAAATATCATCAATTATCAATTTTGACATACCTATACAAAGTAAAACTGCTACAAGCATTAGATACTGATCAGTTTCTCTTTCAGAAATCACTGCAATATTCATTGAAAATGACCATTTTAGGAGTTAATTAGAATCCAGCATAATTTTTGTTTCTAAAATAGCTTTGTTGGGAGTATCATGTTGTTCTCTAAAGAAGTTTCATGAAATAGCTATTGTATCCAAGAGGTAGCTCCTTCAACAAGGAAGCCAATGTGTTCATATTCAAGTTTGTCTCATTTCTATAACTAAAATCAACAAAACATGTATCTCTGATGCCTAATAGTAACAAAGAGGAGTAATGACTCAGTGTGTTTTTATGCCAATTCTAGGATTGTTTCCTTCTTCCAGCAGTTCCTGCAGCAGCCAAAATCAAGTATTTTTTATTAAAATATTCCAAATGCATCTGAAGTGAGTTCACTCAGGTTTCCTCAGCACAAACCCCAAAATTATATAAATGACTTCCTCTTTTCACACCTTCCTGCCTCACAATCCGTCTTCCTTGGGAAAATGATTGCTACACCAGGGGTCTCCTTAGTTCTCCTACAGTGTGTACGGGTTATTACAACAAGTTTGCTGTCTGTTTTTAGCAGTATGATGTGATGTCTGTAAAATCGATACTTCCTCTCTTTCTCCTTCCACCCTTACTGAAAACAAGCTGTAGAATTAAAGCAAAACTATGCTCTTCCCCAGAGCCCCTTATGTCTTCAACTGCTCTCCATATATCTTCTTCCCAACTTCAATGTGGGGAAGTGTATAATCTTACAGCGAAGGTCATGTTCCAGACCAGCAGCATCAGCATCAGCATCAGCATCACTCAAGAACTTACTACAAATGAAGAATCTCTGGCCTGCTGAATCAGAAAGTGCAGCTTCGACGAGCCCCCCGCTGATTTATTTGGGGAAGAGAACTTCTTATCTATCTGGACTGAACATGACATTAAATCTGTTTTCAAAATTACCTGTCCTAGATTTTTCTCCATCCTTTTTTTCTCTGGCTATATTCAAAACAGAATCTTCCTTGACACTTGTAGCCTGAATGGAATTTGAAATGAAATAATAAATAAATAAAGTATGTTTCATAGACCATACATTAACTAGTTCACAATATAAATGAGAGTTTCATTACCTTCAAGGCTGGTGGTTTCTGAGAAGACACTGAAAAGCAAAAGGGATTCATAATCACTCATATGTAAATATGACAAAGATATCCACACATTCATGCAGTGTTAGCATCAAACTCTGTCCTCCTGCCTGTATTAGCGTAGGCTTTGATGGCTTCTACTTTGTGTCTGCGGACTAGAACGTGACAGAAATGCACTGAGAAAAGGGAATACAGGCTCCATGAAATATACCCTTACAATTTCAAACATGGTATGATTTCTCATATGTCAAAAACTAAACTAAAACCGTGTCAATATCAATGTGCATAGGCCAAGTGATGAGAACAAATGTGATCTAAAATCAGAGGAGCAACTCACACTCCTGAGAATCAATGTCAAAGCAGGTGCTACATGATCCCACATGTCTTTCATGCAACAAATCAAAAGGATTTACACCATTATACTACAAACATTCATCATGCTCTTTAAATTGCCCAATAACTGAGAAGGCACACAATTGCAATGATACTTCAGTTAAACTTACACTTCACATCTCTTCAGTGGAAGAGTCCTGAATTGATCACCTTGGACACCTGTTTGCTGATACCAAGTAGATAATATTCATTATCTCTCACACCCATATGGTGTAATAATCTGCCTAAGTTTCTTGTATCCACTAGTTTAGCCTTCCAAATGTTTCTTCATCCAGTCGTGGCACCAAAGGATAATATATTAGCCTCAATAAAAATATCATCAATTATCAATTTTGACATATTTCTACAAAGTAAAACTGCTACAAGCATTAGATATTGATGTTTTACATTCAGAAATCATTCCAATATTCTTTGACAATGATCACTCTAGGACTTAATTAGAATGCAACATAATTTATGCCTCTAAAATAGCTTTGTTGGGAGTATCATGTTATTTTCTAAAGAAGTTTCATTAAACAGCTATTTTATACAAGAGGTAGCTCCTTGAACAAGGAAGCCAATGTGTTCATATTCAAGTTTATCTCATTTCTATAACTAAAATCAACAAAACATGTATCTCTGATGCCTAATAGTAACAAAGAGGAGTAATGAGTCATTGTGTTTTTATGCCAATTCAAGCACTGTTTCCTGCTTCCAGCACTTGCTGGAGTTGCCAAAATCAAATATTGTTTATGAAAATGTTCCAAATGCATCTGAAGTGAGTTCACTCAGGTTTCCTCAGCAGTAACCCCAAAATTATATAAATGACTTCCTCTTTTCCCACATTCCTGCCTCACAATCCGTCTTCATTCAGAAAATAATTGCTACATCAGGGGTCTCCTCAGTTCTCCTTCTACAGTGTCTATGGGTTATTATGAACAGTTTTCTGTCTGTTTTTAGCACTACGATGTGACGTCTGTAAAATCTGTACTTCCTCTCTTTCTCCTTACACCCTTAATGAAAAGATGCTACAGAATTAAAGCAAAATTATGCTGTGCCCCAGAGCCCCTTATGTCTTCAACTGCTCTCTATATTTCTTCCTCCCAGTTGCAATGTGGGGATGTGTATAATCTTACAGCCAAGATCATATTCCAGACCAGCAGTATCAGCATAACCCAAGAACTTATTAGAAATGAAGAATCTCAGGCCTGCTGAGTCAGAATGTGCAGCTTCGACCAGCCCCCCACTGATTTATTCGGGGAAGAGAACTTCTTATCTGGACTGAACATGACATTAAATGTGTTTCGCAAAATTACCTGTCCTAGATATTTCTCCATCCTTTTTTTCTCTGGTTATATTCGAAAAAGAATCTTTCTCATCACTTGTGGCCTGAATGGAATTTGAAACAAAATAATAAATAAGGTATGTTTCATAGGCTATACGTTTACTAGCTCACAATATAAATGAGAGTTTCATTACCTTCAAGGCTGGTTTTTTCTGAGAAGACACTGAAAAGCAAAAGGGATACATAATCACTCATATGTAACTATGACAAAGTTATCCATACATTCATGCAGTGTTTGTATCAACCTCTGTCCTCCTGCCTGTATTAGCGTAGGTTTTGATGGCTTCTACTTTGTGTCTGGGGATTAGAACATGACAGAAATACACTGAGAAAAGGAAACACAGGCTCCGTGAAATATACCCCTGCAATTTCAAACATGGTATGATTTCTCATACGTCGAAAACTAAAATCAAAGGTTGTCAACATCAATGTCCATATGCCGAGTGATGAGGACAAATGTGATCTAAAATCAGAGGAGAAACTCATACACCTGAGAATGAATGTCAAAGCAGGTGCTACATGATCCCACATGTCTTTCATGCAACAAATCAAAAGGATTTACACCATTATAATACAAACATGCATCATGCTCTTTAACTTGCCCAATATCTAAGAAAGCACACAATTATGATGACACTTCAGTTGAACGTACACTTCACATCTCTTCACTGGTAATGTCCTAAATTAATCACCTTGGATATCTGGTTGCTGATACCTAGTAGATAATATTCATTATCTCTCACACCCATGTGGTGTAATAATTTGCCTAAGTATCTTGTATCCACTAGTTTATCCCTCTGAAAATTTCTTCATCCAGTCGTGACACCAAAGGATAATATACTAGCCTCAATAAAAATATCATCTATTATCAATTTTGACATACTTCTACAAATAAATCTGCTACAAGCATTAGATATTAATCACTTTTTCATTCAGAAATCACTGCAATATTCATTGAAAATGACCATTTTAGGAGTTAGTTAGAATTCAACATAATTTTTGTTTCTAAAATAGCCTTCTTGGGAGTATCATGTTAGTCTGTAAAGATGTTTCGTGAAATAGCTATTTTATCCAAGAGGTAGCTCCTTCAACAAGGAAGCCAATGTATTCATATTCAAGTTTATCTCATTTCTATAACTAAAATCAACAAAACATGTATCTCTGATGCCTAATAGTAACAAAAAGGAGTAATGAGTCAGTGTGCTTTATCCCAATTCTAGCATTGTTTCCTGCTTCCAATAGTTCCTGGAGCTGCCAAAATCTAATATTTTTTAAGGACATATTCCAAATGCATGTGAAGTGAGTTCACTCAGATTTCCTCAGCAGAAAACCCTAAATTATATAAATAACTTCTCTTCCCTCCTTCCTGCCTGACAATCCCTCGTCCTTGGGAAAATAATTGCTACATCAGGGGTCTCCTTAGTTCTCATTCTACAGTGTTTATGGGTTATTACTATCAGTTTTCTGTCTTTTCTTCGCAGTACGATGTGACGTCTGTAAAATCTATACTTCCTCTCTTTCTCCTTCCACCCTTAGTGAAACCATGCTGTAGAATTAAAGCAAAACTATGCTGCTCCCCAGAGCCCCTTATGTCTTGAACCTCTCTCCAATATTTCTTCTTCCCAATTTCAATGTGGGGAAGTGTATAATCTTACTGCGAAGATCACGTTCCAAGCCAGCAGCATTAGCGTCACCCAATAATTTATTACAAATGAAGACTCTCAGACCTGCTGGATCAGAATGTGCAGCTTCAGCGAGCCCCCCACCCGCCCTGCGCTGATTTATTAGGGGTAGAGAAGTTCGTTTCTATCTGGATTGAACATGACATTGAATGTGTTTTGCAAAATTACCTGTCCCAGATTTTTCTCCATCCTTTATTTCTGTGGCTATATTAGAAACAGAACCTTCCTCGTCAGTTGTAGCCTGAATGGAATTTGAAAGAAAATAATAAATAAATAAATAAATGAAGTATGTTTCATAGACTATAGATTTACTAGTTCACAACATAAATGAGAGTTCAATTACCTTCAAGGCTTGTTGTTTCTGAGAAGACACTGAAAAGCAAAAGGGATACATAATCACTCATATGTAAATATGATACATTTTCCATACATTCATGCGGTGTTAGCATCAAGCTGTATCCGCCTGCCTGTATTAGTGTAGGCTTTGATGTTTTCTACTTTATGTCTTAAGCCAGGAGCATGACACAAATATACTAAAGAAAACAGAAATAGATGTGTCACGATACATTCCTAACTATTTCAAACATAATATGATTTCTCGTATATCTAAAAGAAAAATAAATCAGTGTCAATATCAAAAAGGGTATGCCAAGTGATCATGACAAATGCGATCAAAAATCAGAGAGGAAACTCAATCACCTGGGAAAATGTCAAAGCAGGTGGCACATGCACCCACATGTCTTTTATGCAAGATATCCAAATGATTTACACCATTATACTGCAAACATTCATCATCTTCATTAACTTGCCCAGTAACTGAGAAGGTACACAATTACAGTGACACTTCAGTTGAATGTACACGTCATGTCTCTGTCTCTTCAGTGAAGTGTCCTAAATTGATCAGCTTGGATATATGTTTCCTGAATCCGAGTAAATAATATTCATTATTTCTCATATCCATGTGGTGCAACAATTTGCCTAAGTTTCCTGTATTCTCTAGTTTAGCCTTCCCGGACATTTCTTCATCCACTCATGGCAACAAAGTATAATATATAAACCTCAATAAAAAGCATCATCAATTATCAATTTTGACATACTTCTACTAAATAAAACTGCTAAAAGCATTGGATATTAATAAGCTTTTATATTTGGAAATCACTCCAATATTCATTGAAAATGACCATTTTAAGAGTCAGTTGATGAACTCAACATTATATTTGTTTTTAAAATTGTCTTGTTAGGAGGATCATACTATTCTCTAAATAATATTCATTAAATAGCTATTTTATCCATGAGATAGCTCTTTGATGAAAGAAGCCAATGTATTGATATTCAAGTTTATCTAATTTTTATAACAAAAATCAACAAAAGATATATATCTTATGCCTAATAGTAGCAAAGAGAAGTAATTTGTCAATGTGGTTTATCCCAATTCTAGCTTTCTTTGCTTCATCCAGTAGTTCCTGGAGCTGCCAAAATCAAATCTTTTTTGTGTAAATATGCTAAATGCATCCGAAGTGAGTTCACTCAGGTCTCCTCAGCAGAAACCCCAAAATTACATAAATAACTTCATCTTTTCCCTCCTTCCTGCCTCACAACCCTCTTCCTTGAGGAAAATAATTGCTACATCAGTGGTCTCGTTAGTTCTCGTTCTACAATTTTTACTGGTTATTACGATCAGTTTTCCGTCTGTTTTTATCAATACGATGTGACGTTTGTAAAATCTATACTTCAACTCATTCTCCTTCCACCCTTGGTGAAAACATGCTGTAGAATTAAAGCAAAATTATGCTGTCCCCTGAGCCCCTTATGTCTTGATCTGCTCTCCAATGTTTCTTCTTCCCAATTTCAATGTGGGGAAGTCTATAATCTTACTGTGAAGATCATGTCCAAGACCAGCAGCATCAGCATCACCCGAGAACTTATTACAGATGAAGAATCTCTGGCCTGCTGAATCAGAATGTGCAGCTTTGATGAGCCCCCCCACTGATTTATTTGGGGAAGAGAAGTTCTTTTCTATCTGGACTGAACATGACATTAAATGTGTTTTGCAAAATTACCTGTCCCACATTGTAGTCCATCCTTTATTTCTGTAGCTGTATTCAAAGCAGAATCTGTCTTGTCACTTGCAGTCTGAAAGTAATTTGAAGCAAATTATCAATAAAGAAAGTATGTTTCATGGACTATACAGTTACTAATACAAAATATAAATGAGAATTTAATTACCTTTGAGGCTGGTTGTTTCTGAGAAGACACTGAAAAGCAAAAGGGATACATAATCACTCATATGTAAATATGATAAAGTTATCCATACATTCATGAAATGTTAGCATCAAGCTGTATCTTCCTGCCTGTATTAGTATAGGCTTTGATTTTTGTGTCTGGGGACTGGAACATGACAGAAATACACTGAAAAAAAAGAAATACAGGTTTCACAAAACAAACCCTTACAATGTCAATCATGGTATGATTTTTCATATGTCTAAAACTAAAATGAAACAGTGTTAGTATCAATGTGAATATGCCGAATGATGAGGACAAATGTGATCTAAAATCAGAGGAGCAACTCATACACCTGAGAATCAATGTCAAAGCAGGTGCTACATGATCCTCCATGTCTTTCATGCAAGGTATCAAAAGGATTTACACTAGTATACTACAAACATTCATCATGCTCTTTAGCTTGCCTGATAACTGAGAAAGTACACAATTACAATGACACTTCAGATGAATGTACACTTCACGTCTCTTAAGTGGAAGGGACCTAAATTGATCAGCTTGGATATATGGTTGGTGAATCCTAGTAGATAGTATTCATTATTTATAATACCCATGTGGTGTAATAATCTGCCTACATTTCTTGTATCCTCTAGTTTAGCCTTCAGAAATTTTCTTCATCCACTAATGGCAGGAAGGTATAATATATAAACCTCATCTAAAAGTACAATAAATTACACATATTTATACAAAATGCAATGGCTCCTGGCATTAGATATTAATAAGCTTTTACATTTGGCTATCAGTCCAATATTCATTGAAAATAACCATTTTAGGATTCAATTAATACATTTAACATTATTTTTGTCTGCAAAATTAGTCTACTCTGGAATATCATTGTATTATAAAGAATTTTCACTAAATAGCTATTTTAATGAAAAAGCATTCGGAAAATGCTTTGGAAAAAAGCTTTGGAAAAAAGCTAATATAGTCATATTAAATTTTAACTCATTTGAATAACTAATAAAAAATATATGTCTGATGTCTGATACTAATAAACAGGAATGAGGCACTGTGGTTTATCCCAACTCTAGCACTCCTTCCTGATTCCGGTAGTCATCGGAGCAGTCAGAAATCAAATCTTCTGGTATGCAAACATTCTAAATGCATCTGAGGTGAGTTCACTCAGGTTTCCTCAGCAGAAACCCCAAAATTACAGAAATAACTTCTTCCTTCCCCTCTTTCTTGCCTTGCAATCCCTCTTTCTTGATGAAAATAGTTACTACATCAGTGGTCACTTTGTTTCTCATTCTCCAGTGTCTACGGGTTATTATGACAACTTCCTCCCTCTGGTTTTAGCAGTACCATCTGACATCTATAATTTCTGTTACTTCTTCTCTTTCTCCTTCCCCTCTCCATAGAAACATGCTCTGAAATAAGAGAAAAATTATGCTGTCCCCTGATCCTCTTATGTCTTCAACTGTTTTCCAATGGTTCTTCTATCCAATTTCAATGTAGGGAACTCTATAAGCTTGTTACTAAGATCATGACCAAGGACCAGCAGCATCAGCACCACCTGACAACTTACTAGAAATGCACAATCTCAGGCCTGCTGAATCAGAAAGTGCATTTTCAATGACACCCCACTGATCTATTCAGGGGTGGGACGTTCTCTTCTGTCTTGAGTGCACATGACATTAAATGTGTATTGCCAAATTACCTGTTCCAGATTTCCCACCGCCCATTATTCTTGTGGCAATATTCAAAAGAGAAACTTTCTTTTTAAATATAACCTGAATGGAAAGAGAAACAAAATAGTCAATACATAATATATATTTCATAGGCTATGCAATAAATAATTCAAAATATAAATGAAAGAGTAACTACCTTCTGGGCCGATTGTTTCTGAGGAGACACTGAAAAGTAAAAGAAATATATAATTCATCATATGTAAATATGACAAAGTCGTCCATACATTCATGCAGTGTTAGCATCAAGCTGTATCCTCCCGCCTGCACTAGTGTAGGATTTGATGTTTTACAGTTTGTGTCTTTGGGACGGGAACATGAGGAAATACACTGAAGAAAATAGGAATACACGCTTCCAGAAAATATACAGTCAGAAATTACAAAGAGGTATTATGCATCATGTGTGTATTACTGAAATAAAAAGTGTCAATATCAATGTGGATATGCTGAATGATGAAAAGAAATGTGATCTAAAATCAGAGGAGCAACTCATACACCCAGGAATCAATGTCAAAGAAGGTACTAAATGCTACTGCATGTTTTTCATGCAAGACATCAGAGGGATTTATACCATTATGCTGCAAGTATTCATCACGCTCTTTAACTTGCCTGGTAATTGAGCAGGTACACAATGACAATGACACTTTAGTAGAATGTACACTTCACAAGTCCTCGGTGGAAGTGGCCCAGCTTCAACAGCTTGGATATAGGTTGGGATAATCCTGTATATAATATTCTTTATTTCTCAAACCCATGTGGTGTAATAATGTGCCTACATTTGTTGTGTCCTCTAGTTTAGGCTACAGAAAGGTTCTTCATCCACTCGTGGCAACAAATATAATACATAAACCTTATCAAAAAGTATAATAAATGATCAAATTTGACATACTTATACAAAATAAAGTTGCTACAAGCATTAGATATGAATAACCTTTGACATTTGGAAATCCCTCCAATATTCATTGAAAATAAGAATTTTAAAAGTCAATTAATGAATTCACCATTATTTTTTTTTCTAAAATAGTCTGGTATAAAATATCATGTTATTCTCTAAAGCATTTTCATTAAATTGCTATTTTTATCCAAAAGTTAGCTAATTGAAAAGCAAAGCCAATATACGCATATTCATGTTTATCTCATTTGAATAACTAATATCAACAAAACGTATATCTCTGATGCCCAACAGTAACAAAGAGGAGTAATGAGTCACTGTGGTTTATCCCAGTTCTAGTACTCCTTCCTGCTTCCACTGTTTCCTAAAGCAGCCAAAATCAAAGCTTCTTTTACAAAAATGTTCGAATATGCAACTGAACTCAGGTTTCCTCAGAAGAAACCCCAAAATTACATAAATAACTTCTTATTTTCCCTCCTTCCTGCCTGATAATCCTCTTCCTTGAGGAAAGTCATTGCTACATCAGTGGTCTCCTTAGCTCTCGTTCTACAGTGTTTATGGGCTATTACCATAATTTCTCCATCTGTTTTTAGCAATACGATGTGATGTCTGTAAAATCTATACTTCATCTCTTTCTCCTTCCTCCCTTGGTGAAAA
Organism: Homo sapiens; assembly: GCF_000001405.40. NCBI lineage: Eukaryota > Metazoa > Chordata > Mammalia > Primates > Hominidae > Homo > Homo sapiens. Next base: position 484,545 of record NW_025791765.1, read on the forward strand.
CATGCTGTAGAATTAATGCAAAATTATGCTGTCCCCTGACTCCTTATGTCTTTAATGGCTCTCCAACGTTTCTTCTTCCCAATTTCAATGTGAGGAAGTCTATAATCTTACTGCAAAGATCATGTCGAAGACCAGCAGCATCAGTGTCACCTGAGAACTGAGGAATCTCAGGCCTGCTGAATCAGAATGTGCAGCTTCAATGAATCCCCCGCTGATTTATTCGGGGAAGAGAAGTACTTTTCTATCTTGACTGAACATGACATTAAATGTGTTTTGCAAAATTACCTGTCCCAGATTGTTGTCCCTCCTTTATTTCTGTGGCTATATTTGAAACAGAATCTTTCTCGTCACTTGTAGCCTGAATGGGATTTGAAACAAAATAATCAATATGTAAAGTAGGTTTCATAGACTATACGGTTAATAGTTCAACATATAAATGAGACTTTAATTACCTTCTCAGCTGGTTGTTTCTGAGAAGACACTGAAAAGCAAAAGGGAAACATAATCACTCACATGTACATATGATAAATTTATCCATACATTCCATGCAGTGTTAGCATCAAGCTGTATCTTCCTGCCTGTACTAGTGTAGGCTTTGATGTTTTCTACTTTTTGTCTGGAGACTGGAACATGACAGAAATACACTGAAAAAAAAGGAATACAGGCTTCACAAAATATACCCTTACAATTTCAAACATGGTATGATTCGTGATACATCTAAAACTAAAATAAAACCGTGTCAATATCAATGTGGATATGCCGAGTGATGAGGACAAATCAGAGGAGTAACTCACACACCTGAGAATCAATGTCAAAGCAGGTGGTACATGATCCCTCATGTCTTTCTTGCAAGAAATCAGAAGGATTTACACCATTATACTACAGATGTTCATTATGCCCTTTAACTTGCCCAATAACTAGAAGGTACACAATTACGATGACAATTCAGTTAAATGTACACTTCACGTCTCTTCGGTGGAAATGTCCTAAATTGATCACCTTGGATATATGTTTCCTGAGATCTAGTAGATAATATTCATTATTTCTCACACCCATGTGGTATAATAATTTGCCTAAGTTTCTTGTATCCACTAGTTTAGCTTTCTGAAAGTTTCTTCATCCACTCATGGCAACAAACGATAATGTATTAGCCTCAATAAAAATATCAATTACCAATGTTAACATACTTCTACAAAGTAAAACTGCTACAAGCATTAGATATTAATAAGTTTTACATTCAGAAATCACTCCAATATTCATTGAAAATCACCACTTTAGGAGTTAATTAGAATTCAACATCATTTTTGTTTCTAAAATAGCCTTGCTGGGAGTATCATGTTAGTCTCTAAGGAAGTTTCATTAAGTAGCTATTTTATCCAAGAGTAAGCTCCTTGAACAAGGAAGCCAATGTATTCATATGCAAGTTTATCTCATTTTTATAAGTAAAGTCAACAAAACATGTATCTCTGATGCCTAATAGTAACAAAGAGGAGTAATGAGTCACTGTGGTTTATCCCAATTCTAGCACTGTTTCCTGCTTCCAGTAGTTCTCAGAGCAGCCAAAATCAAATCTTCTTTTATGCAAATATTCCAAATGCATCTGAAATGAGTTCACTCAGGTTTCCTCAGCAGAAAACCCAAAATTACATAAATACCTTCTTCTTTTTCCTCCTTCCTGCCTCACAATCCCTCTTCCTTGAGGAAAATAATTGCTGCATCAGTGGTCTTCTTAGCTCTCATTCTACAGTGTTTATGGAGTTATTAGGATCACTTTTCCCTCTGTTGATAACAATATGATATGATGCCTATAATATCTATTACTTCATCTCATTCTCTTTCCCCTCTTGATGGAAACATGCTGTAAAATTAAAGTAAAATTATGCTGCTCCCTTAGCCTGGTATGTGTTGAACTGCTCTCCAATGTTTCTTCTTCCCAATTTCAATGTAAGGAAGCCTACAATCTTACTACTCAGATCATGACCAAGGACCAGCAGTATCAGAGTCACCTGAGAACTCACTACAAATGAAGAATCTCAGGTGTACTGAATCAGAACGTGCAGCTTATATGAACTCCCCACTGATTTATTTGGGGAAGGGAATTTCTCTTCTATCTTGATTGAACATGACATTAGATGTGTTTTGCAAAATTACCTGTCCCAGATATAGGTCCCTCCTTTATTTCTGTGGCTATATTTGAAACAGAATCTTTGTCGTCACTTGTAGCCTGAATGGGATTTGAAACAAAATAATCAATATGTAAAGTAGGTTTCATAGACTATACAGTTAATAGTTCAACATATAAATGAGACTTTAATTACCTTCTCAGCTCGTTGTTTCTGAGGAGACACTGAAAAGCAAAAGGGATACATAATCAATCATATGTAAATATGATAATGTTATCCATACATTAATGCATGGATAGCATGTTAGCATCAAGTTTTGTACTCCTGCCTGTATTACTGTAGGCTTTGATATTTTATACTTTGTTTCTTGGGACTAAACATGAAGGAAATACACTGAAGAAAATAGGAATACAGGCTTCAAGAAATATACACTGACAATTTCAAATGTGATATGACTTTCTCCATATGTCTAAAACTAAAATAAAACCATGTCAATATCAATGTGGATATGCTGAGTGATGAGGACAAATGTGATCTAAAATCAGAGTCCAACTCATACACCTGGGAATCAGCGTCAAAGCAGGTGATACATGCACCCACATGTCTTTCATGCAAGATATCAGAATGATTTGGAATATTTTACTGCAAACATTCATCATGCTTTTTAACTTGATTGATCAGTGAGAAGGTACACAATTATAATGACACTTTAGTTGAAATCTCTTCAGTGGAAGTGTCCTAACTTAATCAGCTTGGATATATGTTTGGTGAATTCTAGTATGTAATATTCATTATTTCTCACACCCATATGGTGTAATAATGTGCCTACATCTCTTGTATCTTCTAGTTTAGCCTTCCAAAAGTTCCTTCATCCACTCATTGCAACAAGGTATAATATATAAACTTCATCAAAAAGTGTAATAAATTACCAAATTTGACATACTTTTACAAAATAAAGTTTCTACAAGCATTAGATATGAATAAGCTTTTACATCTGGAAATCACTCCAATATTCCTTGAAAATAACCATTTGGGAGTCAAGTAATGAATTCAACATTATTTTCACTTCTAAAATAGTCTGGTTAAAGTATCATGTTATTCTCTAGAGAATTTTTATTAAGTTGCTATTTTATCCAATAGCTCCTTGAAAAACAAAGCCAATGTATGCATATTCACATTTATCTCATTTGAATAACCAATATCAACAAAACATATACCTCTGGTGCCCAATGGTAACAAAGAGGAGCAATGAGTCACTGTGGCTTATCCCAATTCTATCACTCTTTCCTGCTTCCAGTAGTTCCTGGAGCAGCCAAAAATCAAATCATCCCTCATGCAAATATTCTAAATGCATCTGAAGTGAGTTCACTTAATCTAAGAGTTATAATTTAAAAAATCATTTTATTTATACTCATGAAGACTCCTGATGTTTTTACATTTCCTGGATTCAGCAGTTCTACCTTCTCACTGTCTCTTCGTCCACTTTTGCAAAAACATACACATCAATGAAATACTGTGTAATCAGATTCCTATGAAAATAAACTAAACAAAGTTTCTAAATCACTAGAGACTTCTTTTCTTATAAATAACCAACCAATATGACATAATACATATATATACATATGTCATGATTGTCATGATTATTGGCAGTTATCTGTTTAGTACTCTAAAAATGCATTCTTTGATTCCTTTTTTTTAAAATCTAGTTTCACATGATATACCATCAGGGTCTCTCAGGTTCTTTTACAAAATAACTACCTCAGCAAACACAGCTTTCCAAAAACAAAAACAAAAAACAAAAATCTGATGTGAACGAAGCATGTATCATTGATGTCCAAAACTTCTAGGGAGAAGAAATGAGACCCTGTGGGTTACCCTCATCCTTGTAACTTCTGCTTCTGCTTTCCATTAAGTGACTTCCCACAAGTCTCCTCATCAGAAACTTCCAAATTACCTCACTAGCTGCTTTCTTTGTTTACACCTGCCCAATTTGACATACATTTTTTTCGTTCATAAATCTAATATCCATATTGGTGGACTTGATTCTTTGACCTCCACATTCATTTCTTCATTATTTTCACCACCACTGTATGTGACATCTGTACAGTCCCATTCTGACACATGTGAAGATAAGGTTTTGCTTTATTAAAATGTTAAATGTGTCAGACACTTGACTAATGTGTACAAATTCCTTCTTCACAAAAGCAGCCCCATGGCCTCCTCTCTCCCATAGACACTCTTTCACAGCTGTTCTTCACTCACATCGGTTTGAGTATCTATCATCTCTTATTTTGTCGCTATGCTTTCACCTCATATTATGAGTTATTATCATAGGCTCAGCAGCCTATCTTACCTGTTTTCCTCTCCAGCAGACAGTACTGAGCAATAAACTAGGATTTTCCAGGATATGAACACTTTTATGTACACAACACTTTGTGGAGCTATTTTATGTTTAACTACCCATAGCACCACTATGTTTATGCTTTCCAGAGAAATAAGCTCTGAAATTTTATTGAATATAACCTATTTAAAAACTTATTTAACTACAATGACAGTCTCTCCTTGATGCACCAAAATCTTCAGAAATAACTTGTGAAGACTTGAAAACATGTCAGTAATTGACATGAAAAATGAAGCACTGACATAATTTTTTGCAGGTATAAAAAAGACAAGCTGAGATCCTTACTAGATCCAAGAAGAGCAAAGTACGTTAGACAGGAAATAAATATGGAACACAAATATTTTCACTTGTAATGAAAATTCCTCTATTTACAGTTTTCAGAAGAGAAAAAAATACACACACACACACACACACACATTCACACACAAAAACCAGAGCAATATGGCTTTACGGGGTGTTTCTTCATCAAAGTCCTATTTGCCATTTGACATCTGGGAACACTCTATAGGGATCAACAAAGGGGTTCTAAATTGTGATCTGAGTAGTTTAGAGTTTAACATTCATGAAGGGGAGCCAAGAGGACAAGTAACACTTTGACCATCGGCCATTTCCTCTCCTTACTGTCATTCTCTGAAAAGCACACACTGGATTTTCTCAGGGTCATGACATGTCAAAAAGACATGCTTTAAGGGGGAAACAGTTGCAATCAACATAGCCATGGGAGAGATGCAGCTATGCTTGCTAGGATTTCCAATACTTCTGTTTCATTTCTAATATAATACAAATCAATAAAAGCAACCACATAAGCATATCCATGCTGGTATGTCACCATATTTATGTCCATATGGTATCAACATGAAGAGAGCATAATTAAATATGCTGCCATCATCACATGGCATATCATTAGATCATACAATAAATCAAATACCTCACTGGGTCAACATGGATAGATCTGAAATATATATCACTGATTTTACAAAGACCAAGTTGCAGTCATTTTGTGCACTGTCTGAACTTTTCTACAAGGTTTTAATACACAAAATCAAGTTCTACATGTTATCTAGGAATATGCACATATGTTGTAAGAGGTTTTTAATGTGCATTTGGGTGATTTCTTTTGCTTTTTTTAAAAAAAAATTTAATTCAAGTTCTTGGTTACATGTCGTCAATAAGTTTTAGTAGTATAGAGAACCCTAAGACCATAACAGCTCAGAATGACTGTCTTAAAGGCTATGTCTACCAAAGAGTCAGGATAGCATGACTACTTACTTTCTTCATTTTTAAAACTCAGAGGTACCCCACACACACTCCCAAATAAAACTGCACACAAGTTCTTTAGTTTAATTAGATCCCATTTGTCAATTTTGGCTTTTGTTGACATTGCTTTTGGTGTTTTAGTCATGAAGTATTTGCCCATGCCTATGTCCTGAATGGTACTGCCTAGGTTTTCATCCAGGGTTTTTATACATTGAGAACTTAATTTTAAGTCTTTAATGCACCTTGAGTTAATTTTTGTATAAAGTGTAAGGAAGGGGTCCAGTCTCAGTTTCCTGCATAAGGCTAGCCAGTTTTCCCAACACCATTTATTAAATAGGGAATCCTTTCCCCATTGCTTTTGTCAGGTTTGTCAAAGATCAGATGGTGTAGGTGTATGGCATTATTTCTGAGGCCTCTGTTCTGTTCCATTGGTCTATATATCTCTTTTGGTACCAGTACCATGCTGTTTTCATTACTGTAGCCTTGTAGTATAGTTTGAATCAGGTAGCATGATGCCTCCAGCTTTGTTCTTTTTGCTTAGGATTGTCTTGGCTATATGGGCTCTTTTTTTGGTTCCATATGAAATTTAAAGTAGTTTTTTCTAATTCTGTGAAGAAAGTCAATGGTAGCTTGATGGGTATAGCATTGAACCTACAAATTACTTTGGGCAGTATGGCCATTTTCAAGATATTGATTCTTCCTAACCATGAGCATGGAATGTTTTTCCATTTGTTTGTCTCTTATTTCCTTGAGTGGTGGTTTGTAGTTCTCCTTAAAGAGGTCCTTCAAATCCCTTGTGAGTTGTATTCCTTGTTATTTTATTCTCTTTGTAGCAATTGTGTATCGGATTTCACTCATGATTTAGCACTCTATTACTGGTGTATAGGAATGCTTGTGAATTTTGCACATTGACTTTGTATCCTGAGACTATGAGGAAGTTGCTTATCAGCTGAAGGAGATTTGGGGCTGAGACAATTTGGTTTTCTAAATATACAATTATGTCATCTGCAAACAGAGACAATTTGACTTCCTTTCTTCCTATTTGAATACCGTTTATTTCTTTCTCTTGCCTGATTACCCTGGCCAGAACTTCCAATACTATGATCAGAGTGAACAGGCAACCTACAGAATGGGAGGAAATGTTTGCAATCTGTCCACCTGAAAAAGGCCTAATATCTAGAATCTACAAGGAACTTAAATAAATTTACAAGAAAAGAACAAACAATCTCATCAAAAAGTGGGCAAAGGATATGAACAGACACTTCTCAAAAGAATACATTTATGCAGCCAACAAACATCTGAAAAAAAGCTCATCATCACTGATCATTAGAGAAATGCAAATCAAAACCACAATGAGATAACATCTCATGCCATTTAGAAAGGCAATCGTTAAAAGGTCAGGAAACAACAGATGCTGGAGCAGATGTGGAGAAATAGGAATGCTTTTACACTGTTGGTGGGAGTGTCAATTAGTTCAACCATTGTGGAAGACAGTGTGGTGATTCCTCAAGGATCTAGAACCGGAAATACCATTTGAGCCAGTAATCTCATTACTGGGCATATACTCGGGGTGTGTGTGTGTGTGTGTGTGTGTGTATATATATATATGTACAGTGGCTTGTTCCTATAATCTCAGCTACTCAGAAGGCTGAGGCAGAAGTATCACTTGAGAAGCCCAGGAGTTTGAGAACAGACTGGGCAACATAGCAAGACTCTTTATTAAAAAAAAATCATACAGGCTGGGCACAGTGGCTCATGGCTGTGATCTCAGCATTTTGGGAGGCCAAGGCGGGTGGATCACACGAGGTCAAAAGTTTGAGACCAGCCTGGCCAAACATGGTGAAACCCCATCTCAACAAAAATACAAAAAAAAAAAATTAGCTGAGTGCGGTGGCACACGTATGTAATCCCAGCTACTCGGGAGGCTGAGACAGGAGAATCGCTCAAACTCAGGAGGCAGAGGTTGCAGTGAGCCGAGATTGTGCCATTCCACTCCAGCCTGGGTGACAAAGTGAGACTTCATCTCAAAAGAAAAAAAAATCATGAACTTTTGTACATGCCTTAGACCTTATAGGAAAAAAAGTATAAGACTTTGATGCTTTATTACAGAGACTCTCATGATTTGTTACAAAGCAGTTCTTTAGAAACATACTTGGAGGCTATACTAAAATTATTATTTATACTATTTGTAGGCAACTAATGAATTAAGAACTCTTATTTCCTTTCTTACGTGCTTAGCATGTACTTATCAAATGCAAAGAAGAATATATTATCAAAATTTGGTTTATCTTACATGTGAATTGCAGTATAAAATAGTCATAATTCTAACAGAATTATATCAGACTGACAGAAAATGGCATCATTAGTAGAATCAATATAATGAGTAGGCATTGTCAAAGAACATGATTTCTGGACAAATGAACCAGGTGCAGCTAGAACAGCAGTCCCCCTTATCTGCTGTATGTGTAGAAAACACATATTCAACATGATGTTCCTCTTCTCTCACACCGCAACAACAATCATCAGCACAGAAGATTTCTGTGACCAAATATGTATTTTTCCCCAGCAACAAGCAAACAATCAATTCCTATGGGTGCCCTGTAATTCTGGCACTATCTACTTGGGGATTGTGTCAGATCCCACAGGTTGAGGGCTCAGTACCACAGGCTATTCCCCCACAGCAGTTACAAGTCTGGGCCTCCAGAACTTCTAATCAACTTCCAGTTGGACTTCAAGTTGGGTTTCCCAGGACCCCCTCTTTGGTTTGATTAATTTACTAGAGTGGCTCAGAGAACTCATGGAAACACATTTACCAGTTTTTTATAAAGAATATTAAAGGATACAGATAAAGAGATGCATAGTGCAAGATACGGGGGGAAAGTAACATGCTTCCATGTCCTCCCAGGGCACTCACCCTCTGGGAACATCCATGTATTCTCCATATGCCTTCATGTATTGGAGAGCATCCAGGTAGCTGAATACAGCTACCTGGATGCTCTCCAAATCCAATCCTTTTGGGATTTTATGAAAGCTTCATTACATAGGCATGACTGATTAATTGAACATTCAGCCCCTCTCACATCCCAGGAGGTGAGGGGTGGGGCTGGAAGTCCCAACCCTCTAATCACACCCTGATCACTATGATGATGAGCCCCACCCTGAAGCCATCTGGAGGCTGCCTGTCATAAGTCAATCATTAGCATACAAATGATATCATGTTGGAAATTCTGAGGATTTTAGGAGTTGTATGACAGAAAATGGGGTTGAAGACCAAATATATATTTCATAATATGACATTGGTGGTTTTATTGACTGCAGATTCAGTTACCCATGGTCAACCATGGTCCATAAATAAAATTTATGTATACACATCATAAGGTTTAAATTGCCTAAGATTCTGAGTAGTATGACAAAATTTGAGCCCTTACATCCCAGTCTGCCCAAGATGTGAATCGTCCCTTTGTCAAGTGCATACACATTATATATGATATCTGCTCACTAGTCATTGACATAAATCTGTACCTAACATCCAACCAACAATATCATCATGGTTCACGGATCCAAGATCACGTGAAGCAGATGATCTTCTTTCTGATATATAGTCAAATAGAAGGTCAATAGTAGCCTAAGACTACATGGCAATGCCTACTGCATTTGCCTCACTTATCACATAGCCATTTTATCATCTCACATCAGTGCAGAAAGTAGGGTGACTATAGTACATGATATTTTGTGAGCTCACATTCACATAACTTTTATTACAGTATATTGTTACAATTGATCTACTTTACCATTAGATATTATTAATCTCTTATTGTGCCTAATTTATGCATTAAATTTTATTATAGATATATATGTATTTTTAAAAATTATTGTACACATAGAGTTCAGCACTATTCATGTTTTCAGGCATTCACTAAGGGTCTTGAAATGTATCCCCCATGTGTAAGAGGAAATTACTGTACTTATTTTGTTGAAACACAACAGTTTCTCCACCTCTTCAGTTTAAACTATTTAGGATAAAGCACTCTAATTCAAAAAATCTAGGTCTATGAAAACTGTACTCTATTCTATGGCAAAACACAGGATACAGAGTAGGGTCAAGGATCCCTGCAAAGACTTTTCAGCTGCCAATGCAGAAGAGCCTAAGAGAGATCAGTGTCCTTACTCTCACTAATCCTCTCCTAGGGAAGATTCTGGTAAGTTTGCTTAGTTCTAGCTATTCATTCACCCTATGTAAGGTACAAACAATCCTTAAATTCAGCTTTCATTTTTAGCTCCTTCAAAAAAACACAAACAGAGAAAATATCACTCCCTTAACAGCTTATCCAATCTGAGTGTTGTTTCCTTGTCAGAGAGAAGCTTATAAAGAAATACTGGGAATGGTATGGCAAGTTGCCAGGGAGTACTTTCTAATATATAAAATATATATAAAGGAACCATAAACTCACTGGAGCTACCAAGATGTGCCAACAGTTGTCTCACTACCTAGTGGGAAAAACAACAACAACAACAACAAATCTTTGTCACTATATGTAAACAAAAATAGTATGACTCTCTTGGCATTTTTCATGATGGAGAACCTAGTTATAAGTGAGTCATGTTATAATAATATAGACTGTTTTCAAAGTGATCGCTCAAAGAAAGAAGGTGAATAAGAAACATATTTGTATGCCTATAGTATTCACTAGCTGGTCTATTTCCAACTGCAAGGTAAATAGGAAAGACTTTCTGACTCCAGTTTTATAAAGTACAACCTCTTGAGATTGTCCCTTTCCACTGCTAGTCTATCTGGACCCATCTCACAGAAAAGGATGATCCAGTTAGTGCTGTGTAGTACACAGCATGAAGTCATTTTCCTCAACCCTCCCCATTATGTGGCAAATGTCTATATAAATTATGCTTTTTCAACATGTAAAGCATATGCCATTAAATCCTACATTAATAAACTAAAAGCAAAAAAGCACAATGGATAGCTTAATTGAATACATTCAATTATCTTGGAAATTATGTTTTGTAATATTGAAAAAGATATCCACTATGTTATCCTTAATATATGACTATGCTGGACATATCAAAACTATGGGGACAGCAAAAATATTAGTAGTTGACAGGGGTTAATTGTGAGGGAGGAATAAAAAAAGAGACAAATTTCAGGGCAGTGTAAGTATTCTAATGGCGGGTACATTTATTATACATTTGTCCAGCTTTATAGAAGGTACAATACCAAGAGGGAACTTAAATATAAACTATGGACTTTGGATGATTATGATGCATCAATGTAAGCTTCTCAGTTGTAACAAATGTACCACTCAGGTGGGAGATGTTGAAAATGGGGGGAGCTATGAACGTGAGGGGGGATGGCGTATGTGAAAAATCTCTTTAGGTTCTTTTCAATATTGCTGAGAATATTAAACTGCTCTTAAAATAAAGTTGTTAATTTTTTAAAAAGATTTTCACTGAATCTTCTATTACTAATATATTGCTATATTATATTACCATATATTATAGCAAGACGTACTCAATTTGAAACACAATATAAATATTCTCTCCAGAATTATAGTATATAAAAGCACATAAAGCAAATAACTTAACTGTATTAACAGGCAAGAAAATAACTGATAAATGATTGATTTTTTTAATTTCATAATTATAAACAGAAATTTAACAAAATATAAAACAAAACTGAACCATCTACATAATTAAAATGAAACAAATTTTTTATTTCAATTTTAAATGAGAAATCATTACTTATTTTATCTAACCATTTTACTGAAAGGTTAATCGAATAAGAACAGATTATAATTACCTAATATTGCCATAGTAACTTCTGTACAGAGACCTGTTAAATATTCACCAAAATTCCAAAATCTAACAGCACAGAAACTTAGTATTTCATATTAAGTTGCAACTGACTCAAATGAAATAAGCACCATGCTATGTTATATTACCATGTTATTCACTATCAAATAGAATTTTTAAGACACCTAAAATTAAGTTGGGGCTGTAACTGCTGTGAAGAAAATAATTCATATAACAGTCATAAGACTGTCATTCTTAGAAAGGCCTACATGCAAAACTGGCCATTTGCTGGTGTTTGGAAATTTGCATTTTAAAGGTTTGTCACCATTTCCTGAGAAAAGTAGCTCACTGTACCTAAACTGTTTGCATAAACAATGTGGTTGACTCTGAACAGCTGCTTTTCTTCTGGAAGTGTGGAATTTTTGTATATGTGTGAGACAGCATGCCTATGTAACTAGCTTCCATAAGAACCTTGGATACTGTGTAAGTCTCTAGTCAGACTCATACTGGTAGACAATATTGCCCATGTGCTGTCAAAATTTGAAGCTACAGGAATTCAGCACATCCTGGTAACTCCACAGGAGAGGGCTCCCGGAAGCTTGTGCTTGGCTTCCCCAAGACTTGCCACATGCCCCTTTGCCCTGAGCCAATTTTACTTTGTATTCTTTCACTGTAACAAATCAAAGCCCAGAGTAGGACTGTTTGCTGAGTCCTTCCAAGTGAATCACCAAACACAGAGGTGGTCTTGGAAACTCTGACATAGTGGCATTATATGAAATTAGTTTTCTTTAAGGTGATGTGACCTGTGACTACGATCAGAAGGCTGTTTATAAAACACCTTTCCCTCATCTGTTTTCCTTAACAGTTGCCTTTGAGATTCCTGTATTTCTGCATGAATAAATCCATAAGGGAACAGAAATAATTATGCCAAAAAATGATGAAAAACAAGCAGCAATCCTATTTTAACCAGAATAAAAATTTGAGAATATGGATGATTAAAAATATATCCCATAGTATGAAAGCTTCTAGAAGAGAAACAAAAAGATCACAGCCAATTGTCTTCAACTCACCAAGGTTTCTTTTATAATAATTGGGGATCAGGCCAGGTGCAATGACACGCACCTGTAGTCCCAACTACTCCAACGGCTGAGGCAGGAAGATTGCTTGAGATCAAAAGTTTGAGGCTGCAGTGGAGATTGTGCCTGTGAACAACCATTGCACTCCAGCCTGGGAAACAGAGTGAGACCCTGTCTCTAAAATGCATTAGTAGGCTGGGGGCGGTGCCTTACACCTATAATCCAAACACTTTGGGAGGCTGGGGCGGGCGGATCACAAGGTCAGGAGATGGAGACCATCCTGGCTAACACAGTGAAACCGCATCTCTACTAAAAATATAAAAATTAGCTGGGCGTGGTGGTGCATGCCTGTAGTCCCAGCTACCTGGGAGGCTGAGGCAGGAGAAGCGTTTGAACCCAGGAGGCAGAGTTTGCAGTGAGCCGAGATTGCGCCACTGCACTCCAGCCTGGGCAACAGAGCGAGACTCAGTCTCAAAAAAAAATCTATTAATAAAAACATAAGTAAAATAATTTGCATCATTCAGGTCATTGTGATAATTATAGAAATATATGTAGCCATTGGATATAATACTTACTATCAATCATAGAGCTCATTTAATTTGTTTCTAATCTTTTTTCTTAAGTTCTTATAAAACTAAAAATATCTATAAAAACTAAAAATCATCTGTTAAGGGCCGTTCTTCATAGAACAGGTCAAAAAGTCAAAAACTGCATTTAAAATGTAGGATGAGTTATCCACTTCTCCTCCCAAACAGTGGGTTTTTCTTATTAAGGGCCAATAGGACTTTAAACTCCCTTTGGAGAATAAAGGAAGTTATAGACCAGCACGATGGCTCATGACCATAATTCCAGCACTTTGGGAGGCTGAGGCAGGAGGATCACTTGAAGCCAAAAGTTTGAGACTGGCCTGGGCAAAAGAGAGAGACCTTTGTCTTTAAAAAATAAAAAATAAAAAAGTTAGCTTGGTATGGTGGCATATACTTGTAGCAGTCTCAATGACTTAGGAGGCCGAGGTAGGAGGACCACCTGAACCCAGAAGTTTGAGGCTGCAGTGAGCTATGATCACACTATTGTACTCCAGCCTGGGAAACAGCAAAAGACTCAATCTCAAAAAAAAAAAAAAATCAAGAAACTTATATATAGATGGTTAAAGGTGTGGTAATCCAACTGACCAAATATTCCAGCTAAGTAACAGATTACCAATATTTGAAGAAATATAATACCAGAAAAGTGTTTTACATTAAAACTATGTCGTTTGAAAATTTAGAATTTAAAATTTAAAATTTAAAAAAATTTAAAAGACACCTTAAGTGTCTTAACTTAATTTGAAAATTTAAAAGACATTTAAAGTTTGAAAATTTAAAAGAAACTTAAAATCTTAAAGGAGCAGCATCACTTACACTGTCACTGTGCTAAAGATATAAAGAAGTTTAGCATTAAAGATTAATAGAATACCAGATATACTTTAGAATAGGTAGCTAATTCTCTTAAAAGAAAATCCTATATAGTTGTCAAAAATACCTGTGTTAGAAATGTGTTCTAATAATATTTTCTTTAGGGACGAAATTAAAAAAAAAAACAGTAAAAGCAGAGATATTACAAGAGGTCATGAAAAGGGAATTGCACTAAAACAAAGTGTCCCAGAACACAGAGACTTGGTATACTTAGCATGTCACCTTATATTTTTCTCCATGACATTATATAAAAGACGTCAGCTTCTCCAAACTGCTCGTCTGTAGGCTACTTCTTTTTTTTTTTTTTTATACTTTTAGAGTACATGTGCACAAAGTGCAGGTTTGTTACATATGTATACATGTGCCATATTGGTGTGCTGCACCCATTAACTCATCATTTAGCATTAGGTAGATCTCCTAATGCTATCCCTCCCCACTCCCCCCACCCCACAACAGTCCCCGGTGGGTGATGTTCCCCTTCCTGTGTCCATGTGTTCTCATTGTTCAATTCCCAGCTATGAGTGACAACATGCGGTGTTTCGTTTTTTGTCCTTGCCATAATTTGCTGAGAATGATGGTTTCCAGCTTCATCCATGTCCCTACAAAGGACATGAACTCATCATTTCTTATGGCTGCATAGTATTCCATGGTGTATATGTGCCACATTTTCTTAATCCAGTCTATCATTGTTGGACATTTGGGTTGGTTCCATGTCTTTGCTATTGTGAATAGCTACAAACCACTGCTCAATGAAATAAAAGAGGATACAAACAAATGGAAGAACATTCCATGCTCATGGATAGGAAGAATCAATATCATGAAAATGGCCATACTGCCCAAGGTAATTTATAGATTCAATGCCATCCCCATCAAGCTATCAATGACTTTCTTCACAGAATTGGAAAAAACTACTTTAAAGTTCATATGGAACCAAAAAAGAGCCCACATCACCAAGTCAATCCTAAGCCAAAAGAATAAAGCTGGAGGCATCACGCTACCTGACTTCAAACTATACTACAAGGCTAGAGTAACCAAAACAGCATGGTACTGGTACCGAAATGGAGATATAGACCAATGGAACAGAACAGAGCCATCAGAAATAATGCTGCATGTCTACAACTATCGATCTTTGACAAACCTGAGAAAAACAAGCAATGGGGAAAGGATTCCCTATTTAATAAATGGTGCTGGGAAAACTGGCTAGCCATATGTAGAAAGCTGAAACTGGATCCCTTCCTTACATCTTATACAAAAATTAATTCAAGATGGATTAAAGACTTACATGTTAGACCTAAAACCATAAAAACCCTAAAAGAAAACCTAGGCAATACCATTCAGGACATAGGCATGGGCAAGGACTTCATGTCTAAAACACCAAAAGCAATGGCAACAAAAGCCAAAATTGACACATGGGATCTAATTAAACTAAAGAGCTTCTGCACAGCAAAAGAAACTACCATCAGAGTGAACAGGCAACCTACGGAATGGGAGAAAATTTTTGCAACTTACTCATCTGACAAAGGGCTAATATCCAGAATCTACAAAGAGCTCAAACAAATTTACAAGAAAAAAACAAACAACCCCATCAAAAAGTGGGCAAAGGATATGAACAGACACTTCTCAAAAGAAGACATTTATGCAGCCAAAAAACACATGAAAAAATGCTCATCATCACTGGCCATCAGAGAAATGCAAATCAAAACCACAGTGAGATACCATCTCACACCAGTTAGAATGGCAATCATTAAAACGTCAGGAAACAACAGGTGCTGGAGAGGATGTGGAGAAATAGGAACACTTTTACACTGTTGGTGGGACTGTAAACTAGTTCAACCATTGTGGAAGTCAGTGTGGCGATTCCTCAGGGATCTAGAACTAGAAATAGCATTTGACCCAGCCATCCCGTTACTGGGTATACACCCAAAGGATTATAAATCATGCTGCTATAAAGACACATGCACATGTCTGTAGACTACTTCTGATTGAAACTTGAAACTCTCGAAATGCGGCTGTGTTATGATTCCATGTTGGAGAGAGTCGGGATGTATGTGCTTTGGACAAGGTGGTTCCAGTTACTGCTGCCAGACTTTTGTTTCAGAATGCATCCAGAAGAACTTATCAGGGATTTCAGTACAAACTAAGTATTTCCACAAGGAGCAGATAAGAAGACCACAGTTTTTCTCACACATTACCCTTAGGTTTTGACAATTCTGTAAAAGTGTGGGCACATGTACTCAGAAGTCAAGACCATTTTCCCTGACCCTGTGCACGTAGCTTCTGCAGTTACAAAAGGGTTACGCAGGATCTTGGTAGATTTGTTCCTCCATATTTGGACAACAGACATACCAATCACATCAATAGCCCACATTACACCTCAAAAATGGTTCTTTTGAAAAGGGTACCGCCAAAGAGCTTTTAAAAGTTAAATCTAATTGGCTTTTGAGTAATCTTACTTGTTAGAATTCATACTCCCTCCTTAAAATTCTCACTTTTTTTATTTTTGCAACATCACTTCCTCTGACTCCTCTCCTACTTTTCTCTAGCCACTGCTCATTCTCCTTCACCAACTCTTTTTTTCCTGGGGGTGGGGAGGGAAAGTTGACATTCCCAGGGTTTTGTCACAGGATAGCTTCTCATTCTACATCTGCATCATGGACAGCTCATTGAGATCGATGACTTTGCCTAATAATTATAATAACATCATTCTACGTCTGCATCTCCAACCTCAGATTTGGAGGGAAGGGAAGTTATTCTTCCCTGTTGACCAGCTGTACTTCTCCATTCAGTGAACACGTCCTACTCCTTTCTTGTGTGCAGTATAAAGGCCAGTACACAACCTGGAAACCTATGAATGATCCAAGATTTCTCTCTCCCCACTAATGTTTTACATTCAATGTTCACTAAATCATATTAACTGTACCTCTTTTCTGCTTCTGCTTTATATTTCTACTGCCACCAAATAAATATGTTTATATTTCCTAGATCAACATGGCCTCTTCACTGATGGTTTTCACAGGAAAAGATCCCTATCAACTATTATTGTTTTTTTATAAATAAAAAATTAAGTAAAACAAATAAAGAAGGCATACAGGCAAGAAAAAGACCAACATTTTAAAATGAGTAAATGGAGTAAATTTACTTTATTTTACCGTGGATGGGTGAACACCTTACACTAGATTGATAGTAGTTCAAGCATCGAACTACAAGGAAACTACAGCTTTAACTACTGCAAAATCTTCCTTTCTCTAGCTTACTTTCTTGTACTCAGAATACAATATATAATATATATAACATACCAAATATGTATTTTCAACAGCATGGGGATTGGCAGCACTAAATCCCATGTTGTTCAAGGGCCAACTGTAATTATTGATTCATTTAGTAATTGCAAAGAATTTATTTTACAAATTAAATAGAAGTTCTAATTATATAAAAAGTCTAATTCATTATCATGTGACTATTAAAAAAATACAACATAATAACTTAAAAATTTGTTTTCTTATTTACACAAAAAGGTCATCTAGAATACTAGGAACGATAATTAAATAATAATTTTTTTCAAACAATACTGAGATTATAAATTACCTACAATTAACTTTTTAAATAATTATAAAATCTAGACTACTAAGTATTTTTTAAATGTGTACAATTTAAAGTGATTTTTTTAAACTGCTTTTTTGTAATCAAAACATCTTTATTCTTTTTTATCTATGGTAGTACCATCAAGAGTAATTCACTATCAGAAATCTCACCTGGATTGCTATTTATAGGAAGATCTTCATATCTCTTTCTTTTGTATTCATAAATTAGATCAAAAATGCTATGCATAAAAATAAATGAAATTAATATTTTAATACTATTATCAAAAACATTTACCAAATATACTAAATTATTAGAGTATCTTGAACAATATCAGGATGTTAATTATCCTATACACTTCTCTTTTGTAAGCTCTACAAACTTCTTAGTACCTTTCTAATTAAATAATAAAAACAGGTGAAGTACTCATGAAGTGAAGGCAGTATAGCTCAGCAAACTATCTCACATCAGCTTGACATAATGGAAAGTCACCTTCCTGGCTCTTACTGGAAGGTCCTGGCTCTATAGCCAACAGGTATTTGCTCTTAAACAAGTTGCTTCTCTTAGGCACAATGTCTTCTTCTAGATTTTACTACCTTCTTTCACTAGGTTGTTATATAGGTTTAATGAAGCAGCATTTTTAACATTCACAGAGAAATAGTAAAGCAGTGGAGCTTGTTCTTGAACTTTATCGCTGAAACTATTTTGAAATCCCAAATCAAACCCAATGTGTATTTTTTCATAGGTTCTAATATTCAAATGCTTCAGTTTAAGAAAAATGTTAAGTCCTAATTTTGCTTATTGTTCTATTATTTCTGGCTTATAATTCAGTGTATCTCAACTATTTCATAATTCATAAATAAATTAATTTATGAATATATTATTTCATTAAAATAGGTAACACGATTGTTAACTATTATTGAGCTCATCAATTCCAAGGGCAGAAAACTAACAGATGTCAAGATCTGGCTTGGGCTACCACTATTACTTCTCTACAGACTCTAACTGAATGAGCAGATGTTTGCTAGAATGATGGTTCATCTCCATCAGTGATGTTATCTCCAACTGACATGGAAGACAAAACCCTACTTTCATTTTTTTTAAGTTCCATGAAGTAGATGCAAGTTGACATTTTCTCATTTCCAAGATACATACTAACAAAATATTTACACAACACCCCATGTGTTACTTATCTCCATTCTCAGTTTATAGATCACCTTACACAAATGTTTTTGTAGTGAAAAATCACAATTCTAATATAAGGGGCCACCCATTTTGTTTTGATTCAAACTATGACTTAGCTAGCCAGCAAACAGTCAAATGACCTTCCCGTGACTGCAAAATATGAAATGCTTCACCATGCTAATTTTCTCCGTATTGTTCCAATTTTAGTATTTGTGCTGCCAAAGCAAGCACAAAGCCTTACTTTTACATATAACTGCTGATAAGTCATGGATGAGGGTTAGCTCTGTTAAATCTAACTAACAAACTTGAGACTCAGATAATTCCAATGAATGGCTTCCTGTGAAATAGAATCCGAAAATATTTTATAAACTTGAGATACTGATGCAAGCAGCTTGAGAGATCTTCATTATTATAGATAACAGATCACTTGAGGGGCCAACCACAAGTTGATGCCTACTACTCTAAGGAAGGATGGCATAGAAGCTTCCACTACCTGAGAAAAGCTCTTACGCTGTTTATATAAAAAGTCTCAGGGTACAGATCTGGTAGCAATAAAGAAGAACACTGTGATCTCTTTCTACAACATTATTTGAATATCTCTGACAGTTTAGAACTATCCTAACTAATATTTGCTTTAAAGAGAAAAAAAAGGGACTCAAAAAATAACTCACCATGAAGGTCTAGAAGCCCAGGTTAAAATGTGGGCTTTACATCAGGTTTTGAGTGTGGGTGAAAGTGTCAATTTGCTCCGTATGTGTGTTGATAAAGTTAGAATATCCAGCTAACAGAGCAAGGTTCTGCTGTTTTGGAAACAATGGCTGAGCATATAAGTATGTGCAACTGAACTAAAAAAAACAGTTGTAACTTTGAAGCCTTTTTATGGATCAACATGAAGATTGAGGGATCTCAAACAGAAAGGGCATGCTGGTAGCAAAGGTTAATCACTACCAGACTGCAAGAGTACTTTCAATGGTAAGAAAGCAGCAACAGAATCAATGAAAACAAAGCAATGATTAGAATGTCCTTTCCCCTTCTCCTTCTGACTTGTAGACACTGATTGTCTTCCTTGGACTTAGGGAACCCCTTAGGTTCTTGAAAAATTCCATGATCAGGCTATAGTAGATGGTCCCCAGTACACAACTCAAGGTTTTTTGATAAACTGGACATTTTGAGACCCAAATAACTAATTAGAAAAATCAAAGATGTGAAACTACTTTACCCTATGCATAGGGGTTATACTGGAAATAAAATGGACAACATTGGAATCCCTAAGGAGAAAAGTCCTGAAAGTTTCAATATCAAGAATCTTGCACCTACTGCTACTTATCTAGCCTTTTTCTTGATTTCTGGCTGATGAAGTTGCACAACTCTCGAAAACTTAAAAACTTGAAAATTTGTCACTTGAAAACTACTTGAACCAAACTATGCAATCTCACCTGATATATAAGATGCAATTGTTACAATTATTTTAAACTTCAATTTAGTGTTCATTAGCCTTTTTACGTAAAGACTTACACTCTATTCTCAGCCTCACTGGCATAATCTTCTGCAAGCTTTCCATACACATCTCGAGAAAACACATCAATATTGTGCTGCAGAAGAAGAATGACTATATCTTTTTCTCCAAGAGTAACAGCAAGTATGAGGGCTGATCTAAAATAACAGAGAGGTAATTAAAAACTTTAATGACATTTTAAAAGCTAAGTTTATATACTTTATCAACTTAACATGTTGCCTGTCCATGTAGAATTAACCCAATTACATGTACTAAGAAACAAGCATCTTGGGTGCTCAAGGGTTTATCTTTGCAAGTTACCACAAAGGTTAAAAGCAAGGAACAAAAAGGAAGCCTCTTGTCCCACTGTGGTATGACATAAAGTTGCTAACTTAAAGTCCTTTGATGGGCAAGAAATATGCTCAGGCCACCTATCTACAGTAGGCAAATTTAAGTGAAAAATTATTCATTTCTTCCCTAGTCTGATACTATACATTATAATGCAAAATCAGCTGAAGGGTCAGATAAGAGCTATCTGCAGGCTTAAAACAATAATATTAATAGGAATGCTAATAGTAGTAGTCATAGCTTCAGTTAATGATGCTCATAAGCATGTGCTAGGCATTTAATTAAACACTATATATATATATATATGGAGGATAATAATATATCCTTCAAGGGTGGTTGTGTATAAGTAATATCACATATATATAAAATATATATAGTATATTATATATAATCTATAAAATATATAATATATAGTATATTATATATTATCTATAAATATATATTGTATATATTATATATTATATATGATGTTAGTTACATTATATTCTTACATACATATGTGTGTATATATATTATATGCACATACTTATATGCTCAGCCATTGTTTCCAAAACATCAGCACCTTGCTCTGTTAGCTGGACATTCTAACATTATATATATATAATGTTACTTACACACAACCACCCTTGAAGGATATATTATTACCCTCCTTTTCACAGAAGAAAACATACTTGGTAAGTAATGTTACCAAGGTCACACATCTAGCAAGTGGGAAAGCTAGGGATTAAACCCAGTCCTGTGTGAACCTAAAGCTTGTCTTCATTGAAGTAAAGTTTTATCCATCTAAAGCTATCTTTTTTCCCCCTCCCCATATCAATTAAAAACAACATCAAAACACAGTAGAAATGAAAAACTAACATGAAACCCCTTTAGCTAATGTAAGATCATACAATCAAAAGCATCACATTATTACATTGTAAATAACACCACATCATCTTACAAATAACAAACATCTATCAATATACAGAGCTTTCTATATATAGAAGCCTTTTATGTGTATAATGTCTATAGAGAGAGATGAATCCTGCTATACACTGTTCTTTATGTTACTCAGTCCAAATAATTGTTTTTCTACCTAAGTGATGATCTGTGTTGATATTTCTCACTATATCCCAGTAATTAAAAGTTAGTCTTCTTACTAATGTAATATTTGTGACTTGAGTGACTGCTACCACTCTAAAATGACACTCAGGTTTAAAAACAACACAATAAGAACTAAGGTCTGTACCTGCCAAGATAATCAATGGCATTTACATTTGCTTTTTTCTTTAATAAAAATTCCACCATTTTCACTTTTCTTCGACTCACAGCAAGTAACAGTGGCTGATATTCATTCTGTAAAATAACAGCAACAATTTATAATCACAAAATTACATATTTATCAACTGAAATGAAAACCTTATGTAAGATCCTGTGAGCTTCAATATATACAATTGAAAGGTCGTAAGAGGTAGTCCCTTTCTTTTCCCTCCTCGGTGCTTTTCTATGTTCTGCTCCTTCCCCTGGAAACAACCTCCTCTGCCTCACCACAAGAACTCTGGTCATCTCCAAAACTCACTTCAAACATTTCCCAGTTCCAAGAATCTTTGCTTCTGTCCCAGCATTTAGCATGGCATGTTTCAAGGATTTAATTGTTTCCCACCTGAACCAAGAGCTTCTTGAGGGCAGCAGCTGTATTTTTTTCTCTATGTCCTCAAACTCTAAGACACAGTAATAAATGTTTCAGGTATTTTTATTAATGATCTAAATTATTATCTATAGAGCGGTGTTTCTTAAACTATTAATATATTCCAAAGGATATTTACTTTACCAGAATTTGAACATTATACCCCAAAAGAGAGACTCCATGATCACCCATGTTTGAAAAATGTTACAAAACTGTGCATTATGTGTCTAGTATTTGAGAAATCTTTTGAACTTCACCTAATCCCTATTTGTAAATACTTATTTTGGAGAATGTTAACATTTGAGAAATGAGAGTTTCAGGGATACAGTTGTGAGAGCTTACCAGTAAAGGTAGAGGTTTCCTCTGGGTGATACACACTTGCCTCATTCTCTTCTATCGATGGTGTGAGAATCTCAGGTGACAATGTCAGGAGCTCCTGAGCACCTGAGCACCTGACATTGTCATCTGAGATTCTGACACGATTGACAGTTCATTTGAAGCCTATCTCTTTTTAATTCGGAGAGCCGGGCTCTGAATTAATAGAGATAGGCTTCGAGTGAACTTTCACTGCTTATTATTAAATAGTCCATGGGTTTTCTCTAGTAATATTTTTATCTTAGCTGTCAGAAAGCTCTGTATGAAATGTTATTCTCAATTACAATCTTAGGACCCTGATGCAAATATTTATGTAATTATAATCTTAGGACCCTGGTACATAACTCCTTTAAAAATCTATTTGTATTCTAGTTTCCAATTCATTCTTACCTAACTTATTTTATTTTAGGTAAAATATCAATCAGAAATAAAAATACAATGGCTTATCAATTAAAGCTCTAATAATGACCTATATGAATTATTTATAGCATAATGAAAACCACTAAATTATTTGCATCATTTATTTATTTATTTATTTATTTATTTGAGATGGAGTCTCGCTCTGTCACCCAGGCTGGAGTGCAGTGGTGCCATCTCGGCTCACTGCAACCTCCGCCTCCCGGATTCAAGCACGAGAAATTCTCCTGCCTCAGCCTCCCGAGTAGCTGGGACTACAGGCGTGTGCCACCACACCCAGCTAATTTTTTGTATTTGTAGTAGAGAGGGGGTTTCACCGTGTTAGCCAGGATGGTCTCAATCTTCTGACCTCGTGATCTACCTGCCTCTGCCTCCCAAAGTGCTAGGATTACAGGCGTGAGCCACTGCGCTCGGCCAATTACTTGCATTTTTAGGAGGCAATGCTGAAGAGAAAAATATAATGTTGTCTGCAATATGCATAACCTATGCAACTATACCATGATTCACCTTAAAAAGCTTACATGCATTCTAATGGGAAGATGATTATTTATGGTATGTATAAATAGTTTATAAAACACCACCATCTAAATTCAAAAGTTCAACCCGATTACCAAAGGATTTATATAAAATATAGACTCTACATTTAAATAAATATAAAATGTCTTGAAAACCTTGAAATATTTACTAAAATATATTATAAAACAGGGCTTGTAAAGTCATCCCTACAGAGGCAAGGGAGATGACCTGAGGAAGTGAAGTACCTAGGTAGGCACAGTAGCAAAATGGAGACCACATGCCTCATAGAAAGGGGCAACCTCTGCACAGCATCCAAAACCTGAGATAGGCTCAAGGGACACCAGATTGGATTCTTGAAGAGAAGCTTGGAATCCAGATCTGTGCACGAGTCTCCTAAACCTTCCATGTTGAGACAATTTGTAGACGCAAACTAAACACATGTATGGGACACATTTGGACTATATACCTTGTATTTTTATATTTGCTATGGATATGTCTCCAAGCGATTGTATGTAAAGCAAGTATTTTCATGTAAAATACTTCCTTTCTTTAGTTTCAGATTTTTTTTCCAAAATAGGCCCAAGAATGCAATAAAAATTGTTACTAAGAGTCATAATACCCACTTTGAGCACTTTTACAACATTCATTCATTTATAATTTATGTTTAATTTTCCCAGATTGTTCACCAAATGGATAATTAGTTCATAGGACTGCTGCAACTAAATTATTAAAATAATATTAAATTATAATTCTAGTTTCTATATTGTAACCTAATTTTTTTTATTTTAGGTAAAATATAAATCAGAAATAAAAATACAATGGCTTATCAATTAAAGCTCTAATAATGACCTATATGTATTCTTTGTATTCTTACTAACTTCATGGTTTTCAGTGTTTAAAACTGCTATCCTGATTATGCCACAGTTCTATGTACTTAACTGACATACTGAGGCAGTCCATAATAGAGCTTCAGCTTTAAAAAAAGGTTTAGAATTTTTTGCTATTGTAATTGAGAGAACCCCGCTTTTAATAATGATGTATTGACCTAATCACCAGAATGATAACAAAGAGACTCAGAGTCCTGAAAGAGTCAGTCTCTACTTATTAAAAGAGTCCACAATAGCAAATTTCTAATGACCCTATGAATGGCAGTGAATAAGTGATGGTGGCAAAGAAAAGGTGTTATTCTTATGCTGATAGATACTGCAAATAATAGTCCTTTCCACTTCCCAACCACAGAGGTAGAGACAGGTAAAAGTCAGGCCAATATTATTGGAAAGGAGAAATTTAAAGGAAGCAGCACCTATCTCCAGCTCTTCTAGAGATTTTTTGTGTGTTTGAGATATGGGAATTTATATTACACTTATCTATTCAGTGGTTCTTAACCAGCAGCGTATCAGTGTCCCAAGAAATGTTTTATTGTTGTTGTTGTTGTTGTGTTGTTGCTGTTAGAGGCAGTGTCTTAATCTGTTGCTCTGGCTAGAGGCACCACCATGCCCAGCTTCAAGGAAATATTTTAAAACATACATGCCCAGTAATATTTAATAGTAAATATTAGATTTACTATATTAAAATCTTCAGGGGATATCCTAGACTTAGAGATTTGCTTTTAATTTCCCCAGGTTACTGCCATGCACAATTCTAACTGCGAACCAGCACAGTTGATAATCACTTCAGTCTCATTTCTCACCCACGTGGCAAATTCCCTTTATCGTTTGGGATTTGGCCGAAAAGAGGAAAGAGCAAAAGATAGAGCCATTCACTGAAGACTTCATTTACTTTTCCTGGGTAGGGGTAGGGAAGAGACTAGTAAGCTCAAAATCCAACTTGATTTTACTATTTATAAGCTCCGTATCTCCCACCTGCCCATCAAGACATTCTGGACTTGAGAGTAGAGTTTAGATGCTTATCTGAGTGGCTGTTTCTGCCAGAATTGAATAATGTCCATTAATTATGTGTTCTTCTCTCTGCTGAACTGTGTGCCGCTTCATCACCACTATTCACTGCCAACCTGGTTTCCTCAGAGTCTTACCAAAATTGATCCCTGGGCAATTTCACAACTCACAAACTCTTTCCCAAAGTAAGAATAATCATCCCCAAAACTGAAGCGATCTTTGTCTAAACATATAAATTGAAAACAAACAACAAAACACACAAAAACCCTCTCCACAGTATTTTCCCTCATTACCTAATTTCCAAATTAGCTTGTGCATTTCTGATTGCTCTCCTTTTCTTCATTTTTCCCTCTTAAGCCTTTCCACAGAGGAATCACTTTCAAATGAAATCACCTTCACATACAACACTTGTCAACAGCAACAACATGTACATTTATTGTGAAATTCTTTAATTTTCTTTGACATTTAAAATAAAGCCTATTTATAAGGGACAATTTTACTTTCCTGTGTCACTTCACACTGATTAGAAAAAAAGTAATTTAGTGGAAAAACACTTAACTATTACCTTTCCCAAATTCAGTTGTCATGAATTATAAATTTATTGTAATTCATTTGTTTTTATAGTTATTTACCATAAGTGCATGAAAAAAGGCTGTTCCCTATAATGCTTCTTTAAAAGTTCCAATATTTAAAGTAAAATCTTAGACAGTTAAGGCATTTCAAAATATTTTCATTCAAGGAATGTTTGAGCTTCCAAATATGAAAAATTGACCCTTACATGTGTCAATGTTAAAATAAATGCATTTCAGATAGTTTGAAAATAACATTGGTTGACCTATACCTTGCTGCATTCTTCAATATTTGTACCATGTGAAAGAAGTTTTTCTATCATGGATGTATCTTCATTATACACAGCGTAGTGCAGAGCAGTCCTTCCAAAGACATCCGTAATATTTGGATCGGCGCCATTTTGCAGCAGAAGAGTTGCACAAGCCTCCTGCCTCAGTTGTACAGCCTGTCAGTATTAGACCGAGAAACATGCAAATACTGAAAAAATCAAAATAAACACTCCGTAGGATTTCCTACTAGTTATATGGTGGTATTCCAATGAGATAAATTCATTTTATCCTATGTACTTCAACCAAATCCATCTCATGCTCAAAGAGTCAGCTACTATGTACCTTGATCAGAGGTGTCCTGTCTTCACGGTCGCAGAGGTTAAGCTCACATCTTCTGGACACCAGGAGATGTACCATTTCCGGTTGGCCAGTGGCACAGGCCAAATGTAGGGCAGTCCTGTGAGAGTGACAGGACTTTTTAAAACATGTAACTGTAAGCATTAATTAGCATGTTATTTCTCTGTCTTCAAAACAAATATGTAATTTTCTTGTGAAGAAAGTACAACATTTGTTAGCGCTTATTACTCACCACATTAATGAAAGAGCAGGCTATTTAATAGAAAAGGCTTGGCTTTTGGATTCAGTTTAATTGGGGCTTAAAATTTACTGTAAGCTCTGTCACTTAGCTGTTATTTAGCCTTTCTTTGCTTCAATTTCCTTATCAATAAAATATGTAAGAGAATAGTAGCTAGCCCACAGAACACTGCTGTGATGCTTACATAAGAATCTATGCACAGCATTTAGAACACTTTCTAACACAAATAACAGCTCAATAATTTTTAGATATCACTACTTACAAAGACAAAGACATTTTAATTAAGTAAAATGATACAATCATATCTACATTGAGGTATCTATTAAAGATTAGATGTATCATTGTATTTCAGTCATTCTCAGATGCTCATTTTCTCACTATTCTCTTATATAAGCTACTATTCTCTTATATATTAACATCTCCTGACATTGGAAAACTGTTTACAATTCATTATTTATTACATTTATAACTGGCAACATTTTAAACATTATCTTATCGATATATAAAGTAATGTGGCATCACCCAATCCGTGATGCCTTACATTAAGTGGGATACAGTTCATAGAACAGGCAGTTCTATTCATATAATTGGCACCTAAATGAAGTACTGTGGAAAAAGAAGGCAAAAATAAAAAAACAAATTTTTAAAACAAAGTAATTCTTACTTCAACTTTCAAAAAAAAATAATCCAAAGAAAACTCAGGATTCAAATGAATAGGTATGGCTCATTTTTTTCAATACTTACAGAATGTTATGTAAATTAGGTATTTGCAATGATTAATAGTAGTATTTGAGACTGTCATAAGTTTTTGAAATGGCAGTTAAAGGTTATCTTTCACTATTTTCTAACTTCAGAATTGCTTTTGTTTAAAAAAAAAAAAAGGAATAAAAGATCCAACTGGGATTCAGTCCTAATGCTTCCATTTTAAATCTCAGCTTGCTCAGGCTGGGCAGGTAAACATGAAGTTGTTAAGGGTGGAAGAGTCCTGAGAGATGGTGGAATGTGTCTGCTACATAATAGGTATTCAGGTTATGCTTGATGAATAACTGGATTGAAAGAATGCATACATACAGTTGGGAAGTTTATTGTGAAAAAAACTATAAATTAAAGCAGTGCTTTTGGAATAGTGATAATCACTTATATTTGCTCATTTTCATTTTCATGAGGACACTGATAAACTAAAATAATTAATTTAAAATTGTTTCCTTATATGTAATAAAACTATAATAAAAACTTATGTATATACTAAAATCTATGCATAATAAAATAATCAAGCACAAATAAAAATATTCCCTCTGCCTCTGAAGAGGCTAAAAGTTCACAGAAGATACCAATAAACAAAAAAATAAAAATAAGGCCAGGCACAGTGGCTCACACCTGTAATCCCAGAACTTTGGGAGGCCGAGGCGGGGGGATCACCTGAGGTCAGGAGTTTGAGACCAGCCTGGTCAACATGGTGAAACCCCGTCTTTACTAAAATATACAAAAATTAGCTGGGCATGGTGGCGCACACCTGTAATCCCAGCTACTCAGGAGGCTGAGGTGGGAGAATCACTTGAACCTGAGAGGCAGATTGCAGTGAGCTGAGATCATGCCACTGCACTGCAGGCTGGGCGACAGGGTGAGACTCCATCTCAAAAATAAACAAACAAACGAAGAAATTAATAATAAAATAGAAACTGAGAATTTTTTTTCTTTGCAAGATTTATATTTCTTCTTTTCCCAAGGATAATTTCATTAATAAAAAACATTTACTAGAAGTTTTAAACATGCTGATCATTTATACATCACAGATAAGAAAAAATATCACAATACACCTGCCAGAAAAGAAGAAATGTTATATTTTGTACACATATTTGGCTTACTAACACCATAGATTGTTTGTGTGTATGTATAATCAAACCAACTTTTTTTCAGAGTACATCTTCACACCTCAACATACATCTGTATCTACTGACATCTGCAAAGGTCCCATATTGTCCCATCCTATGGATGCACTGAAATTTATTGATAAATTTATAAAATTTATAAAATCCACTATAAGGGGTTTTCCAAATACACTGCTATTTTAAGCAGTGCTGAGAAAAACAAATTGCATGTATCTCTATTTCCTAGAGATATTTTAGTATAACGGAATTGATGGGTGAAGGGCACATACATTTTTACAGTGTGATACTTACCAACAAATTGTCTATTTGAAAAGTCATCAGAAATGTAAACTTTCAACAGCAGTATATGTACTGCTACCCTTTACCCTCACAAACTTGTGGATAGAAAACAGTATTTCATTCTTTTTTTAACTTAAATACCTTCTCCTCCCAGGAACACTAAATATTTTTTCCCATGTGCATAGGTTGCTTGAATATCTGAAAAATAAATGCTTTGCTCTATTTTAAATGAGAGTTCTTGTTTATTTGAAGAATTCTCTGTAAAATGAAAATCACTTTTTTATCTAATATGTATACACACATATTGTCTTTTGTTAATTTTTTCTTATAAACTGGATTTTTTTTATTTTGCTAAATCGACCTTCAGAATGTGTGCTTGTGATATTTGTAGGAATATAAACATGCATCAATATAAGTAGGCATTTGTGTTTTTTTCTGTTATCTTTCTTATTTTGTGCATTTAAAATTTTTAATCTACATTCCATAACGAACTTATTTCTGTGACATGAAAATCTAGCCAGATTTCTCCAAATAGTTAGCAGGCACTTCATTTATGAGTAATTCATCTTTTCCTACTAATATGAAATGTCACCATTATCCAATTCTATTAGATTGGTGCAAAGGCAATTGCGGTTTTCGCCATTACTTGTAATTGCGGCAAAAACCGCAATTGCTTTTGCACCAACCTAATATATTCTTACACATATTGGTGTGTTCCTGGATTTTCTAACCTGTTCCATTCACTGATTTGTTGTTTCAGCTGTTAGTAAATAACTTGTGGAAATTAACAGCACATTTTCATATCTAGAAAGGCAAGTCTTTTTTGACTCCATTTCAAAAGTTTTCTTAATGTCGTCACAATAGTAAAAGACAGCATGAGTAATTCAAAAATGTTAACACTTTGATAACTTTATTTGGATTATGTAAAATTTATAAACACAGAAAGAGCTCAGAACTTTAGAAAAATGTGTCTTTCTATTCAAGAACACAGACCATCTTCCCACTTCAAAGTTTCCCTCTAAGGTCCCTCAGTGAAAACCAAATTGACATAGGTGTCCATTGATATCAAATAAATATTGGATTTTTATCCAAAGAATTTTTAGCCAGGAAGTTGATATATTATGGAAATGATTTCTCTCATTATGCACCTTTCCATAATGTATGTAACATTATGCTTTAAAATGTGCACGTTAAAAATAAAACGCTGTACATGCTGAATTTTATTAGTGAAATCACTTTAAAATGATTTATAAAGAAGCAGCATGGTGAGTGATTGGAAACCAGCTGAAGTTTTGTTTTTGTTTTGCTGCTTGTGAAAATGACCTGGGTGCTCGCCCCCGCCAAGGTTTCCACATCCCAGGTGCGGCTGAGCCTGCCAGGAAAGAAAGTCCAGCCCCTTTGGTGACAGGACTCGCCCCCCTCACCTCTGCACCCCTTTCCCCCACCCCATTCACCCCCACACCTCACCCCCACCTCCAGTCCTCTATCCCATTGAACCCTCACCCCATCTCCCCACCCCACACCATCCACGCCCCTACCCCCCAAGCCTTCATTCCATCCACCTCAGCCCATTCACGCCCCCACCCCATGCACCCCCTACTCCCCACTCCCATCCCCCAACTCACTCCACACCCCGCCACCCCATATACCGCCACTCCCCAGGCCCCGCTCCACTCACTCCCACCCCAGCCAGGCACCCCCTAGCCCCCGTCCATACCCCGAGCCCCGGACCATCCGCCCCGCAGCCCTCAGCCTGCAAAGGGGTACTTCTCCACATCCACAGGCCTCCTCCCGCAGCCCCGGCTCCCGGCCCCCATTACCTTTCCTTCCTGTCTCTCTTATTGGCGTCATAATACGTGAGCAGAAGGTACTTCAGTTTCTCCAGATTACCACGTAAGACAGCTCTGTGGATCCTCTTCAGATGATACGGTTTAATGTAGTAATGGGGAAATGCGAAGCCATCCGAGCACAAGCGCTCCATGAGGGTGGGCCACCTCTCCCGCTCGTCGTCTTCCTTAATCGTCGGCTGCAAATTGTAGCCTGCAGCCGTATTTCAGCTCGCCTTCGGGGATCGCCGCCTCCGAAGAGCAACAACAGGCAAAGCAGTCTGTGCACGGACCTCCGCGCAGACTCTCAGCGCCTCCCGCCTCTCCGCAGAAACGCCCAACAGAAGGGTTAGAACCAGCGAGCACGCGCACCTTAGCCGGCCCTGCCCAACAGGCCCGAGGCAGAGAAACCGCCCTAGCAGCTCTCGCGCGCCCGGTGCAGGCGGCGGTTGCTGCGGAGGTGCCGCGGGAGGGCGGGGCTCCCTGGAGCGCGAGGCGCGCCCTGCCCCAGGGCCTGTTTAACTGTCGCCCGCGCGCTCTTCTCTTCCACAGGCTCCCGACGCTCGGAGCCCCCCGCGCTGGGCCCTCTGCAGCCCAGGGATGGGGTTGAGTGGTGCTTCTCCGCCTAGTGCCACCGCTGGGCCCACAGCCCGACATCGCCACTGCGTCGCCCCCGGGGTCCGCGCTGATGGGTGCGAGGCGGGAGGACGGTATCCGGGGTTGCCACAGCTGCAGCCAGCGCACCACTTGCAGGCGGCACTGCAGCTCGGGCTCCGGCGGGGGCTGGCGGGGCTCCCGTGGGATGGCCTCCTGAGCCCTGAGTGCGCCGCCATCCGGCCGGAGGGTGCGCGCCTCCTGCACCCCCGGCCGAAGCCCATGCCCGGCGCTCCTGCCGCAGACTGCCTGACTTGCCGCGGCCAGGCTGGCCCCGGGGTCCGCGCGGCTGGAGGCGCAGGCCTGGTCGGGGATTCCCAATCCTCGGGGACCCCTGCTCCATGTGCTGGTGGCGGCTGCAGCTGCAGCGCCCGTGGGCTGACGTGGCTTCCCGGAGCTGCGGCCGGCCGCGCCCAAAGGCCCCATAGGCTGCGCTGCCCTTGCCAGCTGCTCCTGACCCACGCCCAGAGCGCAGGACCTGGCGCTTGGCACTCCGCAGCCACCGGGATGAGGCTGAGCGCCGGTTTTCGGCCTCGTGGCGCCGCTGGGGCCACAGCCTGACTTCACCACCCCGTCGCCCAAGTCCTGTGATGGGCAGGTGTGAGGAGGGGCAATCGGGGTTCCCAAGGCTGCTGCTGCCTGCATGCCACTCCGTGAGGAAGTTGAAATAC
The DNA here is from genome assembly GCF_000001405.40 of Homo sapiens. Lineage (NCBI taxonomy): Eukaryota > Metazoa > Chordata > Mammalia > Primates > Hominidae > Homo > Homo sapiens. The sequence goes on from NW_025791765.1 coordinate 516,887, forward strand.
GTGATCTCTAAGAGTCCTCCCAGTTCTTCACCTAAGACAAATATAAATCAAGTAACATTCGCTATTGTGATTAGAAAAGCTGCATTTACAGACGTTAGCCACTAGATGGGGACGTGCGATTGTTACAGGGCTGAAGGCCTATTTATTTTTTATTTGGCCGCTAGAGGGCACGCCTGCACTGCACTTAAAGTTGACTACTTTTAAGGAAAGACAAAAGAATTCTTGGATTTCTCCATTTTCCTCATCACCTGTGCTTATCAGAGAATTCCAGGGGCAAGCTACCCTTTCCAATTCATCACTAATTTATAAACAAAATTCTAAGGAGTAAGGAATGCTTCTTACTTCCTATAACATATGTAAGAATGAACGCTCAAAATAAAAGTAATTTATTTAAAACTTGTGTTGAGTAATTATAACTGCAAAATTTTTGCCCATGTTTTTCATATGCTGTTCATTTGCAAATTATTAGAAATCTACATATTCTGTTCATCTCAGCATTATTTATAACAGGGAAAAATTAGACACTAGCCAAAAATCTAAAAACAGGGAACAGTAAGGAAAAAGCAAATGGTTCTTTAATCATCATCACTAAAAGTGGTTGTGACTTAAAATAATGACATAAAAGATGCTTCTCCGCTGTTGAGTAAAACATCAGGATAAATTTAAAATTCTATTTCAAGCTTAACTATATTCATTTAAAAAGAGAAAAGAAATTTTAGAGAGTTTATCTTGTTGGATTATCAGATGTTATTTTTCTCTTTTTAATGCCATATACTTTTCAAATTTTCAGTGGGCTGCTATTACTTTTGTATTTAAAAAAGAAAAATATAAGGAAAAAGAAACCTGTCACACACTTTCTAGTGGATTTTACTGATCAGTCATCTCTGTATTTCTGGCATCACAAACTGAGCCAGAAACTCAGTGCCTCCCATTTCTTTTTTTTTTTTTTTTTTAGACGGAGTCTTGCTCTGTCGCCCAGGCTAGAGTGCAGTGGCTCAAACTTGGCTCGCTGCAACCTCTGCCTCCCAGGTTCAAGTGATTCTTCTGCCTCAGCCTCCCAAATAGCTGGGATTACAGGTGCCCGCCACCACACCCGGCTAATTTTTGTATTTTGGTAGAAACAGGGTTTCACCATCTTGACCAGGCTGGTCTCGACTCCTGACCTTGTGATTCACCGGCCTCGGCCTCCCAAAGTGCTGGGATTAACAGACCTGAGCCACCGCGCCAGGCCAAGTGCCTCCCATTTCTTGTATTCACCTTTAAAACTCCTGCAATGAAGGACTCCCTCCTCCCTCATCTAACCTATTATGTGTGTGGTGAGTTCTGACTATGATATCATTCCTGATGTGAAACCGAAGTCTCTCTCTTCTAAGTCCATCCATTGGTTCAGTTCTGCCTTCTGACAGAGTCCACGCCAGACTTCACATTTCTCCCAATCTTCTTTGTCCTACAAGGGCTTTCTATTCTTCAAGCTAAAGAGATACCAGTGATTCCATTCGTTCATTCAGTTAACATTTAGGGGCCACATCTTGTGCTATGTCCTGAGATTTGCCAATGAGCAGAGCTCAGAGTATTGAAAAGACAAACACATACACCAGGCATTTTACTATGCTGTGTTGTGTGTATGACAGGAGCACACAGGGCATCCAGGCACCAGTGAGAAGGGCCTTTCACCAGACTTGAGAGGTCAGCAAAGGTGCTCTGAGGAAACACCTTCTAAACTGAGAGCTGGAAAGAGTGAGGCAGGAAAGCAGTAAGAGGTAGCGTTCTGAGGAGGAAATCTCCGAGGTGGGACAGGGATGCGTATGGAGAGAATGCCCTTCCCATCCCCACTCTTCATGAAATCTCTACTCTGTCAGGGTCTCTCTGCCCTGTGAGCTGCTTGAGGACAAAGACTGTTTTATAAAAATTTTTATTTCCTCCCTCTGTCTTCCTTAAACACCTAGCCCAGTGCCTGGAACATAAGAAGCCATAATGAATTTTTGTTAGATGAGTGAAGAGTGCTGAGTAGAGCAGAAATGTCACATGCCTCAGTTTAAATATGGGTCATCAGTTTTCTTTCTTTTTTAACATAGAAGTCAAGACTTGATCTCTTACAGCTTCGAGATACCGTTAAAGATATAATCATCCTCATGTATTTGAGCTTTGTTTTCACCCATTATGTTATGACTGCTGTCCATTGTTCCATGACACAATTCTCCATCTTTCTTCATTTTCTTCCATTTCAATTAACTCATTTATTTACATGTGGGAATGGAACATATAACGTAAAATCCACAAGTAAGACTTCCCAGATCCTCAGCTTCTTTCTCTGGCATTAGCCACTGTTTCTACTTTCATGAGCATCTGCTATGGTTTGAATGTATCCCCTCCAGAAATCAAATATTACAAATGTGATAGTATTAAGAGGTGGGGCCTTTTGGGAGGTGATTAGGCTATGAGGGCTCTGCCTTCATGAATAGGATTAGATATGCTTAGAAAAAGGAATGATGGAGGAAGTTAGACTCCTTTTGCCCTTCAGTCTCCTGCCATGTGAGGACACAGCACTCCTCCTCTCTGGAAGATGCAGCCTTCAAGGCGACATCTTGGAAACAGAGACCAGACACTCACCTGACAATGAATCTAATGGCCCCTGGATTTTGGACTTCCCAGCCTCCAGAACTGTGGAAAAAACAAATTTCTGTTCTTTATAAATTACTCAGTCTATGGTATTCTTTTATAGCAGCCCAAAACAGACAAGACTCTAGGAAATCAATTTGTATTCAGCACATCAACAAAATTCTTTACAAATGGGACCCCCCAATAGGTGGGTGTCACTAAAGAGAGGTGCCCATAAGCATGAGACAATGACCACGTGGCATGAGCAACGAACTACGATGAATGAGCACATGTTACCACCACTAAAGAAAAAACTTACATGACTAGATGACAACAAAATAATTTCTTATAATGAATTTCTCATTGTATTTTTTCTTAACCTTCCCTCCATTTAGTCAGGAATCTGGCTCTGACTCACACCTGAAGGACAGACAAGGACTTTTGTTTCCAAAAGCATAAACTGAAAGGAGAACTCGCAGAGTCTACAGAAAAGAGAAAAGACATTTGTCAACAGGGAGTGTTTATTTATCTTTTTTAACTGGAGGGAAAGAGCAGGGATGAGGAGAGGAGATGCCTTCGGTATTGGAGAAAAACAATATTGTAGAGTTTTCCATCCTGGTACTAATAAAATTATAAAGGCCAATAAGAAATGACTGATAGCAATAAAACAAGGAAAGGGGCATAGCCTAATACAGTAAAGAAACTGGTGACTCAAAGAGAGAAAGGAAAAGAACATTCTGGAGCAAAATAGAGAGGGACAGCATTTAGCTCCTAAGTTCCTCTTCCGTCCTCCAGCCCCACCCTCCACATCCACCTCCAAATCCGGTGATTTTGAGCATAGTGAAGCACACTGACACTGAAGGGTGTCCTTATACGATCCTCCCCTTGCTGGTGACTGGTGGAAACAGATGCTGGGGAGAAACAGGAGAAACAAGGTGGAGGGACATCAGGGTGCACTTCCTCTAAGAGAAGTCAAGGCTACACATGGAATGAGGAAAGCAATCCAATGCCCAGGGGAGTCCTCATGGTACTGAAACAGGAAGAGCCATCTGTTGCCCAAGCATTCTAACCAATGCTCAGAGCCCTCAGCTGCCCTTTCCCTCTACTGCCTCCCCATTCCCTTGGGCTACCAGGAAAAGTGGAGATGTTAATGGGCTCCAATCAAAGGCCACCATGAACACACCTGTAGTTGAAGAAGTGAGTTATTACTGGTTAAGTGAGGGAGAATACAAACTACAGGGAACGGTGGGGTGTCTCACTAAGAGGACAACAGAAAGGACTTAGAAGATTTGGGGTTGTGTTAGGCAATAATCTGGGAGAAGGGTTTAAGGAAATGGGGCTTCGTTCTGAATTGGGTGTTGTCACGAAGTGGGGGTAATTCTAGCATAGTAGGGTATCTTAATAAATCTTATGTGGAAAGATGTAAACCTGCATTAAAGCCTTAATGGGTTAAGGCTATAATTGGTAAAGAACGTTAAAGCTGTAGTTGGTGAAGAAACAGTAGTTACTCATCTTAGCTAGAATAGAGACACATTGGTCATTTGTGTGATATGAACAATGCTCATGCTTTGCTCATGCTCAGACATGATTATGAAGAGGTCTTGTTTTTGTCTTAAGTATTGGCACAAAATGATATGGTCTGAAGCAGATGTTCTATGGAATTGTTTATGCTCACAAGAGAACATCAACATCCATCTGTGGGTGCCAGGCAGCTCACAGCATCGCCAATGCCCAGCAGATAGGACCAGGTCAACTCCTGGCTGCCAGACACACCTCTTCTCTTTCTCAGAGGAACACAAAGTACCCAATGCTCATTCTGTAGCTCAACAGGAAAACACATTCTCAGGTGAGCTGGAAAGAAAGTCGCTCATCTAATAATGACACAATTTTAAAAGACTGGTCAATTCAACTACATCAAAGACAAACAAAACAAAATTTTTTGCATGGCAAGAAAAGACTACCACCACAGTCAGAAAACAAATGAAAGAGTGGGAAAATAGGTTTGCAACTTATATCATAGACAAAGGGGTGCTATCTCTAATATACAAATAGTTCTTACAAATTTAGGGGAAATAGACCAACAATATATTGAAAAAATTAAAAAGATACACAGAGAGATTTCATAGGAAAATAATTGGAAGTTGATCTTAAACATGTGAAAAGTTACGCAACATGGCTCATAAGAAGATAAGTGTAAATTAAACATATTTCTATGCTCTGTTGTTAGGTGCATACACACATGCAGGATTGTCATGTCTTCTTGGAGAATTGACTCCTTTTTCTTAGGTAATGTCCTTCTTTATCTATGGTAACTTTTATTGCTCTTTAAGGCTGCTCTGCCTGAAATTAATAGAGATATGTTGGGGGTATTTTTGATAAGTGTTAGTATGGTATATCTTTCTGCATCCCTTTAATTTATGCAGGTGCATCTTTATATTTAGAATGTGTTTCTTGTAGACTACATATAGTTGAGTCCAACTTTTTAATCTACACTGACAATCTCTTTTATTTTATTTCTGTCTTCCCACCTTTTATTTTAGGTTCAAGGGGTACGTGCGAAGGTTTTTTTTTTTCTCATATGATTTTTTATTATACTTTAAGTTCTAGGGTACCTGTGCACAACGTGCAGGTTTGTTACATATGTATACATGTGCCATGTTGGTGTGCTGCAGCCATTAACTTGTCATTTACATTAGGTATGTCTCCTAATGCTATCCCTCCCCCCTCCCCTCACCCCATTGACAGGCCCTGGTGTGTGATGTTCCCCATCCTGCGTCCAAGTGTTCTCACTGTTCAATTCCCACCTATGAGTGAGAACATGCGGTGTTTGGTTTTCTGTCCTTGCGATAGTTTACTCAGAATGATGGTTTCCAGCTTCATCCATGTCCCTACAAAGGACATGAACTCATCCTTTTTTATGGCTGCATAGTATTCCACAGTGTATATTTGCCACATTTTTTTAATCCAGTCTATCATTAATGGACATTTAGGTTGGTTCCAAGTCTTTGCTATTGTGAATAGTGCCACAATAAACATACGTGTGCATGTGTCTTTATAGCAGCATGATTTATAGTCCTTTGGGTATATACCCAGTAATGGGATCACTGGGTCAAATGGTATTTCTAGTTCTAGATACTTGAGGAATTGCCACACTGTCTTCCACAATGGGTGGACTAGTATACAGTCCCACCAACAGTGTAAAAGTGTTGCTATTTCTCCATATCCTCTCCAGCACCTGTTGTTTCCTGACTTTTTTAATGATTGCCATTCTAACTGGTGTGAGATGGTATCTCATTGTGGTTTTGATTTGCATTTCTCTGATGGCCAGTGATGATGAGCATTTTTTCATGTGTCTGTTGGCTGCATAAATGTCTTCTTTTGAGAAATGTCTGTTCATATCCTTCGCCCACTTTTTTGTGGGGTTGTTTGATTTTTTCTTGTGAAATTGTTTAAATTCTTTGTAGATTCTGGATATTAGCCCTTTGTCAGATGGGTAGATTGTAAAAATTTTCTCCCATTCTACAGGTTGCCTGTTGACTCTGATGGCAGTTTCTTTTGCTATGCAGAAGCTCTCTAGTTTAATTAGATCCCATTTGTCAATTTTGGTTTTTGTTGCCATTGCTTTTGGTGTTTTAGTCATGAAGTCCTTGCCCATGCCTATGTCCTGAATGGTATTGCCTAGGTTTTCTTCTAGGGTTTTTATGGTTTTAGGTCTGACATTTAAATCTTTAATCCATCTTGAATTAATTTTTGTATAAGGTGTAAGGAAGGGATCCAGTTTCAGCTTTCTACATATGGCTAGCCAGTTTTCCCAGCACCATTTATTAAATAGGGAATCCTTTCCCCATTTCTTGTTTTTGTCAGGTTTGTCAAAGATCAGATGGTTTTAGATGTGTGACATTATTTCTGAGGGCTCTGTTCTGTTCCATTGGTCTATATCTCTGTTTTGATACCAGTACTATGGTGTTTTGGTTACTGTAGCCTTGTAGTATAGTTTGAAGTCAGGTAGTGTGACACTTCCAGCTTTGTTCTTTTGGCCTAGGATTGACTTGGCAATGCAGGCTCTTTTTTGGTTCCATATGAACTTTAAAGTAGTTTTTTCCAATCCTGTGAAGAAAGTCATTGGTAGCTTGATGGGGATGGCATTGAATCTATAAATTACCTTGGGTAGTATGGCCATTTTCATGATATTGATTCTTCCTATCCATGAGCATGGAATGTTCTTCCATTTGTTTGTGTCCTTTTTTATTTTGTTGAGCAGTGGTTTGTAGTTCTCCTTGAAGAGGTCCTTCACATCCCTTGTAAGTTGGATTCCTAGGTATTTTATTCTGTTTGAAGCAATTGTGAATGGGAGCTCACTCATGATTTGGCTCTCTGTTTGTCTCTTATTGGTGCATACGAATACTTGTGATTTTTGCACATTGATTTTGTATCCTGAGACTTTGCTGAAGTTGCTTATCAGCTTAAGGAGATTTTGGGCTGAGACGATGGGGTTTTCTAGATATACAATCATGTCATCTGCAAACAGGGACAATTTGACTTCCTCTTTTCCTTATTGAATACTCTTTATTTCTTTCTGTTGCCCGATTGCCTTGGCCAGAACTTCCAACACTATGTTGAATAGGAGTGGTGAGAGAGGGCATCCTTCTCTTGTGCTGGTTTTCAAAGGGAATGCTTCCAGTTTTTGCCCATTTAGTATGATATTGGCTGTGGGTTTGTCATAAATAGCTCTTATTATTTTGAGATACGTTCCATCAATACCTAGTTTATTGAGAGTTTTTAGCATGAAGGGCTGTTGAATTTTGTCAAAAGGCCTCTTCTGCATCTATTGAGATAACCATGTGGTTTTTGTTGTTGGTTCTGTTTATGTGATGGATTACGTTTATTGGTTTGTGTATGTTGAACCAGTCTGGCATCCCAGGGATGAAACCAACTTGATTGTGCTGGATAAACTTTTTGATTCAGTTTGCCTGGAATCAGTTTGCCAGTATTTTATTGAGGATTTTTGCATCGATGTTCATCAGGGATATTTGTCTAAAATTCAATTTTTTTGTCGTGTCTCTGCCAGGCTTTGGTATCAGGATGATGCTGGCCTCATAAAATGAGTTAGGGAGGATTCTCTCTTTTTCTATTGCTTGGAATAGTTTCAGAAGGAATAGTACCAACTCCTCTTTGTACCTCTGGTAGAATTCGGCTGTGAATCCATCTGCTCCTGGACTTTTTTTGGTTTGTAGGCTATTAATTATTGCCTCAATTTCGCAACCTGTTATTGGTCTATTCAGAGATTCAGCTTCTTCCTGGTTTAGTCTTGGGAAGGTGTATGTGTCCAGGAATTTATCCATTTCTTCTAGATTTTCTAGTTTATTTGCATAGAAGTGTTTATAATATTCTCTGATGGTAGTTTGTATTTCTGTGGGATTGGTGGTGATATCCCCTCTATCATTTTTTATTGTGTCTATTTGATTCTTCTCTCTTTTCTTCTTTATTAGTCTTGCTAGTGGTCTATTTTGTCGATCTTCTCAAAAAACCAGCTCCTAGTTTCATTGATTTCTGGAAGGGGTTTTTGTGTCTCTATCTCCTTCAGTTCTGCTCTGATCTTAGTTATTTATTGTCTTCTGCTAGCTTTTGAATGTGTTTGCTCTTGCTTCTCTAGTTATTTTAATTGTGATGTTAGGGTGTCAATTTTAGATCTTTCCTGCTTTCTTTTGTGGGCATTGAGTGCTATAAATTTCCCTCTACACAGTCCTTTAAATGTGTCCCAGAGATTCTGATACATCGTGTCTTTGTTCTTATTGGTTTCAAAGAACATCTTTATTTCTGCCTTCATTTTATTATTTACCCAGTAGTCATTCAGGAGCAGGTTGTTCAGTTTCCATGTAGTTGTGTGGCTTTGAGTGAGCTTCTTAATCCTGAGTTCTAATTTGATTGCACTGTGGTCTGAGAGACAGTTTGTTGTGCTTTCTGTTCTTTTACATTTGCTGAGGTGTATTTTACTTCCAATTATGTGGTCAATTTTAGAATAAGTGTGATGTGGTGCTGAGAAGAATGTATATTCTGTTGATTTGGGGTGGAGAGTTCTGTAGATGGCTATTAGTTCCACTTGGTGCAGAGCTGAGTTCAAGTCCTGGATATCCTTGTTAACCTTCTGTCTCATTGATCTGCCTAATGTTGACAGTGGGGTGTTAAAGTCTCCAATTATTATAGTGTGGGAGTCTAAGTCTCTTTGTAGATCTCTAAGGACTTGCTTTATGAATCTGGGTGCTCCTGTATTAGGTGCCTATGTATTTCGGATAGTTAGCTCTTCTTGTTGAATTGATCCCTTTACCATTATGTAATGGCCTTCTTTGTCTCTTTTGATTTTTGTTGGTTTAAAGTCTGTTTTATCAGAGATTAGGATTGCAACCCCTGCTTTTTTTCCCTTTCCATTTGCTTGGTAGATCTTCCTCCATCCCTTTATTTTGAGCCTATGTGTGTCTGTGCACGTGCGATGGGTCTCCTGAATACAGCACAATGATGGGTCTTGACTCTTTATCCAATTTGCCAGTCTGTGTCTTTTAATTGGAGCATTTAGCCCATTTACATTTAAGGTTAATATTGTTATGTGTGAATTTGATCCTGTCATTATGATGTTAGCTGGCTATTTTGCCTGTTAATTGATGCAGTTTCTTCATAGCATCAATGGTCTTTATAATTTGGCATGTTTTTGCAGTGGCTGGTACTGGTTGTTCCCTTCCATGTTTAGTGCTTCCTTCAGGAGCTCTTGTAAGGCAGGCTTGGTGGTGACAAAATCTCTCAGCATTTGCTTGTCTGTAAAGGATTTTATTTCTCCTTCACTTATGAACCTTAGTTTGGCTGGATATGAAATTCTGGCTTGAAAGTTCTTTGAAGAATGTTGAATATTGGCCCCTATTCTCTTCTGGCTTGTAGAGTTTCTGCTGAGAGATCCGCTGTTAGTCTGATGGGCTTCCCTTTGTGGGTAACCCGACCTTTCCCTCTGGCTGCCCTTAATATTTTTTCCTCATTTCAACCTTGGTGAATCTGACAATTATGTGTCTTGGGGTTGTTCTTCCCAAGGAGTGTCTTTGTGGTGTTCTTTGTGTTTCCTGAATTTGAATGTTGGCCTGCCTTGCTAGGTTGGGGAAGTTCTCCTGGATAATATCCTGAAGAGTGTTTTCCAACTTGGTTCCGTTCTCCCCATCACTTTCAGGTACACCAATCAAATGTAGATTTGGTCTTTTCACTAGTCCCATATTTCTTGGAGGCTTTGTTCATTTCTTTTTAGTCTTTTTTCTCTAGACTCTTCTCACTTCATTTCATTCAACTCATCTTCAATCACTGATACCCTTTCTTCCACTTGATCGAATTGGCTACTGAAGCTTGTGCATGTGTCATGAAGTTCTCATGCCCTGCTTTTCAGCTCCATCAGGTCATTTAAGGTCTTCTCTACACTGTTTATTCTAGTTAGCCATTTGTCTAATCAAGGTTAGATTAAGACAAACCTTAAAAATCTTTTCAAGGTTTTTAGCTTCTTTGCAATGGGTTAGAATATTCTTCAGCTCAGAGAAGTTTGTTACTACCTACCTTCTGAAGCCTACTTCTGTCAACTCATTAAAGTCATTCTCTGTCCAGTTTTGTTCCGTTGCTGGTGAGCAGCTGCGATCCTTTGGAGAAGAGGCGCTCTGATTTTTGGAATTTTCAGCTTTCCTGCTCTGGTTTCTCTCCATGTTTGTTGTTTTATCTACCTTTGGTCTTTGATGTTGGTGACCTACAGATGGGGTTTTGGTGTGGATGTCCTTTTTGTTGATGTTGATGCTATTCTTTTCTGTTTGTTAGTTTTCCTTCTAACAGTCAGGACCCTCAGCTGCAGGTCTTTTGGAGTTTGCTGGAGGTCCACTCCAGACCTGTTTGCCTGGGTATCACAAGGGGAGGCTGCAGAACAGCAAATATTGCTGCCTGATCCTTCCTCTGGAAGCATCATCCCAGAGCGGCACCTGCCTGTGTGAGGTGTCTGTTGGCTCCTACTGGGAGGTGTCTCCCAGTCAGGCTACACAGGGATCAGGGACCCACTTGAGGAGGTAGTCTGTCTGTTCTCAGAGCTCGAACGCCATGCTGGGAGAACCACTGCTCTCTTCAGAGCTGTCAGACAGGGACGTTTTAAGTCTGCAGAAGTTGTCTGATGCCTTTTGTTCAGCTATGCCCTGCCCACAGAGGTTGAGTCTATAAAGGTAGTAGGCCTTGCTGAGCTGCAGTGGGCTCCACCCAGTTCAAGCTTCCTGGCAGCTTTGTTTACCTACTCAAGCCTCGGCAATGGCAGACGCCCCTCCACCACCTCCCACAAGGCTGCCACCTCGCAGGTCGATCTCAGACTGCCGCGCTAGCAGAGAGCAAAGGACCATGGGCATGGGACTCACTGAGCCAGGCACGGGAGGGAATTTTCTGGTCTGCTGGTTGCTAAGACCATGGGAAAAGTGCAGTATTTGGGCAGAAGTGTACCGTTTTTCCAGGTACAGTCTGTCACGGCTTCCCTTGGCTAGGAAAGGGAAATCCCCTGACCTCTTGCACTTCCCAGGTGAGGCAATGCCCCGCCCTGCTTCGGCTCACCCTCCATGGGCTGCACCCACTGTCCAACAAGTCCCAGTGAGATGAACCAGGAACCTCAGTTGGAAATGCAGAAATCACCCATCTTCTGTGTCAATCTCACTGGAAGCTGCAGAACGGAGCTGTTCCTACTTGGCCATCTTGGAAGTGACTAATTGATTCTTTAATCCATAATCTGAGCATCCACCTTATATGGGATTGCTTTTCATGATGACCACCATGAATGGCCAGATTATAACATGTTAGAAAACAAAACACACAGGGGAACTTACCAAAAGGAGTAAAAGATTTCTTAGACAAAATTTCAAAGCAGAAACCATAAGGCAGAAAAAGTGGAGGGGATTTCATGATGTTACAATCAAATAGATCTGTTGCAAGTGACACATGGCAAAATGAGAGAAGTTATGTGCAGTCTAAAACTGACAAGAGATTAGCAGCCTCAATATACGAGGAACTCCTGAAAATTAACAAGAAAAATAAATAGACAAAGGACACGAGCAGGCAGTTTTTGGGAGAGGAAACCCCAAAAGCCAGGAAGCATATGAGGAAGTGGCTAAGATCATTAGTACAGAAATACACATTCTAACAATAAGATATATGAGGAAATAGTTCTCCAAAAAAGATACACAGATGGTCAATGAGCACAAAAAAAGGTGCTGAGAATCACCCAGAATAAGGGAAATGCAGATGAAAACTACAGTGAGATAGCACTTCATACCCACTAGAATAGCTACTGTCAAGAAAACCCGAAAATACCGAGTGTTGGTGAGGAGTGAGACATTAGACCCTTGTGCACTACCGGTGGGTATGTAAAATGGTGCCGCCACTGTGGACAACAACATGGCCATTCCTAAAAAAAAATTCAAATAGAATTACCGTATGACCAAGAATTTCCACTTCTGGACGTATTCCCAAAAGGATTGAAAGCAGGATGTTAAAGAGATATTGTATATCCAAGTTCATAGCAGCAGCATTCATAGGAACCAAAAAGTGGAAGCAAGTGTCCATTGATAGACGAATGCATGAACAAAATGTGGTCTATACATGCAATAAAATATGATTCAGCCTTAGAAAGGGAGAGAATCCTGTGACAGGCTACATCGTGGATGAACCTTGAGGGCATTATGCTAAGTGGAATAGCCAGTCACAAAAAGACAGTATTCCACTTACATGTGATACCTAGAATAATCAAATTCATAGAAACAGAAAATAGAATGATTGCCAAGGGCTGGGGCAAAAACGGAATGGGAAGTTAGTATCTAATTGGACACAGTGTTTCAGTTTCACAAAAGTAGAGTTCTTGAGATGGATGGTGGTAATGGTTGCACAACAATGTGAAAGTATTTGATACCACTAAAGTGTACAATTAACAGTGGTTAAGATGGGAAACTTTATGTTCTGTGTGCTTTACTACAATTTGAACTAGATACAACCTTATACATACATGGTAGGCAAAATTCTCAGCTGAACTCCAATAGGCAAGCACTTCTGTAATCCTCTCCTGGTAAATGTGCTTCTAATTAATAGATTCTAACAAAGGTGATGATGTGCCATATGGAAAAGGGGAAAAGAATTTGCCAATGTAATTAAAGTCCCTGATCAGTTGACTTTATGTTAATGAAAAAGGACATCATCCAGGGTGCATCTAATCAGGTGAGCCCTTTAAAAAAGGATGTAAAGGTATGAGACTATCTCTCCTGCTGACATTGAAGAAGCAAGTCTCCTTGAGTTCTACAACCACTCGGAGATGAATACTGCCAGCCACCTGAGGCAGCCTGGAATCAGATCTTTCTCCAGTGGAGCCTCTGATGAGAATGCAGCCTGGCCAACACCGGGTTACAGTCTGAGCAGAGCACCCAGCTAAGCCGAGCCCAGAATCCTGGCCCACAGAAAATGGGAGATGAAAAATAAATGGTGTTTTAAGCCACACGATTTGTGTTAACTTGTTCTGCAGCTGTAGAAAACTAATGCAATCTTTTAGGCAAAACTAATCTAGGAAGAGACAAGTATTGGAGCTGGGCACAGTGGCAGATGCCTGTCATCCCAGCTACTCAGGAGGCTGAGGTGAGAGGATCCCATGAGCCCAGGAGTTTGGGGCTGCAGTGAGCTATGATCGCACCTCTAAGTAGCCAGGGCAACAAGTGAGACCCTGCCTCAAAAAGAAAAAAAAAAGAAGTCTTCATGTTGGGTGGGGAAGTGGGGAAGTTGATGAGGGCACTGCTTGTGGAGTGTAGACCAGAGCCACCATTGTGGAGGGATTTTGATCAATAGTATGCATCCCTTACACCCCTGCTATTCCATTTCCAGGTAGAGATGTAAAAGAAATTGACACATTCGTCAAACATGCACACCAAGATGTTCACTGCAGAGTTCTTTGTGGTAGTGTGGGGATGGGGGCTGCGGGAGGCACCCTAGGGTTTCTATCCTGGGGAGAACGGAGAGACAAAATGGGAATGGTCCACACCATGGAGAATTATGCAGCCACAAGGAGAGATGAAAGGCACACATAGCAACATGGATGGGCCTGAACACAGGACTGAGTTTAAAAAGGAAGAAGCAACATGGGAACCCAAACATTACCATTTGCAGACATTAAAAAACACATAAAGACTGTATCTCTTTTGAAAGAGCATTTTTAAAGCAGCACAGGAGGTGGGGGAATCTATGGGGAGCATGTTGCCCATGCAGGGGAAGGGAATGGGAGTGAGTGTGGAGACAAAAGAATAAATAAAACAAAAGTGGTTTTATTGGACCAACAATAATTCACTGAGTAGTTTAGCGCAACTTGAGGGTAAAATTAATGGCACCTGGATCTGGGGCAGCTGCAGAGGCAGCGACGTCCAGGCCTTTGTGCAGGGGGGCTGAGGTCACCCGTGCAGGTGGGGAAACAGTAAATGCCAATGAAGCAGGTGTGTGTGGTATAGAGCGAGCAAGAAAGGAGAGATTACTTTGGCCTAAGAGGGATATCTGCATTTATATTACTAATGAGTTTCCACTGTAAGCCACAGAAAGCCCGGCTCAAAGCGATTTTTTTTTCTTTACAAACAGAATTTATTGACTCAAGTGACTAAAATGTCCAGGCTGACTCCCTTGGGTGGGAAAGATGGTTGCCAGCAGGGCCAGGCGTATTCTCTCCAGCTAGGAAACCAGAATTGTGGACCTCCCTTTCTCAGAGGTTTCCACAAAAGCCCCAAGGCTGGTCCCCTTTGGTCAGAAAGAGTGACACGCCTGAACAAATCCCCAGGGCCAGGCCCGGGTCACATCGCCACCTGCAGACAGCAAGGGCTTCCAGCATAGGCATGGCATGAGCACAAGCTCGTGGAGGGACGTCTTTGGGAACAAAGCTGGAAAAGTAGGAGGTGAGGTTCCATGGCTGCCAGCTCAGGCGTGACCTTCGCTGCCACTTACTCAACTTGGAGGCTGTTGGTGGATGGAGGAGAGCCCTGGAGCATTTCCTCCCGGAAAGGAAATGCCTCCAGAAGTGCCTCCCTCTAGGTCCTTCTCACTGCCAAAAAGTCCCTTTCCCAGAGAGGAAGGAGGCTCAAGGGCTCAGAGCGTTCTCAACACAAATGACTGTGGGGAGAGCCCTCGTGGGGGCCTGGGTCATTGCAAGAGGGAGCTCATGTGGATGCAAATCTATATAATCGGTTGCCAAAAAAGTACTGAGCCGGCCTGTTTTCATCCTGTACCAGGCGGCCTGCAGAGGACAGAATGTCCACGCTGTCTCTACAGAAATCCTTTCCGGCCAAGCCCCAGGGCCTGGGGGTTCTCCAGCACTTAACCACCAGCTTTCCTGCCCTGCCCGCACAGGAGCAGCCAGTGGGTGGCTGCCATTATTGTCTCCAGGGGCACTGGGGGCGATGCTGGGCTGGGTAGGGCTGTGTGGGGCTGAGGGCAGTGTGGGTTCTGAGGGTCAGGAAATGACCTTCCTTTATGCACTACCACAACACCTCCCACAAACCACTCCTCCTGCTGCCTGGGGTTTTGAACACAGTCCTGGCCTCTTTATGGCAGTGGCAGGCAGTGTGGTTTTGGAATGGCCAGCCTGCCACAGGAGGCAGAGCTCCCACTGTGCCAGGAGGCAGAGCTCCCACTGTGCCGGCAAACAATAAGCACTGTTGTTTTTCCCCAGAGTGGGGCTGCCCGGTACTGGTCTGTGCCTGTCTCTCTGGAGCAGGAAATCGAGCAGAGGGAAATGTGTGGATTGGTTAGAGTGCTGTCAGCTGCAAGGAACAGAAAACCCAACTCAAAGGGGCTTAAACAATCAAGATGTGTCTCCTGTGCCAAGCAGTGCAGAGGTAGGACAGCTCAGGGCTGGTTAGATCAGGGCCGCAGGAAGCCAACAGGGACCCAGGTTTATTCCACATTCCATGCTGCCCTCCTCTTCAGTGGGCCAGTCTGTTTTCAGGCCAGCTTCCCTCATAATCACAAGACAGCTGCCACAGTTCCAGGCATCACCTCCAGATATGACAACACCCAGCAAAAGAGACTCTCTTCTCCTGGATCCATCTTTTAAAGAGTAAGGGAACTTTTCCCAGAATTTCACCCAGCAGCTCTTCCATCATGTCTCACTGGCCAGAATTGCATCACAGACCTATCCTTAGCCAGTATTTGACAGAGGAAACAGGAAAGCCATGACTGGCTTGAAGGGCATGGACTACCCCAATAGCACAGGGTTTGGATGCTCCTGCAGATGCTCCAACAGCCTTCACCACACCAGGAGACAGAAGTTCTTCCCAGTTGGAGATCAGCTTTATTCACCATTGAGGATGTGATGTTTGGAGCTGTAGGGGCCATCTTGCAGCAATGGGGGGAAATTCAAGAACATCTCAGACTTGCTAATGCCATGCTTTGCCTTTACTGGGCCGTGAGACAATCCTGGGACCACATAGGTTTGTTATGTGAGTAAAATGAACTCCTGTTCAATGAGGCCTCCATTAGTTGAGTTTTCTTTACTTGCAGCCCAACTGACACAGAGTTCAGTTGTTCTGGGCAGTGGAGGGACAGGAAAGGCTCCAATGGCAGCCATTCTCCTTTGGGTTCCCATCCTCTGTGATGAGAAATCCTCGTAAAAATCACCCACCAGGACACTGAGATGGCCAAGTTTCTGCTGACCTTCCATGTGTCCTTGCAAACTTCAGAGGAAACTGGACCCTGGGCAAAATGATGAAATTAGAGAGTCCCTGAGCCCTTCTTCTCACCAGAAAACTCCACCCATGACCCAAATTCCCAGAGAACATAGGAAATTATCAGTTATAATTGCAAATAATAAAGACTTAGAAACCTGACAAGAGGGTCTTAAGCAAACACGGTTTGGGGTTTTTCTATTCCTTGAGTAATGAGAAGCCCAAAGGTCAGGATCCATGATGGTCCCACTGCTGGGGCTGTGGTGAGGCTATAGGGGACCAGGGTCCTTCCAGCTCCCTGTGTTGACATCCTCACCAGGTGCCTTCATCCTCAGGGTCACAAATACCTGCTGCTACACCTTCAGGCAGAACTTTGTGCCCCAGGGAGGAATATAGGGAAGGGGAAAGGTACAGTGAAGAGCCACCAGGCCCAACAGGAAAGCAGTAGCTGTCCTGGAAGCCCCACTCTGAAGATGCCTGTCATGGGCTGTACTGTGTTGTGTAACCACCTTTGGCTTTGAGGGAGAGGAAGGGGAGAATGGCTGTGGACTAGGTAGCTAGCTGCGTCGGCCACCAGGTGTGGAGTCCGGAAACCTGGGACTCAACCCAACACTGCTTCCTGCTGCCTTCAGTAACCCCAGGCAGCCCAGGTCATTGCTGCAGCCTCAGCAGCCTCTCCTGCCTGGCAGAAAGTGGGGGAAGAGAACTGCCTCCATGAGGGTTCCTGAAGGCTGGGTGTTCACTTGGCCTTCTCCCCATCTGGGGCAATGGGTCCTAGGGCAAGCATGGAATGGGAAGTGTGGCTTATTCAAGGCTCTTCTGATGTCAAGTGATAGAAATTGATTCAACTCATCTATAGGGAAAAAGGGCGGGTGATAATTAATTTATTTCAGACCCAATGGGCAAGAGGAGCAGTCAGACCTCAGGAAGGAACTGACCTCAAGCTAGCAAGCCCTTGGAGACAGAGGCAGCCACTCCTCCTTGCTCCCCGGCCCCAGGGTTGCCTGCCTCTGCTGTTCTCCCCTCACCCACTATACCTTCTTTCCCTCTGGATGGAAAGGGGTTTCTCAGCCTCACAGCTTCTGCATTCCCATGAACAATGGGCTGCCAGTCTCTCTGAATTCGTATTTCACATTCCTAGGAGAGACTGTCTGATGATCCAGCTCACCCTGATGTCTGTCTCTTGGCCAGTCAATCCAGCCATAGAGTTAGAGCAGTTCCCAGAAAAGAGGGGCTGGATGAGGCTGACCAGCACACTGCAAAATTGACTTCAGGGGAGGAAGAGAAGCAGAGGCAGGAGGGTCCTCTTGGAGATCTGGGGGAAAGAGAGACAGGGCATTCCTTTAGGACCTGTGCCTCAAAGACCAGTGGGAAGAGACAGCTGGGTGAGGACAGGCTTCAGGTACTCTCATGTGTCCAGATCAAATACGGCTTTAACCCCTCTCTAAGTCATCGCAAATCTTTATTTTGCAAATAGCAGAAAATGCCATTCAAATGGCTTGGCTGAAAAAGAGAATGTGTGGACCCACCTAACTGAAAAGTCAGAGCCAGGAGGGACTCAGCCATGGTTCGATCCAGAGGTTCAACATTTACTTGCAATATTTTCTCTGCAAGTTTCATTTTGTTTCTGTTTCCAGTTCTCTACAAGTCATTCATCTCTATTTCTTTGCGAGACAGTTTCATTTGAGGCTGGCTTTCCCCCTGTGGCACAAGTGGCTGCTTTATGTCAGCATTTCAGTGAAGTCCTTAGATGGGCTCTGAGTGGCCCAGCTTTTGTCACATGCCCCCTCCTGAACAAATCAACTCCTGTTGGGAAGGAAGGTAGTTTGCCGATTGGCTTGGTCAAGTCACAGTCTCCCTTCTTCTCAGCCCCTTCAAGAAGGAAATCGGCTTCTTTGGGCTCACACCATCCCCCAGCAGATCTCTGGACTATGATCAAGAACAGGGAGAAAATGAAGCAAGTGTTCCCACACTAGTCATTTCCAAGAGCTGGCCAGTTAGCACAGAACAAGAAAACACACGCACGGGGCACTGGCATGTGGGCAGCTGAAGAAGGGCCCTGAAGATGTACAAGTCCTAATTTCTGGAGCCCATGAATATGTTAGGTTACATGGCAAGGAGAAGTTAAGGGCCCAAATGGGATTACGGTCACTAATCAGCTGACCTCGATGTCAGGAGATTATCCTGAATTATTCAGGTGGGATGTGCAAGAGGGAGGTAGGCGAGTCCGCGTGAGGGTGCGCAGTGTGAGAAAGCCTCACAACAATTGCTGGCTTTGGAAATGGAAGGGGGCTGTGAGCCAGGGCATGTGGGCAGCTCAGAGAAGCACAGAAAGAGATTCTTCTCCACAGTCTCCAGAAAGGAACGCAGCCCCGATGACGCCTTGGCTGTAGCCCAGTGACACCCAGGTCAGAGTCTGACCTCCAGAACTGCAAAATAATAGATGTGTGTTGTTCTGAGCCACTGAGCTGGTGGTAATTTGTTACAGCAGCAGTGAGAAACAAAAACACGGCATTCCAAGGGCAGTACTCTGCATGGCAGGAGTGACAGAGTGGTGCCCAGTGCAACGGTGTGTGACAGAAATACAACATGCACTGCAATGGGGATCTTAAGTTTTCTAGTGGCCACATTAAGAAAGAAAAAGAGGCCGGGTGTGGTGGCTCATGCCTGTAATACCAGCAGTTTGAGAGGCTGAGTGGGTGGATGGCTTGAGGTTGGGAGTTCGAGACCAGCCTGGCCAACACGGTGAAACCCTGTCTCCACTAAAAATACAAAAATTAGCCAGGAGTTATGGTGGGTGCCTGTAATCCCAGCTGCTCAGGAGGCGAGGCAGGAGAACACTTGAATCTGGGAGGCAGAGTTTGCAGTGAGCCAAGATCGCACCACTGCACGCCAGCCTAGGCAACAGAGCGAGACTCCATGTAAAAAAAAAAAAAAGAAAAGAAAGAAAAAAAACAGGTAAAATTAATTTCAATAATATATTTTAACCCAATATATTCAAAATACTATCATTGCAATGTGTCATCAATATACAAAATATTGAGAAGGTGTTTCCCATTCTTTTTAATCCCCAGTTTTAGAATTCAGTGTATATTTTACACACAGCACATCTCAACATTTCTGAGCTCCTTTTCAGTGCTCATCAGGCACACATGGTTAGTGGCTGCTGCCCTGGACAGCACAGGCCTAGTGACTGTACTTTTGGTTGTAAGGGTGGCAGTGGCTGGCATGAACCAGAACAGGGGTTTGTTTGTGACAGTGACAAGGAGACCGCTAACCCCTGCTGATCTGTGTGTCCAGTTTTATTTCTCTTTTTTCTAATTTTTTTATTTCCATACATACCCTGCTTGTATATCAAGCTCTTTTCTAATCAGGGATCCTCAAATGACAGGAGTTGACCTCTGATTGTGTTTGTGCATTTCAAAGCCCAGAGCTGTGACCTCAGCCACGGTGGGCAGGATGGGTGCTGGAGAAGGGCATTAAGGCTCCCAGCTTTGTGGGGGAAATGGCATCTTCTTGAGTGAGTGGGGAAGTGCAAATAGAATATGCACAAGCTAGGAAGGACGTTTTTAAAGCCTGTGCTTCGAACATTCTTCCTCTAAAGGATCAGGTGAGCTGGCTCAGAGCAGGGAGCCAACCGCTGAGCCAGGGTGAGAGGGCTTTGTATTTGGAGAGTGAAAAGAATACGGTTGTTTAGGCTTTGGACTCAGAGCATCAGAAACTCAGGAGAAATGAGATCAGCTGAAAAAGAAATGGGTTTGATGTTGTAGACCAAACATGAACAGTGGGGAACAGGCTGAAAAATGAGGGGAGAACAGTCAGCAGCTTCCACGGCTTCTCCCAAATGGAGGGAAGTGGGGCCAGCTCAGGGGACAGGCTGGAGGCTTATGACGGAAAGATGGTGGGGTCCAGGTGTGGCAGGACAGGAGGCAAAGCTGGGGGCTGCTATGGGACAGAGGGGGCAGAGGGAAAGTTGTGCTGCTAATGGGGTCACAAGAGTCACTTATGGCCTGGGGCCTTCAAGAACCAAGGGAAGCCCTCCCAGAGCCCAGCACCACCACAAGCAATGCTCACGGCTCCAGCCAGCAAGACTTGGGGTAGCAGCCCCCAGCCTCTCTCCCCATATTGGGGACAAAAGAGAACTGGAGAAGCCAGAGAGAGGGAGCTGGCCAAGCCTTTCCGGAGGGCACAGCCCAGGCCTCCACCATCCTCTCCCCATGTGTGCTCAACCCTTAAACACTTTGCTAAGCATTACAGGTCAGGCCCCTCCCCTGTGTGTTCAACCCTTTAACACTTTGCTAAGCATTACAGGAGTTCTTCTGCTAGAAGTGGCCAATCAAATGTCCCTGGGCTTGGCTCTTGGTCCATGGCAACATTCCTTGCTTTTGGAGAGGGTGTGGGGTCCAGGAGCTAAGTGTACCCTTCAGCCAAGTCATATATCCTCTCACTCAACCTCACAATAATCATTCCAGGTGGTATCATTCTTACCCATTTTACAAAGGTGAGGTTGACCCTGTGTAATAGTCAGGGTAGGCTTGGTTACGCTGCTGTAACACACAGCTCTAAACATCTCATAACTTAACACAGTAGTTTACCTCTCACTCCCACTCATGGGGGCTGGCGAGGGAATCTGCTCCATGCAGGTCGCTCAGGGATTCAGGCTGATTGAGGCTCTGCTGTCTGGAACAGTGGCCTCTGCCAACTCCCTGGCAGGGGAAGACACAGATGGAGGTGCGTACTGGCTTCTTTAGAATTTGGCATGATCCTGCCTAACTAGAAAGGTGCTGAGTAGTCTGAGGAACATCTGGGCTGTCTGAGGATCCCCTAGTCCCCTAGATTGGGAAGTGGGAGCGAGGCTTAACTGAAGCGTGTCTAATGTCAAAGTCCTTGCTGTCAGCCCCGCCTTATGCAGCTTCCCCCCTAAACCACTGTGAAAACGTGTGAGCTGTGTGGTAATGTGCCAATTCCAGGGGTGTCAACACCATGACCCCCAGATATTCTCATACACTGCCTCCTTAGCCCATCCCAGGCAAAGAGGGCTCTGCAAACCAGGGACCCTGCGAGGCCAGGGGACAGTGGGATTATACTGCCCCATCCCCTCTGGCCTGCCTCCCGCCCTTCCAGCCTGCTCACTGTGTCCCTGCTGAGTCCCATGACTCTCAGCTGCCCTCAGGATCCTGCCTCTGAAGAGTCCTTTCCTTCCTGTGGAATCTGGAGCCTGGTCCTCCTTCTCCAAGGCAGCACCTGCCAGGTTCCTCACTGGCAGCAAGCAGCCTTGCTAACAGCCTTGCTAATCCATTAATTACCTGCTTCTAGCAGAAGAGCTGTTAATTGAAAACTCCACCCCCTCCTTTAATTGCCTGCCTGCCTCTGGCTGTCTAGGCTTCCCTGGGTTCCCTCCAGGCCCGCAGCCCTTGGTTCTCTGCCTTTGGGCTCCTGACTTCTTCCTGGTCAATAAGGGTGTCTGTGGCTGTCTCTGCAGTGCTCATTACTGGGGTTGCCAGGTGAGAATCCGGGGCTACACTCCCTAGCCTGCAGCTAACAGCCTCTCTCCTGCCTGGCCCACTGTGGGAGGAAGGAAAGCATTTAATGCAATTTGCCCCAGAAATTAAGGGGGAGATAACAGGCCAGTGGGAGGATTCCACAGGGTAGCAGATTTTACTGAAACCAAAGGCTGAACTCCTCCAGGTCAGAGCTAGCCAGAGGGGCCAGCCACCCAGAGGGGCTGCACCACTTCCTGGAAGGGTCCACCCTGACTCTAAGTCTCAGCCCTGCCCGGAGGATTTTCTGACCTCAGTCCTTTGAGTCTGGACACACGAGGGCTCAAGGTGGCCCCGACCTTAATCACCACTTCCCTCCCAGATACATCACCAGATTCTCCAGGCACAGTTAGAATTTGGCAATATTGACAATCTGAAGAGTGAAAAAGAAGTGAATTTCAGAAAAATGAGGTCAATATCCCATTTTCCAATATAACTGTATGAATATTGTATACATATATGTTGATAAACACCTTTTTTAAAAGGTCTGATACAAACCCCACCAAACTCTTACTAAGAGTGGCTACTTCTGGAGAGTGGGAGAGGAGAGGGAGAGGGAGGACTCACAGTGGATCTTCACTGTTTGGATTATTTCACTAGAAAGGGAGCAGGCGAGCATTAGTCCTCAAAGGCCCTATGATCTTGAACAAGGCGCCTGGCCACTCTGAGCCTCAGTGCCTCATCTGTAAGAGGGAGGCTTCTCCCATGTCCCCTTTTACTCTGGATTAGGACGCGTGGTTGAGTGCAACCTAAACCAACCCAAGCTTGTCTAAGAAAAGGGGAAGAGTTTCCCGGGACACAAGGATTTTTATGCATCCAGACCTTAGGCAGCGGAGAGAATCCTGGGGAGGGCTCTGCACGTCTCCTTACTGTGTGCCTGCTTCCTGTAAGGTCCTCTGAATGGGCTGCACCATGGTCAAGCCATTGTGACCCCTGTGACCCACACGTACAGGCCTCCTGGAGTCACAAAGCCTGGAGCACTAGGAGAACCACTAAAGAAGAAGAAACAGCTAGTTCCTGCCTTAACTGATGAACTGACCTTGCAGCATTGCACCATTGTGATATGTTCCTGCCCCAACTAATCCATCCACCTTGTGATGTTGTGCCTTGTGACCTCCCCCACCTCGTGACTATGCACCTTGTGACATTCTTCCCCTGCCCGAAAAAACTGCCCCTAACTGTAACTTTCCACTACCTACTCCAAGCCTATAAAACTAACTCCACTCCCACAACCCTCCACTGACTTTCTTTTCGGACTCAGCCCACTTGCATCTGAGTGGATAAACAGCCTGTTGCTCACACTTAGCCTGTTCAGGGCATCTCAAAACACAGCAGCCAGGTTTACACCTTATGGGCCCAGCCCTCTAGAGAGTTGCAGGTCCTATTTCTAAAGTCCTGGGCAGGGATCTTACTGACTAGCTTGGTGACTGCATCGAGGCTGATAGGCTGGGTTATGTAGGTAACAAGTAGCCCACTGTTTCAATGGATGAAAATAGCGAAGTTTATTTCTGACATATGCAGTATGACCACTGAGTCAGCAGGAGGGCTCTGGGCATCACAGTCACTGGGTGACCCAGTCTGACAGAGTTTCATCTCAACAGGTGTGTCCAGGATCTCAGAGACAGGAATAGAGAACATGCTGGCCCACACAAGGGCTCCTAAGGCTTCTGTCTGAAAGTGACATTCCACCCACTTCCACCCACATTTTGTTGGTAAGAGCAACTCACATGGCCATGCTTGAATTGAAGTGGATGGAGAAGTCAACTCCTACCATGGGCCTGGCATAAAGGAGACTTGAACATCTGTGAACAGCCCGGATGACTACCATAATGACACCTCACCAAGAGCCCCTGCCCACTCCATTTCACCTGGCCCATCGCTGCAGGACTTCCCACTGTGCAGGTGAATGCTGCCAGGGAAGGAGGGAGAGAGTCCATGGAGGGTTCAGTTTCTAGCTGTTGCTATCTGGCTCCTTTTCTGTGGCAATAAATAGGTAAACATTGTCATGGCAGAGATGTAGAAGTCCCGCAGGAGGCGCCCTGTGAATCCCAGAGAGTTGCCGAGCCCAGCCTCTGGGCCTCAGAGTCACAGGAGGGAAGATGTCTTCCCAGCTCAACCCTTCCCCTCCTCCAGCAGGAAAGTTGCACTTTTGAGAGTGAAGGCCGGGTGGGGGTGAGGTGGGAGTGTGGCACCTTTGGCATTTTCTGCCTGAACAAAACTGCGGCCCCTGTCTGCCTTGGTGGCTGTCCCTGGCTTTGCTTTCAGAGACATCACCTCTCTGTGGTCATTTTGGAGGAAGATGTGCCTCGGGATCTGGGTTTCGAGCTCTGGCTCTGTCGCTAACGGGCTGGCTCTGTGACCTAGGCAGGTCAATGAACCCCTCCAGAGCCTCCGTTTCCTCATCTGTAAACTGGGTTATCATAATGTCTGCCTCCCTAGCGAGCTCTCTGGATTCTCGTGAGGACCGGCTGTTATGGGGGGCATCACGGCTCTTTGTCCAGGTGACACGTGGGAAATATGAGGGCTTATCTTTGTGCTGCTGTGGCCTTCTTGGGATTCTCCCTGAGGACTGGCCCTGCCCTGCCTTGCTCTTGCCCCTGGGAACGGCCCACCCTGTCTCCTGCCTCCCCACCCAGACGGGAAGCAGTCACTCTGCCAGCTCTCAAGGACTCATCTCTGAGGTTTTAGACAGAATAATTTCCTCTCCCTCTCACGCCTGCCTGTCCGGGAAAATCACACAACCCACGCAGGACCCCCCCTACGTGCACCCACATGCCCCACAGCCATTGTCTCCTGCACCAGCCAGCAGAAAAGCAGAGTGGGGCATGGGAGGAGGATGCGGAGGCTGCAGGAAGGGGGGGTGACACCCCCAACCCTGAGGGTCTCCTGGTGTCAGGCCAAGAGCTGACATGGACATGGGGAGACAGGAGCCAGGCTCCTTCCAGATCCTCCCACAACCTGGGTTTCAGCCACCCTCAGCCACCCTGCCAAGGCCGCAGGTGCTGCACAAGGCCACAGGCAAATGTCCGGCTGAGGACTGAGGTAGGGGCTGGATCCCACAGCCCATTGGTAACAGAGACTGGATGAGAACGCCCGAGTCCAGTGCTCTTTCTGCACTGCTTCCCAGAACTTCCTGCCACTAGGGACCTGCAGCCAGAAAGGACAGGGCAGGAGGTACAGAGAGAGCAGAGAGAGCCTGCTCCAAGGGAGAGCCTCGGGACACAGGGAGTCTCATTCCTCCCTCCCAGCACGGGCTACGCCCATGCCACTCAGGCCTGAGCCACAGGGCACTGCCTAGCCCTGCTTGGGCCGGGGCTCACCAGCCCTTACAGACAGCAGGCCCCGCCTCCAAGACACTACCCCATGGCAGGGGAAAGCCTTGGGGTCCCCATAAAATGCAGGCATCGCCAGACAGAGAATAGGTCTTCCCAGGATGGGAAGATTTACTTAGGGAGGGGCCACCCTGGATACCCTGCCCTCCAGTAGCAGCCAGGTTCCGGAAGATCCCATGAGGGGCCAGTGTGGACCCCTCCCCTTCAACCATCCAGGCCTGCAGGTCTGGGGCTAATGGTGGGGAAAGGGGGCTCCAGCAGCTGAGGCGGGGCAGAGCCAGTGGATGGAGGCAGAAGGCGGGCAAATCTCAGGCACATTTTCTGCAGTGATAAAGACCTTTTGCTCAGCAGCTAGCTTCCACGGCACTTCTCCCCCACATGACACCACATCAGGGCCCACAGGAGAAAGTCCGGAGTAGGCTGAGGCACTGGGTCCCCTCCCTTCTCCCAAACACACCTGCCTACAGGGGGCACTGCCCCCTCTCAGAGACTGGGGGTGGAAGCTTAGCTGCAGGGGGTGGGATGGCTCCAGGACAGGAGAGCCATCCAAGAGAAGGCCAGGGCTCTGGGAGAAGAGGGGGTCCTACTGCCCTCCCGGAACAGGGCTCCTGGCTCCGTGAAGCCATCTCCACAACTCCCACAGCTGCCTCCTCTTCCCCTCCTCAAACTCCCACAGCCACCTCCAGCTCCCGCACCGTGAGGTCTGCTCCACGACCGCAGGAGCCAGACAGAGGCCGGGGTAGCCTCAGGCAGACAGACACTTTTGTGGGTGTTCACCCAGAGCTAGACCTCAGGGAAAACAGGGGTGGCCTGGGGGCTGAGAATTCGGCAGTCCCAGCACATCCAGGACCATAAATACACCATGCCCTTTGACCCGCTAACCCCACTGTTTGGAATTCCTCCCAAAAACATAATTGCAAAGGGAAAAATAGCTATATGTGCACAGCTGTTTATAGCAACACTATTTATCATAGTAAACAAGTCAAGTCAGCCAAAATACTTTGCAAGTTGTGGGAGGGGGAACTGTGGGTCAATAAGGTGGGATATTTATTATACGTACAAGAAAAATGGTAAACTTGTAAAATTACTCATACAATAATGTTAACAGCAGTGAGAAGACAAACTTGCACATATCTGTTCAGGCAGCAGACAATGACTGAGCACCCCGTCTGGGCTACACAGCTGCTCCAGGTGCCAGAGAGATCCCCATGAACAGGACCAAGTCCACGCCCTCGTGGAGGGAACATTCCAGAAGTGCACCATAGGGTCAAAGGTAAATTAAAACCACAGGCAAGTACTTCCCCAAGGCAGGGAGATGGACAGAACCGAGTGTTGTCCACTGCGGGGTCCATCCTTCCTGGGCTGGTGGGTCACCAGGGAGTGGCCCCACAGAGGTCTGCAGGCTCCTAAGGCAGGAGCCAGACCCAGGATCAAAGCGAGGGGCACCTGGCCAAGGGCAGTGGGTCCTGCCAGACCACAGGGTCTTCTCCCCACAGGAGGGAAATTTGTCAGGCTGCTTTTAGGAATCCCATGAACCTTTGGGGTTTGTGCATGAACCAGGGGAGGAGCAGTCCCCGAGACTGTGAGCTCAGTTTTCTACTAACCTAACAAGCTAGGAAGGGTCACAACTGAGGGGCTGGGGATCCATTTTGCCTCCAGCATGGCCAGATCTGCAAGCAGGAGATGTCGTATGGTGGCCTGGGAGGCAAAGGGGTCTGAGTCAAAGGTAAAGGTGTAATCTGAAGGTGGACTGGCCCCCATCCTGCCGGCTCCCTGTGGTCCAGAGAGTTGGAGAAAGCCCCTTGGACCAGAGCCTTCCCACACTTGGTCCTGTGTCGGGTAGGAGATTTGCAGGAGGCCGTTTCTGCTGTTCCAGAGCCCAGACAGACTTCCCTGGGGTGCTGGGAGCTAAGGCATGGAATTGCAGTCGCCTCCCAGGTGCAGGGCCCTGGGTGGAGCTGCTGGCTGCAGCCAGGGCCAGGGAGCAGAGATCCCTCTCTGCCACCCTGCCCCACCAAAGGCAATGAAGAAACTCCAAGCTCTGGGTCTGTGGGAGGCACCAGGCAAACAGAGGAGTCAGCAAGCTAAACATGCTATTAGCAGCGATGGAGAAGTGACAATTGTCTGCACAGCTATCAGAAGCAGCTCCCCGCCGCCTGGCACCAGCACCTGGGGAGGGGCTGCCACTCATCGGCCTTCACAGAGATGCCCCAGGCTGGGAAAGAAAGACCAGCAGGCCGGATGTTCTGTGCCACCACTCCCTCGTCCTTAGCTGCAGGGATCTTGCCCTTCATCCAGAGACTGAGACCTGGAAGCGAGGCCCACCTCTGCACCTGCCCCCATAGCTGGGCCTTCGTTCCTCAAACTGTAAGCTGGGGATGAAAGTAATACCAGCTTTTGTGGCAGAATTGTTGGGAGGGACCAGTGAGATATTTTGTCTGAAGCACCTTGCAAATGGTAAAGGGCTATGGGGTCACTGCTGTTACAATTCTTCTATCAAAAATCTAATCTTCAGGGCTTTCACTGTTTCATTCACACAGAATGAAATTGAGGCTCAAGAGGTTACATGATTTGACCAAGTCACACAACTGCAAACAAGTAGGTGTCAGTTTCCAGGATCGAAACCAGGAGGAAGCTCAAAGAGCATCCAGCCCCCATGCTGTAAAAGGGATTCAAGGCCCAGAACCAGAAGGTGATTAGCCTTGCAGCAGGACAGAGGGCAGACAGCACCGAAGCCCAGGTCTGCTCACTCTGCTGGGAGCACTTCCCAGGCCACTGTGGATCTGGGCCTTGTCCTCAGCTTGGGGTGGCTGCAGGAGCATCCTGAGGAATGAACCCATGCCAGAGCACTGAAGATGCCCCCACCGCCCCCGCTGCAGACTCCTCACCCAGGTCTCTTCATCTCAAAGGGGCTGTCATAGAGGCCCAGGGCTGTGACCTGGAGGAACACACTCCACCTTCCTGACATCCAGCCCGTCTATCACTCTGATGGTGGAAAGGTGGGTTCCAGAGCCTGCTCAAGACACAGTGTGCAGAGCAGGGAAGGAGCCTGCCCAGGCACAAGGCAGGGGCCCCTCTCAAAGCCTCATGCGCTGCCTGGGGCCCTTGACAACCTGAGGCCTTCCAGGATGCTTTGAATTCAGTCTTCTTGGCCCTGCTGCTGCCCCACTTGACAGAAGAGAGATGGATGGGGAGGTGAGAGGCACTGCCCGCCTAACCACCCACCACCCGTCACTTCTGCCTTTTGAAATCACTTTCGTGGGCAGAGGCAGGGATGCTGATCACACCATGTGGGAGGGACTTGGAGGGTGGGGCGGTGACTCACAGGACAGTGGGGGATAGGAAGCAGCTCCAGAGCCTCCCTGGTAGTGAAAGGGAAGGGCGCTAGTGACTCAGGGACAGCTGGGGAGGGGCGCATGGGGAGGGAGCTCATTCCCCCCAGCTCTGTGCCCTGCATGCCTGGGGGGTGACCTCCTGTGGTGGGCCCCGATCTTGCCCCTGTGGGGCAGTCTTTGCCCTCAGCTTGCTTCCCAGCAGTAGCCAGGCAGCCAGTAGCTGCATGGTGAGTGAATTCCAATCTCGCCCGCTGCCGCCCAGCTGTGCAGACCTTCGGCAGGCTGAGTGCTCCTCTGCCCTCACATCTAGGCCTTTAGATGGAAGCAGAGCCCGACTCATAGAGCCAATTGCCCATCCTGCAGCTGTGAATGTTGCAGCTTCCAGCAGGTTCTTGCTGCAGACTTACTGAGAGGACAGAGTGCTGTGGCAGGCCACCCCAGCCTGCTGGGCACCCCCTCCAAGATGGCCCCAACAAATAGTAAATAAATGCCCCACTCCCAGGCCTGCTTGCTTCCGGTGCTCCTTTCACCTCTGCCCTGCACTGAGCCCCCTGATTATGGCTCCCTGATTCATTCTCAGCAACACCCGGTGTCCCCAGAACGCTACACACTGGGCCCTGGTGGGGCACAAGGGAAACAGCACATCTCAGACTGGGGTTTTCAAACCCAAAGAGAGTCTCCCACCTAGACAGAGGCAGAAGAGAGGCAGGCTCACGTGGTTGAACTGTGTCCCCTGTGCCCATAACACTCAGCCCATCCCCTACCACCTCCTCCCCGGCCACCTTCCCTGACATCGAGCCCATCCATCACCAAAGTCTCCCCAGAGCCCAACTACTGTCATCCCAAGCCCTGCCTCAGTCAGGCCACTGCCCCCTTCACTTTCTATCCAGGAGACCCAGCCAGCCAGTCAGCTCTGTCCTGAGATGGAAATGCGGCCACAGGGAGGAGAGCAGGGGGAGAGCAGGGGCCCAGGCTTCTTCCCCTCCTCATTACCCATCCATCCATTGGTTCATCTGTCTGTCCGTCTATCCACCTATCTACCCATCCATCCATCCATCCATTCATCTGTCCATCCACCTATCTATCTACCATCCATCCATTCAGTCATCTGTCTGTCCATCTATCCATCCATCCATCTACCCACCAATCCATCCATTCTTCTGTCTATCCATCCATGCATCCATCCACCCATTTACTCATTCCTCCATCCATTCATTCATCTGTCCATCCATCTATCCATCTACCATCCATTCATTCATCCATCCATCCATTCATCTGTCTACCCATCTATGCATCCACCCACCTATCTGTCCATTCTTCCATCCATTCATTCATCTATCCATCTACCATCCATCCATCCATTCATTCGTCTGTCTATCCATCTATCCACCCATCCAAACATCTATCCATCCATCCATCCACCCATCTATCCATCCATCCATCCACCCATCTATCCATCCATCCACCCATCTATCCATCCATCCATCCACCCATCTATCCATCCATTCATCCATCCATCCATTCATCTGTTCATCCATCCACACATCCATCCATCTAATCTCAGAATGCTTAATGATGTCACGCCGTGCACATGGGTCTCCTGGAACATCAGCTCTAAAGGGGGAAGGATTACTTCTAGGTTTGTTCCCTGTGGTAACCTAGTGCCTAGAAGTTGGCAGAAAGTCAGTGTTGAATACATATTTGTTGAATGTCAAATGACTGAATGAATGAATAGATTCTTCACCTGGAGAAGGGGAGTAGAGCTCACCAGCTCTCATCTTCAACTCTGGATGATCCAGTCCAAATCCCAGGCCATCCAGAGGTACAGCCCCAAGTCCAGGAAAGGGCATGACTTGTCCAAAGCCACCTGGCAAGGAAAGAGCAGGGCCGGGTGTCCGGCCTGGGTATTCTTCACCCAAATTAGTGTTTTCCCCCCTAACTACTAAGAGCCTCCTGTGCCGGCAGTCCCTGGGAGCAGCAGCAGAAGCCTAGAGCCCAGGAGCGGAGCCAGTGGCCAGAGTAGAAGCCAAGACTAGGAGCCTCTGAAGAGCAGGAACCTTCCTGAGTGGGGTTTGGATATTCCCAGCAGGAGGAAGAGTGTGTGCTGTGTGGCAAAGCTGTCCCAGCTGCCCAGAGGAGCAGCAAGTGCTCTGTTGGCCTTGCAATCCCTGCCCCATGGCAGGATGAGCAGGCTCTGGCCTGGAATGCACCAACTGGGCAGCCCTCCAAGCCCAGCCACCGCCCCTAGGCTTTCATGCCCCTCCACCTCTAGCTCTGGGGGCCCCAGGAGTCAATGCCCACTTCAGCTCCAGCCAACATGGCCTGGGATCTGGTCTGATCTAGGCTCTGACCTCAGCTCTGCCCCTAGCTGGCTGCGTGGCCTTGGAAAGCTCACTTCTCCTCTCTGCCTCAGGCAAGCCCTGCTCCTCAGCCTCACTCAGGACTGCGGAAAAATGCATGTTCTTGGGCCTGTCACTAGAGATTCTGCTTCAGCATGTCTGCAGAGAACTCAGAAATAAGCAGTTTACAAATGCTGCCACTCAAGCATTTAAGGAGACAGGCTGAATGAGGGCAGAGGGCCCCATGGCTGAACCACCCCATGGCATCTGGCTCTGGGCAGGCCACCTGAACACTGCCCAGCCTCGGTCCTCTTACCTGCTCAATGAGGATGACCAGGGAATCCTGTGGGTTTTGGCAGGTCCTGTGGGAGATGGTGTGGTAACAGCACTTGGCCATACCTTACAGGACTCCAAAGGGTAAGGGGCTCAGGTCTATTGGGATCCATTTCGGCTGTGAGTAACAGCAGCTGAATACCATGGAAGTTGATTTCTCTCTCCTATCTGTCTGTGGGAAGCTCAGAGCACTTGCTGGCAAGGGAAGGGGTCTCAGAGGTGGAGGGAGCCCCCACCGCACAGCCCCAGCCTCCCAGGCAGCATAGGGTGGGGACAGGCGCATGCAGAAGTCCTGCTTTCTTCCCTCTGCTTGCACTTTTCAGCCATGTGTGGAGCCTCACGGGGCCTCAGCTGCCTCGTCGGTGAAGTGGGTGTAGTGATAGTGTCCACTCTAGGAGGTGGTCACTTTGAGGATTCGATGAGGTCATCTGTGCAGCACACCTGCTCAGGGCCTGCGCGTGGCACTCCACAGAGCACAAGGCCAGCTCTACTCCTCCAGGCTGCTGCAAAGTGCTGCCAGTGCAGGGGCCTCTCCCTGGGGACTCAGGAAAGGCCAGAATCTATGAGGCTGTTGCTCTGGCCCTGCTGCCTGCATCGCTGATCCATCCTCAGCCTGAACCTCAAGGGCTGCAGCTCAGACACAGCTCTGCTGCTGCTTCCTAGGAACAGAGTGAGGACTCAAAGGGAGGTGCTGGGAGCAACCAAGGACATCAGTGCCTCCTTCTCAACCAGACACCCTGGGCTCTGAGCCCTAATGGTTCTCCCTCCCACTGTGGCCTAAGTGTCTTCACATTCAAGGCTCTGGCAGTCAAGAGGATTACATCTCAACATGAGATTTGGAGGGACCATCCAAACTATATCACACGGTAAGACATGATGTATGTTTATACACTTTATTGGACAATTCGTTTACTGACAGCCAAAAGCACCCTCACAAATACAAAGGCTCAACCCTATCTGGGGAGTCTTTTCAGCCTCATTTTCCACCACTGCTCTTTGATGCCTCTCTGGGTGAACCATGTGTTGCTTTCTCTTTGCTTTGGCTGCTAACTGCAAGGCCCCTCTAGTCTCCTCAAATTGGTGAACTCCTAGTCATCCTTCAAAGCCCAACTCAAATTCCCCTACCTCTACAAAGGCTTCTGAGCTCCCCTAGGCAGAACTCAAAGCCCTGTCTTGCTGCCTTCAAATGTCTTCACTGTGGAATTTCCCACATCATTCTCCAGCCACTTGTCTGCTGGCCACTCTGCTGCACTGTGAGCTCTTGTGTGCTGCAGCCCTTTCTCTGTGATCTGTTATCCCCTAGCATTGCACCTGGTATGCTGCAGGTGCTGGTCAATGCTGCATATTGCATTACTGAAAACACTGCTTCCTCCAGGCCTCCTGTAACCCTTGGCTCTCCTGATGTTCTTGCCCAGCTGGGCAGGAAGGTGGTGCATCTCTCATGTCCCAGGGGAAACAAGCTCTCAGCGAGTGCACAGTATGGGAATAGGCTCCTGCTGCACCACACTGTCCCTGCTCTCTTCAACCCAGGTGGGATCCCTGGCCCAGACAGGAAAAAGGACACCCAAGGTCACCAGCCTGCTTGGAGCAGAGTGGGGCCTCCAGAATTGGGTAGGAAACACTGGGTGTGTTTCAGAGCTGGCATGACAGCTGTCCAAATTGACACAACAGTGCAGGAGGCAGGACCTGTGGGAGTGGAGGGAGCTGTCAGGTGCTGAACAATGCCACCTGCCAGCCACTGAGGAGCAGAGGGGATGGGGGAATGGGGGGAGAGGGAGGGGAGCTTGGCACCGGGAATGGGTCTGGGACGCCTCCCCCAAAAACCCTCCCCCCACAAGCCCATGTCCCTCAGCCTCAGGAACCAGAGGGGCCATGGGTGAGGGGGAAGGAGCAAGAGAGCTGAGTCAGAGCTCACCCTGGGCAAAGGTGTGGACTGCTGGCTCAGGGTCGACCAGGGCTCCTTTGGAAAGCAAAAAACGACCGGGGATTAGAGGACTTTGGAGACTAGGAAGGTGCTTTGTCTGTCTTGGGGGCCGGGAGCGGTGCCAGGAGCATCATGGATTGCTGGGGAGCTGGGCCAGGCTCCTGGGCTCCCACCCTGCTCCTCTGAGAGCGGACAGCAGGATTGAGTAAGCGCTGTGCCCTCTGAACTTTTCTGGAGCCCCATGGAGCTGGGATCCAGGTGCTGAGCTGCCCTGGCCACAGCACACAGATGCTGAGAAGTCAGTGAGGCCTTTTAGGAAGGCAAGCTGCAGGCAGGGGCTTGCCTTCCTAAGACCTGAGCTCCCAGGCAGGGTGTGCAGGGGAAAAAAGGCCACAGGCTGCAGCCAGGAGTTGCTTTGTTTTTCTTTATTATTGCAGTTTAAAGACTTTTTTTAATTGTACAAGAACATCTCTTTTTGTTAGAAAAAAAAACCCTGAAGTATTACAGGCAGTGTTAATATGTCTCTTAACCACCTAACCCTCCCACAAAACAAATATCTGTTTCTAGAGGTAACCACTTCAGCTACTACCGTTTAATAAAAATAATACATGTCACCCTCCAAAAAAATACACTTCAAGCCATACCAAATGTCTAAGATAAAATGTTTCCCTTTCCCTAATAATCATGAACAATTTCTCGGGTACTCCTCTGGATCTTTTAAAATTCATATTCATATTCAGGCACCAGATAGTTGTTGTTTTCTCATAAATAAGAATCGATACTTAATGATAGGAATAATAGGTCCTGCTCTGCATCCTCCCCACCTCCTGGGTTCCTGTGACGCCTCGGCTTCTCCTTGCACACCCAGAGAGACCCAGCCAGGGCCCCGCACTTTCTTCACCCTTTTCCCTGGGGGTGGACGCCCGTGGTCTTTCCTGTTATTTCCCAGGCAGCACAGGAGAAGCACACATACCCTCAGTCCTGGGTGCATGTAGGGTGACTGCCCCCGAGGTCGCCACTCAGCGGGTCCTGGGCAGCTTCCGCAGGGACTTGGCCTCTGCTTCCTCCACTGCAGCTGGGGGGTTGGACTGGATCTAGTCCATTCGAACCTCCCCAAGGATGGGCAGGGGGCACACCCCTCCCACTGTGCCTGTCCTAGCAGATGACCCGGACCCGGAATGTGGGAGCACCAGGGGTTTGCTCTGGGCCAAACACCCCTGGACACCCCTGCTCCTCTGCCCCCACCCCCTCTTTACTTCTTCTTTCCCTCCCAATACCACAAGTCCCCACACCATGGCAGAGACAGGAGCCTGTGTGGCCAGCAAGCCCAGCGAAGGGGGCTCAGGTGTCATCTCCACCCCCAGCAGAGGAGGGAGAACACCCCCAGCCAGCTTTGCAGCTCCCCCATTTCTCCCTCTCCCGCTGCTGCTACTGGTTCAAAAGATAAAATAAAAACCCTCTGCATCAACAAATAAAATAAAATCACAATAAAAAATTTATATTCCTGGGATGTAGGTCTTTCCAAACAGGAGCAGCTGCTGCCAGAGCTGAGTCTGTCAGAAGCAGGGCGGGGCTTTTTTTCTTACTAGGAGTTTCTTTTTTGTTCTTTTTTTCCCAAGGAGGCACATCCAGTTAAAATACATTCCTGGAATGGGAGCTCCATGCGCTTTCCTGGTCATCAAAGCTGCCGTTTGTTAGCATGTTCTTTGCCTGTTATCTTGTTTGTTTGTGAGGATTGCTGGAGTTTCTTTTTTGAGATAGAGTTTTAGGCTGTTGCCCAGGCCAGAGTGCAGTGGCGCGATCTCACCTCACTGCAACCTCCACCTCCAAGGTTCAGGCAATTCTGCTGACTCAGCCTCCCAAGCAGCTGGGATTACAGGCGTCTGCCACCACACCCAGCTAATTTTTTGTTTTTAGTAGAGATGGGGTTGGGTTGCTGGAGTTCCTGAGTGACAGGATGTTGCAGCAGAGGTGGTGAGTGGCGGGGAGGGGGGTATCCATGAAGTCAGGAGAGCTGCCTGGCAACTGGAAGCCAAAGGGGTCAACCCACCAGCCCCTCTGGAGACAGCTGTCTGCAGCTCAGACCTCGTTGAATACGGCAGCCACTCATTCGGCTAAACGTGGGGATGCATTAAAGACATTTGCAGACATCCTTTCTTCTATTGCACCTTTTCTCAGGAAACTTTTAGAAGCATTCCGTCAAAACTACAGACTAGAACATGAGTCACCCCCTGCACGATGCCCAGTCCTGTCACTGGGCAGTTTCCTGAAAGCTGCTACCATCCCCCATCTGAGTTCCAGATGCAGTGCCAAGGCTGGGCTGGGGGCACAGGGAGGAGCTGGCCCAGTGAACGGAGCACAAACCAAGACAGCCCAGTGAGGGGTCCCCAGCGAGAGATAGAGCAAAGGGGTGCATTCAACATTCAAGTTCCCAAGACCCCTACAACACAGGCTGTACCCAGTGTTGGCATGTGGTAAGGGGCCTGTTGTGCAGGTTGGCCACTGCTCAACTGAAAAAAAAGTGGCAGCTGCCAGAGGCTGGCCTTGAACCAGGGAAGCTACCCACTCTTTAGCCATCACTCTGCACTCTATTATGTTGCCATTACGGAATGAGAGTGGAGCCCGGATATTGCCCCAGACCTCGACCCTGTGAGTTCAGTGCCACTGGCTGCCCAGAGCCCCTCTCTGTCTGTCTCTCCTTGGCCTGGAGGAGAGTGTGGCCACAGGTAGTATCCAAAGCCTTTCCTTAGGGCCTTCTCCTGACCTATCCTGCTTCCCGGGCTCAGGGGACATCTCCCGGAGTTCCAACCACACGACTGAAGATCCAGCGAGCCTCATGGAAGGGGTTGTGTGTTGTCTTTCCCACGTCCCTTTCTTCTCTCTGTCCCTCTGCCCCTCTGCCCCTTCCCGTGCCTGGGAGAGCTCCAGAGTCACCTTCCTCCATCACAGAGCAATTGAGCTCCAGGCCTACAACCCTAAGATGGGCAAACCCAGCCCATCTTTGGCTCAGCCAAATCTTCCAGGTCCCAGCCACCCACCCACTTGCAAACACACATACATCTTCACCCCACAGGTGACCTGTGCCATACTCCTAGGGGTGTTCAAACTCAGGGGAAGGGGTGGTGCTCCCTCAGGGAACAGCGCCATGACTCTACGACAGTCAGTACTGGCAGCTGTCAGAGCTGTCATTCCCTGAGTGCAACTCTTAATGAGGGCCTATTAAGTCTCCTCTTATGACTGCATAATTGTTGCCACAAGGAGGCTTTGTTCTCTTTATTTTGGAAATGAAACTGTTTTATATCCCTAAAGCAAGAGAGATGGACACCAGCTTGGGGCGCACTGGAGAACACAGAACGGCAGGGCAGGGGCTCCACTGGGTTGGGGCTCTGGTGTCCCCAGGCTACTGCAGACACAGCCCTGAGCCCAGGGAGCAGCAGCTGTTGTTTCTGCAGCAGAGCGGAGCGGCCAGGTCAGCTCCAGCCCTCCTGTGAGCTGTGGGAAGTTGCCACAGGCCCACCGGCCCTCCTCACTTCTCCTGTAGCTCCCAGCAACTGTCATCATGAACCATCTGCACCCTCACCACCCCTTAGGGGCTGGGCAGTGGTAGGGCTCTTATTCCCATTGACCATGAGAAAACAGAGGACGCTGGTTGGCCTGGCCAGGGTCCCTCAGGTGTAAAGGGAGGATTAACAGGAAGAAGAAGTTGAGCATGTCCTATGTCCGAGGCACATCTGCTCTAAGTCTTCACATACACGACCTCACCTGCTCACTACCACAGGCTGCAGAGGAGGAGCTGAGCTCCCATGTTAAGGTGAGGCTTGGAGGCATTAGGTGAAGTGTCCAGTACAACAGCTTCTATGTGACCAGCTGGGCTTTCAGTCCAGACATTTCTACCTCTCCAGCTTCCCATCCTCAAGAATGTGGCTGGGCCAGACCCAGACTCTGAGGACATTCAGGGACACTGTGCCTCGCCAGCCCTCTGAAGTGCTCAGAACGTATGTCCCGACCCCACTGAATGCCAGGAACCATGCACTGGGAAGTGGGTGGACAGGAGAGACAAGACATGCTCCTTCCCCAAGAGGAGGCTGCAGGCAGCAAGGGAAACCCTTAGGTAAGCTCGGAACAGCCGTCCACCACTGGGACCATGAGCTGCATCCTGCCTTGGGGGGCCGCTTTGGTGGGAGTGTGCTGGGCAGAGAAGAAGGGAAGGACATCC
Organism: Homo sapiens; assembly: GCF_000001405.40. Lineage (NCBI taxonomy): Eukaryota > Metazoa > Chordata > Mammalia > Primates > Hominidae > Homo > Homo sapiens. The sequence continues at coordinate 554,228 of NW_025791765.1, forward strand.
AGGCAGAGGGGGCACCTGGGCAAAGGCTCGAAGGTGCAGAGGTGAGAGGCATTTGGGAGCTGGTGAAGGCATTGGGGGTGGCCTCCAATTGAATAATATGCATTTAAGTTTCCTTCTTGTCTTTTCATGGCTTAAAAGCTCATTTCTTTTTAGTGCTGAATAATATTCCATTGTCTGGATGTACCACAGTTTGTCCACTCACTTACTGAAAGACATCTTGATAGCTTACAAGTTTTGGAAATTCGGAATAAAGCTGCTAAAAACATCCATGTGCAGTTCTTTGTGTGGATGTACATTTTCAACCCATTTGGATAAACAGAATGGACTTGCAGTTGCTGGATTACATGGTAAGAGCATACTTAGTTTTCCAGTTTCTTCTAAAGTGTCTGCACCACTTTGCATTCCCACCAACAGTGAATGAGAGTTCCTGTTGCTCCACATCATCACCAGCATTTGGGGTTGTAAGGGTTTGGATCTGGGCCATTTTGATAGGTGTGTAGTGCTATCTCATTGTTTTAACTTGCAGTTCCCTAATAGCATATGATGTTGAGCATCTTTTCATATGCTTCTTTGCCATTTGTATGTCTTCATTGGTGAGTTGTCTATTCTGGTCTTTTGCCCATTTTTAATTGGGTTATTCATTTGCTTATTGTTGAGTTTAAAGAGTTCTTTATACATTTTAGATAACAGTCCTTAAAAGAATTCATTGTTGGCTGGACATGGTGGCTTACCCCTGTAATTTCAGCACTTTGGGAGGCTGAGGCGGGCAGATCACCTGAGGTCAGGAGTTCGAGAACAGCCTGGCCAACATGGCAAAACCCTGTCTCTACTAAAAATACAAAAAAAATAAAAAATGAGCCGGGTGTGGTGGCACATACCTGTAGTCCCAACTATTCGGGAGGCTGAGGCAGGAGAATCCCTTAAACCTGGGAGGCAGAGGTTGCAGTGAGCTGAGATTGTGCCACTGCACTCCATCCTGGGCTACAGAGAGAGACTCCATCTCAATTTTAAAAAAATGTATTGTTTAGTGCATGTATTTATTTCCTTTTAAAAAGGTTTATTGACATTTAATGTCTTCTTATTTTCTTGGCAGTGTGTTCCACAGAGCAGAAGTCTTTAATTTTAATGAAGTCCAGCTTATCAAATATTTTCATTCACGAATTTCACCGTTGATGATGTATTTTAAAAGTCATCACTGTACCCATGATAATCTAGATTTTCTCCTATGTTATCTTGTAGAACTTTTATAGTTTTGCATTTTGCATTTAGGTTTTTAATCCATTTTGAGTAAATTTCTATGAGGGGTATATGGTGTGTGTCTAGATTCTTCTTCTTCTATTTTTTTTTGCGTTTGTGTGTCTATGTCTATTTGTTCCAGCACCTTTTGTTGAAAAGATTGATTTTGCTCTACAGTTTTGCCTTTGATCCTTTCACAAAGATGAGCTGACTGTATTTTATGGGGATCTATTTCTAGGCTCTCTGTTCCATTTATCTACTTGTCTATTCTTTCACCAATCCACACTGTCATGATTATGATCGTTTTATAGCAAGTCTTGAAGCCAGGTAGCATCAGCCCTCCAACTTTGTTCTTCTCCTTCAATATGGTGTTGACTATTGTGGCTCTTCTGCCTCTTTGAATAAACTTTAAAGTTAGTTTGTCAATATCCAAAAAATACCTTGCTAAGATTTTGATTGGGATTATATTTGATGCATAGATGAAATTGGAAGAACTGACATCTTGACAATATGAGTCTTCCTGTGCATGAACAAGGATTATCTGTCCATTACTGAGTTCCTCTTTGATTTCTTTCACCAGAATTTTGTAGTTTTCCTTATATAGATCTTATACATATTTTGTTAGGTTTATACCTAAATATTTCAATTTAGGGGGTGTTAATGTAAATGGCATTGTGATTTTTTTCTGATATATTCTTATTAAAAGTTTTTCTGGGTACATAATATATATATCATATATGTATCTCATATTTTATATATGTATATATATATATGAGGTACATGAGATGCTTTGATACAGGCATGCAATGAAATAATCACATCATGGAGAATGGGATATCCATCCCCTCAGGCATATCCCTTTGTATTACAAACAATCCAATTACACTCTTTTAGTTATTTTTAAATGTACAAGCAAGTTTTTATTAACTATATTCATCCTGTTGTGTTATCAAATACTAGGTCCTATTCCCTCTTTCTAACTATTTTTTGTACCCATTAACCATCCCCACCTCACCCCCACTATCCTTCCCAGCCTCTGGTAACCATTCCTCTACTCTCTATCATCATGAGTTCAATTGCTTTAATTTGTTTAGCTCACATATATAAGTGAGAACATGCTATGCTTGTCTTTCTATGCCTGGCTTATCTCACTTAACATAATGATCTCCAGTTCCAGCCATGTTGTTGCAAATGATAGAATCTCATTCTATTTTACAGCTGAATAGTACTCCATTGTGTGTATGTACCACATTTTCTTTATCCATTCATCTGTTGGTGGACACTTAGGTTGCTTCCAAATCTTAGCTCTTATGAACAGTGCCACAACAAACATGGTAGTGCATATATCTCTTTGATACACTGATTTCCTCTCTTTTGGGTATACACCTGTGAATGAGATTGCTGGATTATGAGGAGCTGTATTTTTAGTTTTCTGAGGAACCTTCAAACTGTTCTCCATAGTGGCTGTACTAATTTGCATTCCCACCAACAGTGTACAAAGTTTCCCTTTACTCCACACCCTTGCCAGCATTTGTTATTGCCTGTCTTTTGGATATAAGCCACCTTAACTGCAGTGAGAGAATATCTCATTGTAGTTTTAATTCATATTTCTCTGATGATCAATGACATTGAGCACCTTTTTATATGCCTGTTTGCCATTTGTATGTCTTCTTCAGAGAAATGTCCATTCAAATCTTTTGCCCAGTTTTTGATAGGATTATTATATTTTTTTCCTTATAGAGTTGTTTAGCTACTCATATATTCTGGTTATTAATTTCTTGTCAGATGGGTAGTTTGCAAATATTTTCCACCATTTGGTGGGCTGTCTCTTCAGTTTGTTGATTGTTTCCTTTGCTATGTAGAAACTTTTTAACTTGATGTGCTACCATTAGTCCAATTTTGCTTTGGCTGCCTCTGTTTGTGGGGTATTGCTAAATAAATTTTTGGGCCAAGCGTAGTGGCTCACGCCTATAATCCCAGTCCTTTGTGACACTTAGAGGGGTGGATTGCTTGAGGCCAGGAGTTCAAGACTAGTCTGGCCAACATGGTGAAACCTTGCCTCTACTAAAAATACAAAAATTAATGGGGCGTGGTGGCGCACACCTGTTATACCAGCTATTCGGGAGGCTGAGATGCGAGAAAGGCTTGAACCCAGGAGGTGAAGGTTGCAGTGGGCAGACATATGCCACTGCACTCCAGCCTGGGTGATAGGTCAAGACTCTGTCAGAAAGAAAGAAGGAAGGAAGGAAGGAAGGAAGGAAGGAAGGAAGGAAGGAAGGAAGGAATTTTTGCCCAGACTAATGTACTGGAGATTTTCCCCAATGATTCCTTGTAGTAATTTCATAAGTCTTTAAACACTTTTGATTTGATTTTACATATGGCAAGATACAGAAGTCTAGGATTTAGTTTCATTCTTCTGCATATGGAAATCTCGTTTTCTCAGCACCATATATTGAAGAGACTGTCTTTTCCCCAGTGTGTGTTCTTGGCACCTTTGTTGAAAATGAGTTCACTGTAGGTGTGTGGATTTGTTTCTAGGTTCTCTATTCTGTTCCATTGGGTCTATGTGTCCATCATTATGCCAGTACCATGCTGCTTTAGTTACTATAGCTCTGTAGTATAATTTGAAGTCAAGTAATGTGATTCCTCCAGTTTTGTTCTTTTGGCTTAGCATAGCTTTGGCTATACTGGGTCTTTTGGGGTTCCATATAAATTTTAGGATTTTTTTTTTCTATTTATGTGAAAAATGTCATTGGTATTTTGATAGGGATTGCATTGAATCTGTAGGTTGCTTTGAATATTATGGACATTTTAACAATACTGATTCTTCCAATCCATGATCCTGGAATGTCATTCCATTATTGGATGTCCTCTTCAATTTATTTCATCAGTGTTTTATAGTTTTCGTTATTGAAGTCTTTCACTTATTTGGCTAATTCCTGGGTATTTTATGTGTGGCTATTGTAAATGGGATTACTCTTTTAATTCCTTTTTCAAATTGTTCACTGTTGGCATATAGAAATACTACTGATTTTTCTATGTTGATTTTGTATCCTGCAACTTTACTGAATTTGTTTATCATTTCTAATAGTTTTTTTGTGGAATCTAGGTTTTTTTTCAAATGCAAGATCATATCATCTGCAGACAAGGATAATTTGACATCTTCCTTTCCAATTTGGATGCCCTGTATTTATTTCTCTTGTCTGATTACTCTAGCTAGGACTTCCAGTCCTATGTTGAATCAACAGTGGTAAAAGTGGGTGTCTGTGTTGTGTTCCAGATCTTTGAGGGAAGGCTTTCAGTTTCTTCACATTTGGTATGATACTAGCTGAATGGTATTGTGTGTTAATTTCAAGTTCCACTTGTTCTTTGTAGGTATCTAGGAACGTGACTGGCTTTTGTATATTAACCTTGTATCCTGCAACCTTGGTATAATTATTGACTTTCTAATTTTTAAATTTCTTTTTTTTTTTTTTTTTTTTTGAGACAGAGCCTTGCCCTGTAACCTAGGCCAGAGTGCAGTTGTGTGATCTAGGCTCACTGCAAACTCCGCCTCCCAGATTCATGCGATTCTCTCATCTCAGCCTCCCAAGTAGCTGGGATTACAGGCATGCACCACCATGCCCAGCTAATTTTTGTATTTTTGGTAGAGACAGGGTTTTGTCAGGTTGCCCAGGCTGGTCTCTGAACTCCTGGGCTCAAGTGATCCACCCACCTTGGCCTCCCAAAGTGCTAGGATTACAGGTGTGAACCAATATGCCCAGCCTAGAATTTTTTTGCTTATTCTTTTCAGATTTTCTATATAGACAAACATGTCAGCTGCAAACAGAGAGTATATTTTTTCCTCCTTTCCAATCTGTATACCTTTTATTTCCCTTGCTTGTGTTATCACATTAGCTAAGACTCTGGCACAATGTTGAAAAAGAGTGGTGAGAGGAGACATACTTGCTTTGTTCCTGATCTTAGCAGGAAAGCTGTTTCTCACCATTAAGTATAATGTTAGCTATAGGTTTTTTGCAGATGTTCTTTATCAAGTTGAGGAAGTTCCCCTCTAGTACTAGTTTACTGAGAGTTTTTTATCATGGGTGTTGTATTTCGTCAAAATGTGATTTCTGCATCTATTGATATAATCGTGATTTTTCTTCTTTAGCCTGTTGGTGTGATAATTTATATATCTATATAAGTTTTGAATATTAAACCAGCTTTGCATACCTGGGATAAATCCCTCTTTGTCTTGGTGTATAATCCTTTGTTTACATTGTTAGATTCTACTTGCCTTTATTTTGTTGAGGAATTTTGCATCTATGTTCATGAGAGATATTGGTCCCATAGTTTTATTTTCTTATAATGGCTTTGTGTGATTTTGGTATTAGGGTAATACTGGCCTCTTAGGATGAGTTAGGAAGTATTCTCTCTGCTTCTATTTTCTGGAAGAGACTGTAGAATATTGATAGAAATTTAGAATATTGATATATTTGTAGAATATTGATATAATTTCTTCAGACTCTCCCCTCCCCCCACCATCTTTAACTCTGAGTGTCATGAAGTCAAGAATTGTATCTTTCATCTGTGTGTCACACATAAGGAGGGCAAGACTTAAAAAAGAGTAGATGCAGAATAAATTTTAAAATGCTGTATTTAAAATCACAAGCAAAGTCCCAATTGCATTTGTACATCTCACCATCTAGCCTGAGCTATAGGCCTTACTACCACTTAGTGGCAAATGTGACTTACAGTATCTTCTAAATTGGAAGTAAAAAGAATCAGGTCTTTAATTTTGCAAACTTGATGTTAAGAAGCGAAACAAGGGGCATAATATGCAAATACATTTTCTAAATAAATTCAACCCATCAGCCATCTAGAATTCATGAAAAAATGGTGAAAATGCCTAAATCCCCAGAATCTGTAAGAAAATGAAAGTGTGATAGTAAATTTTATGTGTCAGCTTGAATTGGTCTCTGTAAAGTAGGTTTCCCTCCCCAGTAGCTCCTGAATAGAACAAAGGGCAGATGACAGAGGAGTTTGACCCTTTTGTTCCTGCCTCACTTCTTAAGCTAGTACATCTCATCTTCTCTTCTCTTACCCTTGACTTGGGGTTTACACCATTGGCTTCCCTGGTCCCCAGGCCTTCAGACTCAGATTGAATGACACCGCTGGCTTTCCTAAGTGACCAGCTTGCAGATTGCAGATCATGGTATTTTTTGCCTCCACAATTTTGTCAGACAATTCTTCATAATAAAATTGGTCTTTCTGGGTGGGCGGATCACTTGAGGTCAGGAGTTCGAGACCAGCCTGGCCAACATGGCGAAGCCCTGTCTTTACTAAAAATACAAAAATTAGTCAGGCGTGGTGGCAGGTGCCTGTAATTCCAGCTACTTAGGAGGCTGAGGCAGGAGAATCGCTTCAATCTAGGAGGCGGTTGTTGCAGTGAGCCCAGATCACACCACTGCACTGCAGCCTGGGTGACAAGACACCCTATCTGTCTCTCTCTGTCTCCTCTCTGTATTATTCTATCTCTCTCTCTGTCATTCTGTTTCTCTCTCTATTTTGGTGCTACTGTTTCTCTGAAGGATGATGACTAATACACTAAGGAAAAATTACATAAATATATGATAAATTTAACAAAATAAATTTGTTAAAAATCGATATACATTATAAAGTTAACCAAATAATAATAACAGTAAATAGCAATTTTCTTATTTTTTTGTAATTTATTTCAAATGTACACATCAGCATAATTTTCATGATTTTAAATTCTGTAAGCATTAGATTGAAAGTCAGAAGCAAGCCAAGAACATATTACTTTATTATTGCTTAACATTCTCCTGGATATTTTAATCTGATACATTTAGAGGTATAAAATGGTAAATATTTTCATTATTCTCTGAAACTTATTTACCTAGAAAAAACTTATAAATAAAAATTTACTAAGATATCTAGGGACAAAATAAACACATGATAGTCAATGGTTTTCATATAAAAAGTATACATCTACTTCTGTGATGCTTATGTTCATGAGAACAAAATATGAAAATAGCCAGAAATGTTTAAGAGAATAAAGGTATACTGAGAAGGCACTAACCTTAGGTTGATTTTCAAACATATTAGTTAACCAAAAAAAATTAAAACAATGTTATATTGGTGCATGAATTCATAGAGCAGATAGTGAAACAGAATAGTGTATTTATCTATATGTGTCTTTCTGTGCATCTTTCTATCAATCCTGAGTGCTTAAGGTGAGATTCACTTGCACCTGAATCAGCAGAAAATATTTGGAGCTTCAAGAATAAATGCAGATGGCACTTAGAGATGCTGCACCCAATGTCATAAGGGATTCTGTGGAGGAGCTCATTCCGATGAAATAGGTAAGTTTTTATTTTGTATTTTCATTTTTTTTTTTGAAATGAGAAAGAAAAGTCTCAATGAAAGCTAAGAGTCAGACACATATATAGAAATATTGCTGCCTACTCCCAGGCATGCAAGTGACCAACTCCTTACTTCAGGGAGTGGAGGAGCGAGATATCAAGAGTACAATTTTCTTAAGACACCTACCCCACCTTTCATCAAATATCCCCAACCCTAGATTAAGTGCAGGAGTCCTGAAAAACATTTCCACAGGGAAAGTCGGGGTCCCAGGCTCATGGGTGTCTTCTTACTGCCTTTAGCAGAACAAAAATGAGTAAAGCAAAGCTTCTTGCTTCAGAAATATTCAGTCTAATACAGTGTGTACCCTACACCTAATCATCACTTCATTCCAGAAGCTTTAATTGCACAAAATTCACTGGGAAAGGGATGATATTTGTCTGTTTTTTAAGGATAAGGTTGGTATTGGCTCAAATTTATATTTATTCTCCCCAAAGAGTCCCTCCCAGGTTTGTAATCCTGATGTAAGAGGCTGCTGCACCAAGTCGCTTCTTTCCAACCTGTCCTACTTTGTGTAGAGGAGGAGAGCGGGGAAGGAAGAAAAGAGAAAAAAAAAGCAAAGAAGTAAAAAGAGGCAGAAGGACAGTCCCTTTTCCTTGACACGGATGGCATGAATGGGCTTTTGCGGAGAAACTCTGCCTGACCCTGGAGTCTGAGTCAGGCAGAGTCTGAGTCAGGTGGAGTCCCAGTTAGAAGTCCTCTGAGGAAGCTGCACTAGAGTCACTGCCCTCAGACATCAACTTCCATGTCTTCCCCACTGCTGCAGTCTAAAGAGTTACTGCTTTCTTCCTCTTCGCCATCTTTCTTCCTGTTGTCTTCTGGTTCCATAGAGACCTGACAGTTTACCCAAATAGTCTGTGATGCCTCTGTTCCTGCAGCCTGGAGCCCCTGCCCCTCCCCAAACCCTTCTTGCAGACCCTTTGCTGATGAGGACTGCGGATCTGTTTGTTTCAAGCTGGGGGCCGGGCCTCCCATCATCGCCATATTCTTACCCTTAGCATAGGTCGATTCTTTGTATGCAGCATAATCTTCAGGTGACAAAGTCTTGAGCCAGAGATCCAATTCCACTTTGTATTCCTTCTGCAGCAACTCAGCCTGGCTCTTGTAATGATCCTTCTGGCTCTGCGGGATGCGCTGCCAGCGTCTGCCAATCTCTACCATGCGCTCCCTCAGGGACAAATGTTGCAGCTCCTTACTTGACCAGGAATCTTGGTGAAACTTCTGGTATCCATTCATGGGGGGTTTCTGAGGCTCTCCATGAAATTTTACCTTCTTGAAAAATTGATCCGTTTTTGGAAGAGACCTCACTTCTTCAATATTTTTCTGAACCTTCTTTTGCACTTTGGTTTGAACCCTCTTGCAGATATCAGATTTCTTGCCCTTCTGGTCTAAATCAGGGTGTTCTTCCCTGAATCGAGCAAGTTTTTCCTCAAATTCTTGCTTTTCCTTCCGGAAATCCTGAATATGTTTCTGTTTCATCTGCTCTGGGAGCTCCTTGTATTTCTTTGACAGGATTTTGGTCACTTCCTGGCTTCTCATCCCAGGGTACATTTGGGAGTACTGGGGCCAATTCTCCTTGAAGAAGCGGATATAAGCAGTAAGGAGCCTCTTTGGAAAGTCTGGATGGTTCCTGCCTTTTTGGCTTTTGTTTGTATTTTTAACACATTTCTTAGCTTCCAGGACTAATTTTTTCAAAGTGCTGAATTTTCTCAAGCTGCAAGAAATCTCTAACCATTTGAGTCTGCACATTTCACCAGAAAAGTTTTTAAAAGCTACTTTTCCCCAGTCCATGTGTGACTGAGTTGAGCTGAACGTGCCGTTGTCATCATATGGGAGATTATTCTCCATGCATTCCAGTAACCTCAAGATGTCTGCGTTGGACCAATGGCCTTGGCTTCTAGGCAAAGCCACTTTGATGTCTTTGGCTTACTTATAAGATCCCGGTTATGCAGACACCAGAGTAAGAACACAGAGTTCCTTACTTTTAAGAGTCAGTGGATGATTTCTTTCTGGAAGTCCTGCAGTATGTATGATTCTGTATTTCTGAGGAGAAAGAAAAGAAAGTTACTCTGCTTCATTGGGATTAATGAAAAAAATTACACCCTATTTGTCATATGTCCCTTGTATAATTAATTTACTCAATGATATAAATAAAATATAGCCCATTTCTGAATGAAAATCCATATTTGCCTTTCATATGCTACATGCGCAATATTCAATATCTCCGCACCCCACCCCAGCCTTCTTTCTGCCAGATCTCGCATGAACCGATCTTAAATTGAGTTGCATAAGGCAAACACCAGACCACTCATCACTTAAGAAGCTTAATAGAACAGAAATGCCCTGAAGACAGAGTCAAGAGTTAAAGTGGAAGGAGAAATGCCTAAACGGGAAAGACTGTTCATTCTACAGTGCCCTGAGTATGACCATTTTCTAAGCACAGCCCAAATAGCCATAGCTAAAGGTGCAGATGAGAAGTTAAAGATGCAATAGGACAAGCCCAAGAGCTCCTCCAGACATGCATCCAACTGTTGTTACCTTTTTGTGAGGGAATGTGAATCTGTGATAAAAGACTGAATTAAAGATTCTCCAGGAACCATGCATGGGAATGAATGCTTTCTAGTGAACCATACCGCTTCTCCTTTTAAATATCAAGGATTTAATGACAATTATAAAACATTTCAATTTTATTTGGTTAACTGTTCATCATCTTTAAGCCTCAGTGAAAGTTTGACTTCCTCCGGAAAGTGCCTCCAAAATACCTGGCATTTTCCATTATAGAACTTGAAAACATGGCAGATCCGATAACTACTGCTTATTTTTTTTAAATTTTATTTATTTATTTTTTTACCAATTTTGTTTTGCCTAAAGTAATTCCTCTGGGACATGATTTCCCAACTAATTCTCCAAATTCTCATAACTCTTTCACTAGTCTTTTTAGGATAATCTTCTATTCTAAGACAAAGCCTAACTTCAGTAAAATTGTGTACAAACACATACAACATTAAATGAAACCAGATCTTAAACAGAGGGTGCATAAGGAGTGTAACATGGGGACTTCAGGGGAAAATATGCATTAGAAGGGAAAGAGAACAGAGTTAAGATGCCAGTGGAGGTTGAAATTCTGAGAATGAGTTTCAGAATATGTGAGAATATTTTTGAGAACTATTTTTAATTCTCAGTAGAGTATAGAAGGATGTAGCCTTTGAATGACGTTAAAAATTCACTAGAAGTGTGAAGAATGTTATAATATCACATGCCTCAAAACACAAATTCCTTAACATAGAGATTAAAATGTTTTAAAATATTGGATAATAATTCAAGTCCATATTTGAGGTAGAAGATAAAATAAAGAATAGCTCATATATCAAATTTATTATGTGAAAAAGACTTTTGGAAAATTGTTCATAATAAATGAAAATATAAATAAAAATTAAAATTTATAAAAAAGCATTAAAATAAACTGTGAAAAACTTAGAAGAGGGTAAACTTGAAAGTTATTGAATTTTTAACCTCAAAAATCTGAAAAAAGTCAGTTCATTAGTGTCCTAAAAAAATAAAAATAAACGTAATAATGTAACAGGAGAGTAATTAAGAAAAAAGTAACATTCACAAAGGAAAATAAAAAAATTAAAAAATATTTGATTTCATACTTTGTGTTTAAGATCAAAACATACTCTGAAATGGTTCAGGGATAAAAAGATGTCAAACTTCCAAATATATTGTAAGTGATGATTATAAAAAATAAATACATAAATAAATATAAGATGTATTCTAACTCGGAAAAAGGGGAAGTCACATAGACTTGATGTTAGAAAAGAGATGTGGAATACTCAGAATCTGAATTTAGGAAAAGAAGTACTGTCTTCCCAATTGTAAATGTTAGGATGATGCGTATAAAGCAGTGAAAATAAAAATACAGTTGTGTTTTTGTTGTTATGTGGCTCTTTTATGAGCCAGACATTTTTTCAAATTGCCAAAGAGCGTGGCCCCCCAAAATATGTGTCTAAGTCCTAACCCCTGAAACCTGTGAATATGACCTTTTGAAAATAGGATCTTTGCAGATGTAATTACCTTGGTAATCTCCTAATGAGATTAGTCTGGGTTTAGGGTGGGACCTAAGTCCAATGACTCGTATCATTATAGAAGAAATCAAAGGAAGATCTGAGACACATCGACAGCCATGTGGAGACAGAGGCAGAGACAGAGCTCACTGGAGCTATGCTGCCACAAGCCAATGAAAGCTAAATGTTCCCATCAGCCATCAGAAACCAGCAGACAGGGAGGGGCTGGATTTCTACTCAGAATCCCCAATGGGAACCAACTCTGTCAACGTGTTGATTTTAAATTTTAGGTTTTCAGTATGTGAGAGAGCAAATTATTGTTTTATCTGTGATAGTTTATTACAGCAGCCCCAGCAAACTAAAATGTAAATGTTTTACACTTATTATTAATATCTTATTTTTCGCCTTGAATTTCTATGAGGTCATTTTATGCTTGCTGTTCTATTACTTCCATGATGAAACTGCGACCAGGTGTGGAGGCTCATGCCTGTAATCCCAGCACTTTAGGAGCCTAAGATGGGAGGATCACTTGAACTCAGGAGTTCAAGATAAGCCTGGGCAACAAGTGAGAAATCCCCTTAAAAAAAGAAATCTCTTAAAAAAAGAAAGAAAGAAGCTGGGAAATACTAAGAATTTATACAGGGCCAGGCACGGTGGCTCACGCCTGTAATTTCAACACTTTGGGAGGCTGAAGCAAGAAGATTGCTTGAGCTCAGGAGTTTGAGACCAGCCTGGGCAACATAGAGAGACCCCATCTCTAGAAAAACAAAAATTTAGCCAGACCCACACTTGTAGTGCCTGTAGTCCCAGCCACTCTGGAGGCTGAGGTGAGAGGATGGCTTGGGCACAGGAGGGCAAGACTTCAGTGAGCCTTGATTGTATCAGTGCACTTCAGACTAGGCAACAGAGTGAGACCCTGTCTCAAAAAAATTAACCTTGTGAACTGTATGTGATTGCCCCCTTTTCTGTGTTAGAATACATCTTTTATTTGTTTACTTTTTACTTTTTATCATCATCACTTGTAAAATACTTAGAAGTTTAAGACATCCTTTTATCCTTGAACCATTTGAGGGTAAGTTTTGATCTTAAACATAATGTATGGACTCCTGTGACTTTGTGAAGCTGTATGAATTCTTAATTTTTAATTTTTATTAATTTTTTTAATTTTTGTGACATGAAAAGTAAAAAATAAAAATAAATAAATAAAAATGTATAACCTTCACAAAGTCATGTTTTCTATTTTATAGAGTAAAAATATCAAAAAATAACAAGAGACTTTGAAAAGAACATTCAAACAACAAAATAGATTTTGTAAATTAAAAATACCATTACATAAATAAAAACTTCAGTGGAATATTAGGAAAATAAAAAAGTGCCTTTGAGCACTTTGAAAACTTTGCAGACGACCAAGGCTGCATGCAACCTGAAGTTACAGACAACACAGAACTTTTCATATTCTACAATAAATGTTTCCAATTAAATTCTAGATGTCATGCTATAGATAAAACTGTAAAATATCCAGGACTTTCCGTCCAGAAGTTCACAATTTTATAAACAAAAAAAAAATTAAAGGACATACTCACCTGAATATTCTATAACTGGTCTGAACAGTGCTTGCAGGAAAATTCATGCATTTGGCTCAGGAGTTGGGTGTCCCCTGGGCTTTCTGGATAACAGATGTTATTCTCTGAGATTTCCACAGTCTAGCAAATTCCAAATGCCTCTATAAATAATAAGCCTTGCTTTTTGGAGGCCAATGTATTATAGGATCCTTAAATCCCCTCCCTTATTAGGTTTCTGCAGTACAGAGGACCAATGAAAGGATTTACCCTTCCACCATTGTTTACATCAACTCAATTTCTAATCTCTGTAAATAGCCCTCTACAAACACCCTCTAGTTGTGGTTAGTGCTGGTTTATCTTGTCATTTATTTATTTATTTATTTATTTATTTATTTATTTATTTAGAGAGGGAGTCACCCTCTGTCATCCAGGCTGGAGTGCAATGGCATGATCTCGGCTCACCACAACCTCTGCCTCCCAGGTTCAAGGGATTCTCCTGTCTCAGCCTCCCGAGTTGTTCAGATTACAGGCATGTGCCACCAGGCCCGGCTGATTTTGTATTTTTAGTAGAGGCAGAGTTTCACCATGTTGGCCAGGCTGGTCTCAGACTCCTGACCTCCAGTGATCTGCCCGCCTTGGCCTCCCAAAGTGCTGGAATCACAGGTGTGAGCCACCATGCCTGGCTTTTGTCATTGATTATTAAACAACACCCACGTGGCAAATTCATGTTTGATTTTTTGGGGCCCCAAGTCTACTTTCATTTCTGCTCCCACATCTGATAGTATTTTTATATGATATTTGAATACATCATTCCATTCTTTGATAATTTCTGCCCTTTCTTCACTGAAATCTAGGATCTGCTACCATCTCACCTGGCTCATCGACATGTAAATCCCTTCAGTACTGATCAATTTCTACCAGTCTTTAGATTTGAAGACCAAAATGCTAATGACCATGATGGATGGTTTTGGAAAAAGACAAGTAGAGCCTCAATGTCTGGCACCTATGGCTGATTTAATTTTAAACTCAGGGAAATGAAATAGGTACTGTGCATAAAAAATATTCAGGTGATTTTATTTAAAGCATTTTTACTAAATTCAAACTAATCAAAAAAACCTTTATTTAAATGACAACTTATTTCAATAATTTTTAAATTTTCATTTTTAATCAATATATAAAAATTGCACATATGTATGACATACGATATAATATTTTGATACATGTATAAATTGTGCATTGATCAAATTAGGGTTTGACAACCTCAGGCTTCATAATTTATGAAATAGACCTCTGCCATTTAAAAACTTTATATCTAAACTTACCAACTAGTAATTAACTGAACATATCAAATAAGATATTATTTAAAAGAGCCTAAATTAATAAAATGTTTAAATACATTTTGAGCTTTAAAATACAATAAATAAATATGACTTATTTTAGAAAAATTTTTTTAAAAAATAGACAAAGGTGGATATAGACAAAAACATGTACAGAAAAATATCAAAAGGACTAAACCCCTTGGAGATTTTAATGGTAAAAGCTTGCTGATATTATTTTTAAAATTATCAACTTTTAAAAAAACATTTTATGGCCATTTGTTAATGAGCATAAGCTTCTACTGAAAATGAAATATTTGCTTCTATAAGAATATACTCTCAGATATTGTATGAGAATATACTGCAGCATTGTATGAGAGGCAAAAAACTAGAAGCCTTTGGAATATTCATCATGGGAGAATGGCTGGGCACATTAACGTACATTCACAGTAGGGAATATTCTGCAGCCATCACGTAAGTTAAGATCTAGATGTATTGATCTGAAGGGACATCTACAAAATATATATATTTTTTGAGCCGGAGTCTTGCTCTGTCGCCCAGGCTGGAGTGCAATGATGTGATCTTGGCTCACTGCAACCTCTGCCTCCCGGGTGCAAGTGATTCTCCTGCCTCGGTCTCCCACGTAGCTGGGATTACAGGCGCCCACCACCGCTCCCAGCTAATTTTTGTATTTTTAGTAGAGACAGGGTTTCGCCATGTCGGCCAAGCTGGTTTTGAACTCCTGACCTCAGGTGATCTGCCTGCCTCAGCCTCCCAAAGTGCTAGGATTACAGGTGTGAGCCACCGCACCCAGCCTACAAAATATTTTTTAATGAAAGAAGCAACTAACTAAAACTTTGTATAGTAGTTATGTTTTTATATTTTATATTCATATATGCAGTGATGCTCAATGGGAATTTTGCAAATCCAGGGGGCATGTGGCAATGGCTGAAGATATTTTTGGTTATCATGTCAGGGAGGTGCTAATGACATAGGGTTAAATCCTACAATGCACAACCTCCCTCAAAGAATTATCAACCCAAGATGTCAGTTGTGCTGAGCTTGAGAAACTCTGTCATAGGGAAAGGAAAAAAAGGATAAGCACCAAACTGCTAGCTTGTTCCTTATATATCTGTGCTGTTCAACTTATAATGTACATTTATTTTGACAACTGAAAATTATCCTATAAAAATAAGTTTATTGTGCTGGCAAAGACAATGATAGAGCAGAGGTGGCAGACTGTTCCCCAAGCCAACTGTTTCCAAAGGAGACCTGAGGGACTGGGTGTGAGTTGACAGTGGTGGGAGCTGGAAGCAGCAAGGGATGCGGGGACATCTGGGGAGCCTGGACCTGACCTTGGAGCTCACTCACACAATCTAAATAATCCCAGAGTGAGGCTGAGGTTTTCCTGAGTTGGATGAGGGCCTGCGAAAATTTCCTATTATTAGGCAAGCCTACTATGAGAGTGAGAAGCCTAAACTCAATTTCCATTTTATAGCCTGGAGTAAACCACTTCTGGTCAGGCAGCAGGGAATCATAACATATCAGAGCTGAATACCTCACTGGTTTGCTGAGGGGCAAGTTAGTAGGTGTTCCTCAGAAAGGATTTTGTGGTCAATTAAGACAGGGAAACTCTGGCTTAAACTGCAGGTAAATTAAATAAGAGGTCTTTACTGCAAGCCTAATCAGAGCCTTTATTATGCTAGTGTCCATCTCCAAAAGGGTGGTCATCAAATGCAGGCCCTCCCTGTCTTGACCAAGTCCTTTTTCTTGAGATCATGTCTTGAGACTTGGATGCCATGCAATACACTTTGGGAAATACTAACCTAGTTGAACGACAGTTTTACTGATGTAGAAATGGCGGCCCAAAGGATAAAAAGTAGCTGAACTAGCTGGTGGGGCTACTTTCCAGACCAATGCTTTTTTCTCCTGCCTAAGACCTTAACCACAGTTGCAAATTAACTACAGATCCTCAGAATTTTCGCCCAATTCAACTTGGAGGGGTTGCAGTGGAGGTGAGGGAGAAGGGAGTAACAGTGAAGCCATTCAAAGCAAAAACCACCTTTAAAGAAATTTTGGCCTTAGAATACAGGGTTTTTTTTTTTTTTTTTTTAATTGGTGGAGGGGGCACCCAGGAAGACCAGACGTGCTCCTGTGAAGCAACGCTCCACCACGTCCTTTTGAAAATACCGTAGCCTGCATGAGACAGGCGGGAGCACCTAAGCCTTCAACTCTCCCCATGTTGCCTCCAATTGACCTCACTGGGCCAGGAAAAGCCCTATAAACTGGTTTTGTATACTCTATCCAAGTAGTAAATTTACTAAAATTACTGGATCCTACTATATACCAGACCTCTGCAAGGCATTGAAGATTCAATGATGAGCATTAATTCCCACTCTAAGGGGATTTTTCTATCTGGTAGGGAAACTCAGATACCGCATGCAGCTAGCCTGTCACAGGGCTATACTGACTAAAGCTCACCCTAAGAAATTTGCACATCTTAGCCTATGGGCAACGGGAAGCCATGGACGGAATATGTTTTCCGTTTCAAACAAGGAACTCCAGTCACAGCAGGCTCTAACTCCATTTCCTATTATCAACTCCCCTTCCTGCTCCTCCTCCCTTAGTAGCCTCGAAAAAGAGTGGCCACTTCCTTCACATCACCAGGGCCTTGGTCCTGGTAGGGGGTCCCGCCCCCGGCCCTGTCCTCCTCCCCAGGCCGGGACCTCCGCGCCTCCCACACACAGTACAACTCTAACACGAAACTGGGCCAGGACTGCAGGTAGGTCCCGTCCAATGCGACACGCTCGCGACGGCCCACGCACTGCCAGAACCAGCCCTGCCACTAACCAGCCTAGTAAGGAACGCAGTGATCTTTAGGAGCCCACTTCTAAATTCAAATCATTTGGGGTTCAGTAAGTCTCTTCACAGACGGGGACCTAATAGCTTCCATTAGCAGCCTCCACGTTTGCTGAACACGACTACGGGGCCAGACCCACAGGAACTCCAATGTGGTTCAGCCGCTCAACTCCAGGGACCAAAAAGACTTTCCCACCTCCCAGCGTTATTAAAGGCAACCCCGCCCCCAAGCCTCAGCCACTACGCGGTGCAGAAAGAGGCAGAGCTGGGCATGCGCAATTTCCGCCCCCGCCACAGTCTTGGGAGTGGGCGGGCTCGAGGGCTGGGAGGAAGCCGAAAGCTGACCGAGAGGAGAAAGAAGCCCGCCCCCGGAAGTCCCTCCTGTCTCTGCAGCTTGTTCCCGGAAGTTTTGCTGCTAGTCGCGGACGCAATGGCTTCAAGGTTACTTCGCGGAGCTGGAACGCTGGCCGCGCAGGCCCTGAGGGCTCGCGGCCCCAGTGGCGCGGCCGCGATGCGCTCCATGGCATCTGGAGGTACTCGGGTCTCCGGGCGTGCCAGGGACCAGAGTGTTGCCCTCCCAGGGTGGTCCCAGGGCGGCAAAGCGGCGCGGCTCGTGCAGCTTCTCGAGGTCCCAGTGGCCGCTTTACGGTCCCCAGTGCCTCAGGCTCTGCAGGCATCTCCCTGTAATTCTGGACCGCTGCTCCTGCCGCTCCCCGAACTCACTCCGCTGCGAAAGTATCCTAAACGGAGGTGCCGGGTGACCTTGGGAGGGACCGGGGCTGCCACCGGGATGGGGAGGGGTCCGGCCTCCCTTCAAACCTGCGCCCACCTCAAGCAGAGTGGGTTCTACATGCTTTTAGACAAATGTCGACAAATTTGCCTCGGTGGTTGGAGAAAGAAAAGCTCATAGGCCGGGCGCGGTGGCTCACAACTGTAATCCCAGCACTTTGGGAGGCCGAGGCGGACAGATCCCCTGAGGTCAGGAGCTCAAGACCAGCCTGGCCAACATGGTAAAACCCCGTTTCTACTAAAAATACAAAAATTAGCCGGGCGTGGTGGCGCGCGCCTGTAGTCCCAGCTACTCGGGAGGCTGAGGCAGGAGAATCGCTTAAACCCGGGAGGCGGAGGTTCCCGTGAGCCAACATCGCGCCATTGCACTCCAGCCTGGGCAACAAGAGCAAAACTCCGTCTCAAAAAAGAAAAAAAAAGCTCCCCCGAGTGCTGCCGCTTGTGTGGATGGGTACTTGGTGGTTCTTAGGGGACCATGGATATGAGTAGCCTTTAGGAGCTTGTGAGCCCGCTAAAACTTATACAGAAGTTTCGGGGCACCATTTTCCTTGATCATTTCTGTTTGTAGTTTTTCTATCAGTCATTTCAGTCAGCGTCATAATTCACGTTATCTTCCTTTAGGTGGTGTTCCCACTGATGAAGAGCAGGCGACTGGGTTGGAGAGGGAGATCATGCTGGCTGCAAAGAAGGGACTGGTAAGGAGAAACTCCCTTCTGTGTCTTCTGTGTAACTTATGGCCTTGGATGTGTTCATAGTGGTCTCCTCTCTGGGAGTATTTGATACAGGAAACTTGGCTTGTAGGAACAGTCCCCTGAGCTTCTGGAAGGTAGGGCTTATTTGGCCTAATGGTTCAATTCTTGTTTTTTTTGTTTTGTTTTGTTTTTTGTTTTTTCTTCAGGACCCATACAATGTACTGGCCCCAAAGGGAGCTTCAGGCACCAGGGAAGACCCTAATTTAGTCCCCTCCATCTCCAACAAGAGAATAGTAGGCTGCATCTGTAAGTACCTCACCTCTATTTTTTATCCACTTGCTTAATATATCCTACAATAGTGTGTAAGCTGCCTCAAATCTTCAGTGTGTGAGTGCATGTTGGTAAGTTTGTCTAAGGGTCTTGACACTCTCAAGCCTCATTATGCCTGATAGTTCATCCTTACTGGAAAGAAGCGCAGCACAGCGGTAAGACTGGCTCACTGGGAGTGCGGCATGAAGGAGTACCCACCCAGCAAATATTTATTGTTATACTGCTTCTATGCCAGGCATCATTTTAGACACTAGGGATACATACCAGAACGGACCCTGCTTTGCGTTCTACATAGGCAAGGGAATTGTTAGAATTTACAGTGACCTTGATACAAGGTCAGTTTACTCATAGGTGAACTCAGAGCCTCAATTTCTTCATCTGAAGAATGGGAGGAGGGCTTGAACTGATCTCTTAAGATATCAACCATAGTCTTACTTGTGTATCAGAGATGTCTGAGGAAAAGAAATTCATGTTGAAAGTCTCCCTTTCTAGGTTGGATGACCATAAACCACCTTTTTTCCCTTTTAGGTGAAGAGGACAATACCAGCGTCGTCTGGTTTTGGCTGCACAAAGGCGAGGCCCAGCGATGCCCCCGCTGTGGAGCCCATTACAAGCTGGTGCCCCAGCAGCTGGCACACTGAGCACCTGCACTAAATTACTCAAAATGTGCTGTAAAGTTTCTTCTTTCCAGTAAAGACTAGCCATTGCATTGGCTCCTTCTCCCATAGATGGCTGGTCTTATTTCTTACCCGTATTCTTTGGTAGGCATGGAATATGCTTATTTTGGGAAAAGCTGTCTGTTAATGCTAGCTTGCCATCCACTTACTGAAAGTGTATAACCAGTGTATAGTGCTTAGATTAATAATAAGAATAGATCGACAACCCGTAATGCAATGAATGGGACCACCTGGTATGAGAGAAAGGGGCGGGCTGAGGAGTCAGGCTGACAGGACTTAAAATATTGGCTCCATCATTTGGCTCTATCTCTGTGGACATGTTCTCTGGGGGTCAAGTACAACTACAAAAAGGTAAGTACCTTACAAGGTGCTTAATATGTAAAGAGCTGAGTGGATAGTAGGTCCTCACAGTATCCTCATAGAGACAGGGTGGCCTTGTGAAGAGAGTTTTGGGGATTTTGAAGTCTTGAGGGACCCAGGTGCAAAGTAAGAATTCATGGGGATACCAGCAGCAAAATTCAGAATATGGAACAATTTCAGAAATCACTGACCATGTTTCTTCAAATAAATTGCAAGGAGTGGGGGGAAAAGCTAGGGAGAACATGTGGAGAAACAGATAAGGGAGATACCAGTCAGCAGCATGCACACCTTGTTTAGATCTTGATTTGAAAACAATTATAAAGGAAAAAAAATTGAGAAGAATTTGAACTCTGGATATTTGATATGTAGACATTTACCACCCTTTCAGGTATTTATATAGTTTTGTTTTGTTTTTTTTAATGCTTGAGATACGCACAGGAATAAGGGAGGGGAGAAATGCCAAAAAAGCCCACTTTAGCTGCTTCATACCTGTGACACCTTGGGACAAGTTAAAATCTCAAAACCCTCTTACCTACAAAATGGAAATACCTTTTCATTTTGTGTGGAGATTAGCCAGAGGTGGCTTCAGTTACTATCTTCACAAAATTGGTCGAAAGTAGGTATTTCAGTGGGAGCTGATAGAGTCAGAGAAAAGCCCCTTCCCCTCATCTTGCCCATCCTGAAGGTGTAGTCAAAGCTATTGCTTCCATCCTTGTTGTTCATGACCTGTGTCCAGGAAATGTCTAAGCACTGACCTGCCATTTAAGGCCCTTTCCTCTGGGAAGGGGAGCTCTCAGATAACCCCCTGTGAAATCTAACCCCTACACGCCCATGAGATTAGTCTGTGCTGTCACTAAGCCCTCCTGTGTGGCTGGCCTGCCTTTCCCTTTCCACATCTCTTCCAACTCAAACTCGGCTGAGGGAGACTTTTGACTCCCCACATCATTAATCCAGTCTGTTTTCTCCCTCCCTCATCTCCAAGTCTTTGCTTTTCTTTTTTAAAATTTAACCAATTTACTTGTAAAGAAAAATTGGCTGGGCATGGTGGCTCATGCCTGTAACCACAACACTTTGGGAGGCTGAGGTGGAAAGGACCACTTGAACCCAGGAGTTTGAGGCTTCAGTGAGCCATGACCGTGCCACTGCACTCCAGCCTGGGTGACAAAGCAAGACCTTGTCTCAAACCAAAAAAACAAGCGGAAAGAAAAATCTCCAGTACATTTCCAGACAGTGGCAGGCAGAATAATGATCCCCCAAAGATGTCCGCGTCATAAATCCCTAGAATCTGTGAATATGTTAGGTCACATAGCAAGAAGGAATTAAGACTACAGATGGAATTCAGGTTGCTAATCAGCTGACCTTAAAACAGTTATTCCCAGATTATCCAGGTGGATCCAAAAAGCACAAAAGAGGCAAAAGAGAGTCAGAGATGTGACTCAGAATGGTCAGAGAGATGCAATGTTGGTGGCTTTGAAGATGGAGGAAGGGGTCCACGAGCCAAGGAAGGCAAGTAGCTATTCTAAAAGCTGGGAAGGGCAAGGAAATGATACTCTAGTCTTCAGAAAGGAGTGAAGCCCTGCTGATACTTTCACTTCAGCCTAGTGAGACCCACATTAGACTTAGGAACCGTAAGATAATAACTAACTATTTTTTTTTTTTGAGACAGAGTCTTGCTCTGTCGCCCAGCCTGGAGTGCAGTGGCACGATCTTGGCTCACTGCAAGCTCCGCCTTCTGGGTTCACGCCACTCTCCCGCCTCAGCCTCCTGAATAGCTGGGACTACAGGCGCCTGCCACCACGCCCAGCTAATTTTTTTTTTTTTTTTTTAGTAGAGACGGGGTTTCACTGTGTTATCCAGGATGGTCTTGATCTCCTGACCTGTGATCCGCCCGCCTCGGCCTCCCAAAGTGCTGGGATTACAGGTGTGAGCCACCGTGCCCGGCCATAAACTTGTGTTATTTTAAGCCACTAAGTTTGTGAGAATTTTCTGTGGCACTAATAGGAAAAGAATACACAGATCAATAAATCCAATCCCTGAGTCAGTAGGTCTCATATTTAGCTGCACCTTAGAACCACCTGGGGATCTTTTACAACTCCCAGTGCCCAGGCCACACCCAGACATTAAAATAGTATCTTGGGGTAGGACCCAAGCATCAGAAGTTTAAAGTTCCACAGGTGTTTCCAACAGCAAGGCTGAGAACTGCTTCAGGCTAACCATATGGAATAGCTCGCTTCCTTGCCTCATGGTAACTGGGAGCCCTAGTGGTAGGGGGAAAGATATAATGTTCCCCACTAGGAGGACAAAACTTTTGCTTTTGGGTAGAAGTGGGCTCCATCTGAACCTCTGGCCACTTAGCAGCTTAAATTGGATGCCATCTCCACTCACCAAGGAAGAATATAAGCCTCACTCTAACTGTATTAAACTCTTTCCAAGTATACAAGGAAGAACTTTTTCCCAGGGCCATTTGAAAGTAAGGTGATCTGATGCCCCATCACACGCATGTTTATTTCTTACAAAGACATTCTCTTAATACCCACAACATGACCATCAAAATCACAAAACTACGATTTGTATATTTCTACCATCTAATCTTCAGACTCATTTAAGTTTTGCTAGAAGTTCCAATAATGTCTTCTATAGCAAAAGGAGTCAACTCAGAATCACGTGTTGCCCTTAGTTGTTCCATCTGGAACAGTTCCTGTCTTTCCTTGACTATCCCGACCTTGACACTTTTAAGAATTATACCAACAACTTGGGTTTGTCTCTTTCACACTGGATTCAGGTTACGCATGGTGGGCAAGGAATGCTGCCCCCTTCCTGGGAGGCACGTGATGCCCACTTGTCCACTGCTGAGGAGGTTCACTTCTGTCACTTGATGAAGCTAATGTCTGCCAAACTTCACTGTGAAGTTGCTCTTTACTATCTTATGAGGCACTACTTAGAAATGTCAATACCTTGTTCCTCATCAAACTTTCAGCTTACTAATTATCAGTATGGATTCATACTTTATTTTATTCAGTGGATTATAATCCATGGCTATCATTATTTATTTTTTGATGTTTAATTTGTTCCAAATTTGGCCAGCGGGAACCTCTTCTAGCTGGCTCCTGTGGCCTTTTGACATGCCTCTATCATTTGAGATGGAGTCTCACTCTGTTGCCCAGGCTGGAGTGCAGTGGCATGATCTTGGCTCACTGCAAGCTCCACCTCCTGGGTTCATGCCATTCTCCTGCCTCAGCCTCCCAAATAGCTGGGACTACAGGCGCCCGCCACCACGCCCAGCTAATTTTTTGTACTTTTAGTAGAGACAGGTTTTCACCGTGTTAGCCAGGATGGTCTCGATCTCTTGACCTCGTGATCCGCCCGCCTCGGCCTCCCAAAGTGCTGGGATTATAGGTGTGAGCCACTGCGCCCGGCCTCTTTGAGCATTTCTTTTTATTTTCTGGAATAAAATGTTCCAGGCTTGTCTTCCAGGCTGTGAATAAACCCATGAGGAAGCTGCTATTATTACCATCCCCATAATAGAGATGGGGAAGCCTGGGGACAGCTCAGGAATACACAGCTAGCAATTTCTTGTGGCAAGATTGTGAACCCAGACCATAGCTCCAGACCCTGAGCTCTTTTCCCCCACCCCAACTTTTAAGTTATTATTTTTGAAACAGGGTCTTTGTCACCCAGGCTGGAGTGCAGTGGTTTGTTCATAGCTCACTGGAACCTCGAAATCCTGGGCTCAAGCAATCCTGCAGCCTCGGCCTCCCAAAGTGCTGGGATTACAGGCATGTGACACCACACGCAGCGCAATTTTCTATTTTAAAATAATTTTAGACTTACAGAAAAATTGCAAAAAATAATAGAGTTCCTACTTAACCTTCACTCAGTTTTCCTTAATGTTAACACCTGGCAGTACCATAGCATAATTATTGAAACCAGGAAATTAACACTGATGCAGTACTATGGACTAACCAGCAGACCTTATCATGATTTTGCTGGCTTTCCTGGTAAGGTCTTTTTTCCAACCTAGGATCTCACATTGCACTTGGTCTTTCCTTGTCCCCATGACCTGCCACTTTTGAACAAGGCAACTCTATTCATTTGTAGACTGCCCTCAGTTTGGGTTTGCCTACTGCTTGCTCCTGGTTAGACTGAGGTGATGCAAGAATACCAGAGGGAAAATCAGGCCCCTCTTAGTGCATCATCAAGAGACAATGACTTATGGCCAGGCCCAGTGGCTCATGCCTGTAATTCCAGCACTTTTGGAGGCTGGGACAGGCAGATAACTTAATGTCAGGAGTTCGAGACCAGCTTGGCTAACCTGGTGAAATCCCATCTCTACTAAAAATACAAAAATTGGCTGGGTGTGGTGGTGAGCGCCTGTAATCCCAGCTACTCGGGAGGTTGAGGCGGGAGAATCGCTTGAACCCAGGAGGTGGAGGTTGCAGTGAGCTGAGATCTCACCACTGCGCTCCAGCCTGGGCAACATAGAGAGACTCCATCTCAAAAAAGCAAAGAAAAAAAGAGACAATGACTTATGGCTGGGCTTGGTGGCTCATGCCTGTAATCCCAGTGCTTTGGGAGGCTGAGGCAGGAGATGTACTTGAAGCCAGGAGTTTGAGACTCACCAGGGCAATAAAGTGAGACCCCCATCTCTACAAAAAAATAACAACTAGTGGGGTGTGGTGGTGCCCACCTGTAGCCCCAGCACCTTGGAGGCTGAGGCAAGAGGATCCCGTGAGCCCAGGAGATGGAGGCTGCAGTGAGCCGTGATCGTGCCACTGCATTCCACTCTAGCCTCCACAACAGAGTGAGATCCTCTTAAAAAAAAACAGAGACAATGACTTATTACTGGAGATGTATACTCTGATTATTTGGTTAAGGTAGTGTCAATGTCTCTCCACCATAAAGTTACTATTTCTCCTTTTGTAATTAATAAGTATCTTGTAGAGGGATAGAGACAACACAAATGTCTTTACTTTTGCCCACTGATTTTTGTCTCCATTCTTACCTGCAACAATGATCACTATGGTGTTTCCTCAATGGTGACTTTTTTCCCACAATTCCTTTGACATCAATTGGAATTTTACCATAAGTGAGAACTGTCCCTTCTTCCCCATGTATACATTTATTCAGTTATTTATTTGCATGAGTATGACTCACGCATATTTTATGCCATGGCTTATCATCCGTTACAGATTTGAGCATTGGGTGCTCCTTCTAGTTGGTTCTTGTGTCCTTTAGACAAGCCCTTCCCTTTTTCACTTCCTTACTTTATGGTACCACAGAATATTCCAAGCTCATCTATTATTTTCCCTGTTTCAGGGAATTGTCCCAGGGGAAATGTCATGTCCCCTACTAGGAGGACCAAACCTTTGCTCTTGGGTCGAAGTGGCTTCTATCTGAGCTTAGTTTAGAAAATGGAGCCCATCTTCCCTCACCAAGGGAGAACACAGGCCTCACACTAATGGTATTAAACTATTTACAAGTACAGAATAAAGAACTTTTTCCCAGAATGGTATTTAGAAACCAAGATCTGGACACTGTATGTGCTCATTGCTATTGTAGTGTCATTGCTTCCAGACCTTCCCAACAGACAGGGCTAGGAAATGCATGTGTATGTTCTGATGCTGGCTCTCACACACAGATGTGTTTATTTTGGTATCTATCTGTATGTATATTAAAACCATGACTTCATACTACCTCCAACTCCAATCCAACACAGGCTTCATTCCAGCTGTACTACCTTCCTCATCTGTAGCTTTTTCCAACAGTAAGAAGCTGGCAGAGTCTGAGCACTTAAACCTGCCAGAAGAGGGGGTACAGAGGATGGTGCTTTGCCTTAAAGGACAAGATTTTCACAGGCACAAGCGAAGGTCATTCCCATGGAGAGAACAGCATGCCTGAAGGCTAGCAGGCAAAGGATGTGAGGGGTAAACCTAAAACAGGGAAGGAACAGATCTCAAGGGGCCTGAGTCAAACACAACATGTGGCTCACGTAGGTGGTTTTACCAGCATCACATCAATTGTTTCATGTCACGAGGCAGTGGAGAACCACTTGACACTTTGGAGTAGGAGGTGTCAGAACCAATCTTATCTGGGCTTTAGATCCACGAGCAAATAGATTGGGTGGCCAGGGAATGGAGCTGTGGTCATAGCTATGGTGGCAGTGGCTGTGCTGGAAAAGAACGGACCAGTGGGAAAGGTACTACAGAAGAACCACACAACCTGGTGACTGACAGAGTGGGAGAGACAGGGAAGAGGAAAGCGTCGATGGATAAGGCTCTAACCTGGGAGGCAGGGAGCCAGTGGTGCCATGAACAGAGCACTGTGGGAAGAACTGGTCTGGAGGGTGCCCTAATATGGAGTTCTCCGTGCAAATTCTGCTTTCCCTTTGAGGGCCAGTGCAAGCATAACTGCCTTGTGACCACAAAGCCTCACAAAACGCCTTGGCAGACAGGCCTCAGTACTCTCCTCACTCCTACCTCATCTCCTCAGTCCTGGGGCTGCCCTCACCCCCCACAAACCCCAACTGCCTACAACACACTGCTCTGGTCACCATCTTTCTATGGCTGGCCACCCATCTCCCAGGACACAGCTAACAATCCTCCATGTGCCAGCTCAACCCACCTTTTTTGTTCATCTCACACAATGACCACAGACCACTGACCTTTCCCTGCTGACTGGGCATTGGGTCCCTGCCTTCCTCTCCAGACCCACTGGTCCCAGGTGCTTCTTTGGGCTCTCACATCTGCATAGAATGCCTTCCCCATCCCTGGATAACCTCTGGATCCTTGCAAGTCGGCCTGCCCCACCTGTCGGGCCAGATGACTAACGCCTCGGCCCCCACAACTCTGTACTAAAATGGCTCATCTGTCTTTCTCCCTTGACGTGTGTATTTGTTAGGGCAAGGATATAACTTGTTGACCATTGGCCCCAAACACACGGCACCATCCTGGAAACACTGTAGGTTCTCAAACACTTAAGAAAGTAAAGAGCAGACATTCTCCAAACCCTAATTCCTCACTGCTCTTCTGCCTATTCCTCTAGGGCCTGGCTAAGCTCACAGCCTCTCTGCCTCTCCCTGCCTTCCCCATCCTGACTTGTCTGAAGGCGTGAGCTTGCATCATTGCTGGTGTCCACCAGCCTTAGCCCTGGCTGAATGGGGTGAGCAGAGGTGCTCAAATAGGCCTGTCCAGGGTCCGGGGGCAAAGAAGGTAGCCTGGTTCTACTTCCCCTGGTGGACTGCAGCAGGGGAGGTAACAGGCGAGGGAATTATGCTACAGGGTGAGAGCCCAGCCTCCTGAGGCTTTTTGTGCCACGTTGGCGGGCCAACCACTGAAACCTTCATGCCGCTAAGCTAGAGCCAGTGCCTTGCTGCATTCTCTCTGGTCCTTTCTCTGAAAGTCCCCAGGGATGGAAGAACAAACGATAGCACAGAGAGCCACAAGAAAACAGAGCCACACACTGGGCCTTGTCCATAATTATTACTATAATGATTTACAAAAGTTTTTTTCAGGCAACCGTGTTAAATTATTGTACATATCTGAGAGAGGGAGGTGGGGCCCTGGCCACAGCAAAAGTGACGACCTCTTTCTTGGGTGAGGTAAGAAAATGTCCCCCACCCCCTTTTAGGTCTGACTCCTTATTAAGTGGCTTCCCCTCAATAAATGATGAGCATCAACCCTTTCCCACCCAGGGTGCCGAGGGTAGAGGGAGGAGCAAGTGGATGAAGTGCTCTGAAAAGGATAGTGCAGCGGCTCTAGCCACCGTGCATCCTCTGCCCTGGCTCTGAAGGGCCTGACCCTGGGCTGCACCCCCTTGCTGGGGATGGAAGACCATTCAGTACTCAGCCCTACACCAGGGCATCTACCCAGGAAGATAGGAGGACAGAGTGTGAAAGGGGCTGTGTCACCCTGTCAGGTCACGAACAGGAGGTGGCAATGGATGCAGTGACACACCAGTGGGAGCTGCTGGCTGCCCCTTGCAGCCCACTCCCCAAACTGGCTACCCAGGCATCCAGGCATTCTGGCCCTGGAGCTCAGGGAGGCAGCCCTGAGAGTCGGAGCAGGGAACCACAGGCCTAGCTGGCCCTGCCAGGGGGATACCCACAACAGCCTGACATGGCGCTCAATTCCCACACGCCAGCTCAAGGCTCCTGTCCATGCAGCTCAATGTTACTTGTGTGTGCATGTCCTGTGTAGAGGGGAAGGCTGCAGGGGGGCACTGCTGTGCCACCCACCCAGGGGTTCAGGGCATGCAGGGGACCCTAAGCCTAGTATACGAGCCAAGACCAAAAAGGGTTAAAGGCTCTGTCTCCCCTCCCTCCCCCTCTCCCAACATGCCCCGCCCTCCTTGGGCACTAGAAAGTTTTGCGATGAATAGCACGGGAGCCATCCTCTTCATACTCCTTTTTGGACACCCACATCTTCTTAAAAGTGTCCAGCGAGGCCAGGATGGAGCCGCTGTGGGGATGGAGGGATAGTATTGCTGTGGACCTGTCAGGGAGCCAACCACCTTCCTGGGTGCTCAGAGTTGCATTTCCCTAATTTGGGAGGGAAATCCACCCACCTCCACGTGGCCTAGGCCAACAATGGGAGGAGCATCCAGGGTAAAGTGGTCTCCTCCCAGAGCCCTCCCTTGAGCCCCGCCTCACCCAATCCATGTGGAGTACAGCCGTTCCTGCGGGGCTGAGATCTAGAAGGAGGAAGTGGCCACGTTAACTGTGGATCCCCACCCAGAAGCCATCCTCCCAGCCTTGGGGTCACCTTCCCCAGGTCCTGAAGCCTGACAGCAAAGGCATAAGCTGGGGAGTGGCAGCAGCAGCCTTGGGAAGAACAGGACTAGGTGGACGTGAGCTGGTGAGCGGGTCTGGGGGCAGCATTCAACCTTCCTCCCCATGCCAAGGCTGCCAGCGCCCTAGTGCCCCAGGGGGAGTTTCTGTAACCTCACCTTGATTTTGATATCCTTTGGGGCAAGCTTCTTCACTTCACTGAGTAATCGGTCTCCGAAGCCTGTGAACACAAAGCTGGCTGAGCCTGGGGTCTGCACCCGGCCTCCTCGCTGCTAGCTCCCGCACCCAGCCTTCAGGGCCCCCAGCTACTGCTGGTCCTCTATCAGCAGCTCTTCCCAGGATGAAGGGCAAGGCTGAGAAATGATCCAGCCCCATGGCTGCCTGCGGGCCCTGCGTCCTCACAGAGGCAGCGTGAGATGAAGCCGCACATGCTCCTTGCTCGACTCTCACAATACACTTTAGAGCTTGTGTAAACTTCTCCTCTATTCACAGAGTAAACAAAATTTAATTTTAAATTTTGGTCTGTTAAAAAAAATGTTCATTGAGCACCACCAAAAAGCCAACAGAATATGGCTCTGGGTAGGGGTATACTCTCTGAGGGTCCAGCTGCCCTGGGCCTCGTCTCACCACCACCAACTCTCAAGCCACAGTACCTTTGAAAAGCGTTGAGCCACCTGAGAGCACGATGTTGGCGAACAGCGTCCGGCGCAGGTCCATGTCGGACTTGTGTATGGCGAAGGCCACCACCTCATGGAGCCCCTCACTCTCATCCCCGACAAGGTCCGGCTGGAACAGCAGCTCGGGGGCCCGGAATCGTGCAGGCCCCACCTTTAGTGTACAAGATTGAGGCAGACAGGCTTCCTGGAGAAGCGGGCTACCCCTTCCCCCAGGCTGGGCATCGGCTGCCACTCCAGTGCCAGGCCCGGCCACTTACATCAAGCGTGCTGCCGTCTGGCAACGTGTACTGCACCTTCTCCGTCTCCAGAGCCTCATCCTTCTGTGGGTTGATGGACAGGTAGCACGCTCGCTGCGGGGACAGGGACACAGCCCTCAGAAGGCTGCACCTGGGACACCTGTGCCTTGGTGCCACCCTTTCCTCACCCCAGGTCGTGTCCACACCCTCTCGCCCCTTGTCACCTCTTTGATTGTCCGGACAACCTCAAACTCAGCCGAGGTATGGAAGTCAACCCCTTCCTTGCGCAGCAGGAGTCGGAGGTAGCGGGAGACGTCGCGGCCGGCAATGTCCACCCGCATGATGGAGTGAGGCATGGCAAAGCCCTCATAGATGGGCACAGCATGAGTGACCCCGTCCCCTGAGTCTAGAACCACTCCTGTCGTGCGTCCTGTTGCGTACCTGTCACCAGGTCAGCATCCCCTCACCTCAGCCACTGAGGCACGGGGACCTCCTCACCCAGGGGAGGAACCCTGGCACATCTGCATTATCTAGTCTGAAGAGAGGACACGAGGGACTCCCTAGAGGAACAGTCATCAAGGGGCTGTTTTTCCAGGGAAGTCAGACCCTGGTCATGGCAAGCAGGACGGCACAGGGAGGACAGGACTCAGGGAGGCCAGGCTTAGGGAGCACTCACAGACTGAGCACAGCCTGCATGGAGATGAACAGGGCCGGCACGTTGAAGGTCTCAAAGAACACCTCTGCCGCCTTCTCCCGGTTCTTACTCGGGTTGAGCGGGGCCTCCGTGAGGAGCACAGGATGCTGCGAGGGACGGGACAGTTGTAGGCATCAGAGGAGGCAACTTGCAAGGCCCTAAAAGGCTCTTTCCAGAGAACCACACCCGCTGGCGCACAGGCAGCTCAGCCTCCTACCCCTCCTGAGGGCCCCATCCCTTTATCTGCTGGCAGTTACTCTTCCGGAGATCCGGCTCTCTTTGGAAGATTCTGCCTAGCAGCCACTGGGTACGTATGCGCACCCAGACACACACGGAAAGGCAGCAGGCCCTCTAGAAATGTAGAAGGGAAATGTGGGAGCCCGGCGAGGAGGGACGCAGAGGAGAGGGGCATGGCCAGGAGAATGCAGAGCATGCAGGAGGGGCAGCCGCCACACCTCCTCCGAGAAGGTCTGCAGCTGATCCTTGGAGTAGACGTACTGCCAGATGCGTTCCATGTCGTTCCAGTCTCGCACCACGCCGTGCTCCATGGGGTAGCGGATGGTCAGCAGCCCCCGGTGCTCCTGGTGGGGTGGGAAGGGAGGTGTGGCACCCGGCCCTTGCTCAGCGGCTGCTTTCCGCCCTCCTGGAAGCTGACCCTCACCTGCCCTGACCAGAACCTCACCTGCCCTGACCAGAACCACCCCTGCTCACTGGGTGTCCCAGGGTCTGTGGCGGGTCCTGAACTCAGCATGGGCTCACCTGCCCACCAGCTTCTTAGGCTCTTAGAGCCCAGCTAGCTTCAGCTGGGGGGATCAGAGAGGGTGGCAGTGTGCCCCGCAATCTGCAGGCTCTCTTCTTCCCCATTCTCACTGCCGGCACATCCCCCACATTCTCCTCACACTCTGCCAGCTCCCCTCTGGCCAGCGCCGGCACCTTGCAGCCGCCCAACACGGCCCCTCCTGGGCCACCTGTGCCCCCTGACCTACGCCTCTCCCCCCAGCCCTTTGGCCGGTCCTCACCAGTCCCCTGTTTGCACTGACATGCTGCCTCCACCTGCCCTTCGATGTCCCCCCAGCCATGCCCCTTCTCACCTAGCACCACTTAGCTCCTCTCACCACCTCGGCTCCTACGGACCCCATCTGCGAGACCCCCACCCTCTGCACCTCCAGCTCAGGCCTCCCCTTTCTGGGCCCAGAACCACGCATGCCCCACGCCCCGGCACCCGACACAATGCTCCTCAGGCGCCTAAACTGCCCTTGGCCAAGCTCAGCTTGCTGCTCTCCCCACACCCACACATGCTCTCCTGAGGGTCTGATCAGGCCATGCAGCCCCTTGGTGGGACACTCCGGCTTCACTGTGAGAGGCGGCCCCATGGCCCTCATTAGAGCAGACGTGAAGTGTGTGTGATTCTGACTCTTATATCACTTTTTGATCAGTTCTTGGTTCTGTAGCTTCCAAATAGCTTCTAAAAGACAGGACACGATGAGCTCTACCCATGCTCCCTAGAAGAGGAACTGCTGCCCCATCTCAGGGGGAGGTGCCCCTGCACAGCACTTCCCAGCTGGAGCCTGGAGGAGGTACCCGGGAGGTCACCAGCAGAGGCCCAAGAACACATGCCATGTTCCTGCAACTGAGGACCCCACCCCCAGGGAAAGGCAGGCTCCTCGGTGTTACCTCTGCTTTTGGTCCGATGAAGAGGTCCCCCTCCAGGGCTCCAGCCATCACCCGCATGTGCTTCGGCCGCCCGACACTGTTAGGACGGATAACGTCAGCAAGGTGGGCAGGGAGCATGGCAGAGCTTGTGTCCAGAAAAACCGAAATCCAACCATAGTCGCCCAGAGGGTACCTGGCCTCCAAACACCAGGATGTGGCTGGGGGGCACAGGTTGGAACTGGGGCCTATGGGGTTCGGGGCTAGAGAGGGGGCCTAGGCAGGACGAGAAGCTCAGGGTCAGAAGGCACGGTCAGCAGAGACAGCTGCATGTCTGAGCGCCAGAACCCAGCCCTCCATGGCCCAGCCCTTGCAGAGGGTCGGCTTCCTGCAGCCACAGTGACTCAGCCCACGCTCCTGACTTCGGTGGGGCAGGGCTGCCGTCACCATCCACAGACTGAGGGAGGACAACCCCAGGAAGCTGGGTCGGGGCTCCCTTGTGCACCCTGCTCTCACTCAGTCAAGCGCCCTACCCCACTGCCAGCGCTTCTGGATCAGAGATTCAGTTCTTGGAAACTATAGGATCTGATGAGCTACCACTAAAGGCAAAGGAACCTCTAATTATACCCATGCAGTCAGAAAGGAATGCTGAAGCTCGACAGGGCGCACCATGCTAGCTCTGTCCCAGACCAGGCCGGGCTCGGGCTAGCCTGCCACTCGGGGCCTAGGATCCCCTGCTGCCCGCTGCCTTTAGGCCACTCATTCCAAAGCCTCCAGGATTTGTGAAGAGGTGCCCCTAAGGGCAACTTTCCCAATGGGCTCGTGGTGGGTGCAAGGGGCACCCCAGGCTCTCTGGGTTTGCAATTCTTATTCCCGCCCCCACCAGTACCATACAGGGCAAAGGATCCCCTCTTAACTGAAACAAGACATTTTCTAGAGTCTGAAAACAAGCCCGGCAGAAAACACTTCCAGGGAGGAAAGGGTGGCTGTGCATCTAATTCCTCACTCTTCCTGCTCCGAGTTTAGGGCTCCCCTCGGAGATGTCTCCCTTTATTCTTGCTGCTGCTACCACACCCCATCCCCAGGGAAATGCTGGTTGCTTTTCCTCCTTGCTGGCTCAACAAGACCAAAACGAGAGACTCCCAAGACAAAGGGGAACCCTAGAACGCTTGTCTTGTTCTTTCAGTGCTCTCTCAAGAGTGTCAACCTCACAAATTTGGTGTTTTCCATACAGGTCAGGGCACAAATTGTCTTCAAAGAGCCCTGTGACAGAAGGCCAATGTTCTTACAGAAGGTAAACAAAAGGACTAAGGCTGCTGCCTGAGCCACACTTACTAGTTTGGGAAACAGTATTTGGGAATCTGGTCTCCTGCAAAGCCAGCTTTAATCACCCCCGAACCCTGCAAGGAAAAACAAAGTTGAGCTGCCCACATGCACCACCAGATGAAGCCAGTCCCCCGCAATGGAGAGAGCTGGCTGCCCCGTCAAGGCAGGCCAAGGAGGAAGCCAGGGACCCTGCCAGGATCATTTACAAGTACACCTATGGTTCAAGATTGGGGGCAATTTTGTATCCCCCTGCTCTGGCAACATTTGGCAATGTCTGGCAGCTGGGGAGAGGGGACATGCAGTGGGGGATGCTATTGGCATCTAGTGGGCAGAGGCCAAGGATGCTGCTCAACATCCTACGATGCACAGGCGAGCCTGCACTACCAACAAGGAGCTAGCCCAGAATGTCAATAATATAGAGATAGAGAAACCACGAAGGGCACCTTCCTCTGCACAACTAATGGTTGGCTCCAGCAGGATTCCATAGCACATGCTACTCCCAAAAGCTAGAAGAAACCCCTCTGTGTGGGTCTTTTTTTTTTTTTTTCAACAGCTTCCTTCTCCCCCAAGAACCCAGAAGGCATGGAACATGGACGACCTACAGGGCCTGCTGGAGAAGACCAATGGGTGCATGGGATGACCGGCAGCTTCCCTCAAGTGGCTTCCCAGAGACTACTAGGAGAACTTGGTCCTATCGCTGCCCCCACCTGGAAGCTGGACTTAAGGATCCCCCAAAGAACGGGGCAATTAGAAACCTCCCACCCAGCGAAGGGATAAGCTTCTCAACTCAGTCCCACCACTCTTCATCGCAACCCTCTGAGTCTGCAGCAGAAACAAACATCTCCAAGTTACAGAGGAGGGGATGGAATCCCCAAGGGGCCGAGCGGTAGCCCTTTTAACTTATAAGCCTGTTGATTAGCCTATACGAGTTATTTGCACGTCAAGAAAGGAAGTAGCCTGCTCCTTCCTGCAGCGTCCTGCTGGTGTGACAGCACGTCCCCAAGCTCAGTGCTAACCTCCTTATTAAACATCCCCTGCTGTGACTCAGGGAACCCACATGGGTACTCTAAAACAGTCATTCAGGGACCCCACGGGGTCATGTGGGAGGGAGACAGATCCCAGAAAGAGCACAAGTGAGTCATTACCAAAAACTCCAAGGCCCGCACACCGGACGCACATACCCAGCTAGGGGCAGACTCAAAGATCCCAGCCCTTATCTTCTCCCCATATCAGAGCTCGGAAGCCAGAAATCTTCCTAAGGCAGGTGAAAGCAAGCCGAGCCCCACTGCTGAAGGACAAAGCCACAGGAAGCCTGATGACATCTTTCCTCTGAGGCTTCCAAACGATCACCCCAAATTGCTTGCTGATACTGGGAAGAGTGGCCATGAACTCTCCATTGCTCTGCTGGCTGTGGAATGTTTGCTCAGCACAGGAAGCATTTAAGGAGAAAGTCAAAGTAGCCAAAAGGCAAACCAGATGGTGGTGGACATGTGGGTGACAGAGCATCCTGCATTTGTTGCCTCGGGGTGCAGCCCCAAAGATAAAGCCAGCAGTGTGCAAATGACAAATGCTACCCCACCTCCGCCAGGCAGCCAGAGCCAGGGCCGAAGGACGCGGAAAGGAACTGGTGTGGAAACCTGCCCAGGAACCGCACTCTCAACTGAGAAGAGTCCGGGGCGCGTCCCCGCCCGGCCGCCCGGCTGTCACTCAAGCTCTCCTGAACTTCCCCGCCCGACTCGGGGAGGGGTCGGGGAAGAGGCTCTGCGACGCGGGCGAGGGGGCTCGCCCCATGGCCGGCCTTACAAGGCCAAGAGGGCGCGCGCCCCCGGGGCGAAGCCAGCGGCCCGGCGGGGGCGACGGCCACGCAGTGAGCGGAGGACGCGCCGAGGCGGGCGGGGGTCTCTCCCTGCGCCGCCGCGTGCGCCCCCGGGGGCGGGGCGCCCGCCCTCCCCCTGGCTGCCGGGCCTCACGTTGTCGATGACCACAGGCTGGTTGGCGATGATGTCGTAGGACTCCATGGCCGGGCCGCGCCGGCCCTGCCCAGCAGGCGGGCTGCAGGAGGCACCGGATGGGCGGGCGGGCGGGAGGACCGGGACGGCGGCGGCTCCCGACGCGGCGCCGCTGCCCTCCCTCCCCGAGCCTGCAGCCTACGCGAGCCCCGCGGGGCTTTCTGGAGGGCGGGCCCGGCGGCCAATCATCGCTCCCACCTGGCCCGATTGACAGCAGGTGCCCGGGGCTGGCTGCGCGAAGGGGGCGGGGCCTCCGGAGGCTGGCCAGCCAATTGAGGTCGTCCGGAAAAAAGTGGTCGCGGCGTTGCCAAGGTAGGCTGCGCAGTGTCTGGGATGATGTCATGGCTCCGTCTTAAAGGGGACGCGGGCGGCAGAAAGTGGAGCTGGGCTGGTGTGCGCGCGGCCGGAGTCTGTGGAGCTGGAAATTCACCGGTCCAGGAAGACGTCTTTCCCGCGTCCCAGCACCGGTCCAGAAAGACGTCTTTCCCGCGTCCCAGCACCTCGGGCCACGCTCCTTCGTGAGAGCGCCCTCTCCAAGGAGGCCGGCCCTGGATATTTCACCCAAAATATTTATTTTTTCTTTTTTTCTAGGTAAGGTGTCTTGCTCTGTCGCTCAGGCTGGAAATCTTGGGCTCAAGCGATCCTCCCGCGCCAGCCAGTAGGGGGGACTACAGGCGCGCACCATATTTATTTATTTTTACTGAAATAGTCTCCGTAGAGACTGTTAAAAATTGCCGATGTCGACTATATTGCAAGTCGTCACGGTGGGGTATTGCGAAAAGTTTTCAATTAGCAATAATCGCGCTTCGGATAAACCTCATTGGCCACCATACGGCCACCGCGCAACGCTAGCTAATTAAAAAAAATTTTTTTTGTAGAGAAGGGATCTCGCTATGTTCCCCGGGCTAGCCTCGAACTCCTGAGCTTAAGCGATCCTCCCGCTTAGTCTTTCCAAAGCGTTGGGATTACAGGCGTCAGCTATTGCGCACGGCCCCATAATATTTCCTCGTTGAGCACTGAAGAAAAGATCCTTTTCCTTATAAAAATTACAGTTTCGTGGTATTTTGGTCCTGGCATTTATTGAGCACCTGCTCTGTGCCTGCGGAGCACTTCTGCCCACTTTACATAAGTTATATTAAATCCTTGCAACAATATCAGGTAGTTGTATTATTACTCCCATTTTTCAGTCAGGGTCTTCACACTTTGGTAACCTGCCCAAGATTATTGGGTGTGGAATTGGCATGCAGGTAGCCCCCTGCGGCACTGGAGTCAGCTGCTTCAAGAGTGCAGGATAGTTGAGTTCTACATTTGTTTACCAAACGGATCCATAGTTATTTCCCTGTATATATACCTCTCCCAATGGGTTGTGAGCATAAAATTTGTAAAATTGAAGCGGGTGTGCAGAAATCACAAGTGTACATGTACATTTCAATGAATGATTAAAATGTGGACACACTTGCATAACCACCGAGTTCAAGAAACAATATTGTTGCTGGAAAAGGGGTCCCGATCCAGACCCCAAGGGAGGGTTATTGGATCTTGCCCAGAAGAAATTCAAGGCAAGTTGCAGAGTGCAGTGAGAAGCGATTGTTTATTGAAAGCTACTCAGTTACAGAGTAGGCCATCCTCAGAAAGCAAGAGGGGGAACACACCCTCTTTATATTAAACTCTTCTTATAGAGGGGTCTTATCTATGTAAAAACTAAGCTATGTCTACATGAGGGTGGGCTGACAGCATAACAAAATTTAGTGCTTTTTGATTTAAAGAAAGTTATCCTTGGCATTTTAATGCATAAATACATCAAAGCATGACTCTCTCTCTCTCTCTCTCTCTCTCTCTCTCTCTCTCTCTCTCTCTATATATATATATATATATATATATATATATATATATTTTGTTTTGTTTTGTTTTTTTGAGACAGGGTCTCACCTTGTTGCCCAAGCTGGAGTGCAGTTGCCTGATATCAGCTCACTGCAACCTCCACCTCCCAGGCTCAAGCTATCCTCCTGCCTCAGCCTTCCAAGTAGCTGGGACCACAGGTGTGCACCATCACGCCCAGGTAATTTTTTTGTATTTTTAGTAGAGACCGGGTTTTGCTATGTTGCCCAGGCTGGTCTCGAACTCCTGAGCTCAAGCAGTCCACCCACTTTGGACTCCCAAAGTGCTGGGATTACAGGTGTGAGCCATCGAGTCCTGTAACTATAACTATCTTAAATCATATATTGTTAGGCAATATTGGAGCATCTGGACATTTTGTTGTTGTAGGATTTTGTCCTTGCAGGCATTACTAAACTGCTCTTTTAGCCATAGCATCTTATGACCATGGGTTGGGACTAGCAAGGAATGTGCCTTGCTAGTTTTAAGATGGAGTTGGGGCCGGGCGCGGTGGCTTATGCCTGTAATCCCAGCACTTTGGAAGGCCGAGGCGGGCAGATCACGAGGTCAGGAGATTGAGACCATCCTGGCTAACACGGTGAAACCCTGTCTTTACTAAAAATACAAAAAAGTAGCTGGGCGTGGTGGCATGCGTCTGTTGTCCCAGCTACTCAGGAGGCTGGGGTAGGAGAATCGCTTGAACCCAGGAGGCGGAGGTTGCAGTGAGCCGAGATCGCGCCACCAGCCTGGGCGACAGAGTGAGACTCCGTCTCAAAAAAAAAAAAAAAAAAAAAGATGGGGTTGAGATGGGCACGGTAGCTCATGCGTGTAATCCCAGTACTTGTGGAGGCTGAAGTGGGTGGATTGCTTGAGCCCAGGAATTTGAGACCAGCCTGGACAACATGGCAAAACCCTGTCTCTACAAAAAATACAAAAATTAGCCGGGCATGATGTTGTGCGCCTGTAGTGCCAGCTACTCCAGAGGCTGAGGTGGGAGGTTGGCTTGAGCCCGGGAGATGGAGGTTGCGGTGAGCCCAGATCGCACCATTGCACTCCAGCCTGGGTGACAGAGCCAGACTCTGTCTCAAAAAAAAAAAAAAAAAAAAAAGCAGTTGATTTTAAAATGGTGTCACCCTGTCTCTCCTAGGCTCCTGTTTTCCTAATAGCATGAACAGCCCCCCCGTCAGCTCCTACCCCTTGGTCTCTGACCTGTTCCTCCTCCGAGGTGACCTCTATCCTGAATTTTGAAAACATATTAGTATTGCCTGTTTCTGGACTTTGTGCAGATGAAGTCATTGGTATGTATTCATTTGCATCTAGTGTTTATACATTCATAAAATAGATCACTGTGTAGCCATTAAAAATAATGAGAGAGTGCTATATAATTTCATATGAAACATATCAGGACACATTGCTAAGTAAAAGCAAAGAGAAAGCAGACACCGAGTGTAGACTGTTATATGCATGAATGTCTCTGAACAGTATATGAGGCACCTTCAGGTCTCTTTTTTATTTTTTTTTTTTTTGAGACAATCTTTCTCTGTTGCCCAGGCTGGAGTGCAGTGGCGCAATCTGGGCTCACTGCAACCTCCACCTGTCGGGTTCAGGCAATTCTCCTGGCTCAGCCTCCCTAGTAGCTGGGATCACAGGTTCCCGCCACCATGCCCAGCTAAGTTTTTTTTTTTTTTTTTTTTGAGATGGAGTCTCACTCTGTCACCCAGGCTGGAGTGCAGTGGTGCGGTCTCGGCTCACTGCAAGCTCCGCCTCCCGGGTTCATGCCATTCTCCTGCCTCAGCCTCCCGAGTAGCTGGGACTACAGGCGCCCACCACCACGCCTGGCTAATTTTTTGTATTTTTAGTAGAGATGGGGTTTCACCGTGTTAGCCAGGATGATCTCGATCTCCTGACCTTGTGATCTGCCTGCCTCGGCCTCCCAAAATGCTGGGATTACAGGTGTGAGCCACCGTGCCTGGCCCCAAAGATGATTGTCTTATAAAAGCCTATGTAACCCTTTTCATTTTTTCTTTAAAAAATGTCTTCCTTTACCTCCTGGAACACATCCATACTTATTCCCATTGTAATGCCCGTTCCTGAATAAACATCATTGTTTTTTTAGAGAGGGAGAGAGAGTCCATTGGTGAGAGAGTCTCACCAATCTCCTGTCCCCAGGGCACTTCCACCCCTGGGTATTTGTACTGATCAACCAGGTTACGCTTTCAGCATTTGCAAACTCAGGATGGAGATTTTAGACCCTCTTCAACCTCCAGGTTTCCTCTTTGCAAAGGCCAGCAGCAGAAGCAAAAGAGATGGAGCCCGGGTTAGCATTTATTTTTCTATTTACCAGTCATTTGGAATTTGGACATTTTCTGTCCTGTGGTTGTGGTGAGGGTGTGGGTTTTGTGTTGTTTTATATATTCTTTGTTATTTTTTATTCTAGTTTTTGTTTTTGTTTTGGAAGGTATTTTAGAGAAATAAGATTTCTGTGGTTACCATGACCTGCTGTTACAGATTACATGGTACCCTCTCTTCATATGTTGAAGTCCTAGCCACCCCGCCGAACCTCAGAATGTGACTGTATTTGGAGATAGGGTCTTTACAGAGGAAATCAAGTTAAAATGAAGTCATTAGGGCAGGCCCTAATCCGATATGATCCTGTGTTCTTAGAAGAGGAAATGTGGACTCAGGTGTGTATGGAGGGAAGATGTCTTGCAAGCCCAAGGAGAAGATGGCCATCTGAGCCCACGTCCTGGAACAGAGACTTCCCTCACAGCCTCAGAAAGAACCAGCCCTGCTGACGTCTTGATCTCAGACCTCCAGCCTCCAGAACTGGGAGACGATTCAGTCAGCATCTACACAACACAGGGTTGAACTGTGCGGGTCCACTTCTATGCAGATTATTTTCTTTTTTCTTTTTTGAGACAGAGTCTCGCCCGGTTGCTCAGGCTGAAGTGTAGTGGTGTGATCTTGGCTTACTGCAGCTTCCACCTCCCAGGTGCAAGTGATTCTCCTGCCTCAGCTTCCCAAGTAGCTGGGACTATGGGTACTCGCCACCACACCTGGCTAATTTTTGTATTTTTAGTAGAGATGGGGTTTCACCATGTTGGTCAGGCTGGTCTTGAACTCCTGACCCCAAGTGATCTGCCTGCCTTGGCCTCCCAGATTGCTGGGATTACAGGTGTGAGCCACCGTGCCCGGCCCTATATAACTCTTTGTGCAAGTTTTTACCCCTAAAAGATATCTGCCATCTCAGCCATGGAACAGACACTGTAAGAACATGAAGGCTCA
Source organism: Homo sapiens (assembly GCF_000001405.40). Taxonomy (NCBI): domain Eukaryota; kingdom Metazoa; phylum Chordata; class Mammalia; order Primates; family Hominidae; genus Homo; species Homo sapiens. The sequence goes on from NW_025791765.1 coordinate 595,073, forward strand.
AGGGCAGGGCTGGCTACATAATTTGTGGGACCCATTACAAAATGAACATGGAGAAAAAACTAGAAAAAAGTGTAGTACAAGGTACTATAATAGATTTTTCCTTTGAAAACAGTTTAATACTTATAAAATGTAATAGAGGGAAATAGTGACACGTGAGTAACAAAATGGGCGTATCAATTGGTCTATGCTATTTTTGGTGTTATAATTTTACCTAATATAATAAGCAGCAACACTTTGTTAGTGAGACGGGCTTTCACCATGTTGGCCAGGCTGGTCTGGAACTCCTGACCTCAGGTGATCCGCCTGCCTCAGCCTTCCAAAGTGCTGGGATTACAGGTGTGAGCCTCTGCGCCCGGCTGTGATGTCTTGATTGATCATAGGATTTTTCTGGCTATTCTAGCTACTTCCAATTCGCTTCAGCCAATTTAGTTGAAGTTTTATCACTTGTGACTTCAGAGTCCTGGTTAATATCCTGTTGCCCTCAGGACATGCAGGATGGAGGAAGGCACCAGGGAGCCGAGGGAAGTGAGCAGAGAGGCAGTCACTTCAGGGCCACCAGCATAGCCCCCGTCACTGTCCACAGACACAGGCCCTTCCCCTTCTCATGGTTGAGCAGGCTCCACCTCACTTCCGTGTATGACTTCATAGACCGTTAGGTTCCGTGGTACCCTGGAGTCCACAGCTGCTGAATCTGAAGGGCCATCAGAAGACTGGCTTCTCCATGATGGTTTATGGACTAAGGCAAAGATGAGCAGAGCCATGGCCCTCTTCTTTGTTCTCTGCTGGATCCAAGGTATATTGCTGTGGCAGCTGGAGAGAAACATGGGCCTCACTTCAAGCCTAAGTGGGGCAGAGGAGGGCGTTCCCTCCCACAGTGTGGGGAACACAGATGCTTTACCTACTCTACCTTCTATACCTCCCCAAATCTGCCATTCAGGGTTTATTACTTGGGGGAAGGGAGTAACTGAAAACATTTTCCTAACTTTGAAGCTTTCTCAAAATTCAGAGCTCTATAGGAGGGTGGCATACATGCGTATTTTAACTTTTCACTGTAAGCATTTCCAAACATATGCAAAAGTAGAAAGATTAGTATAAAGAACCACCATATGCTAACTAACCCTCCTGATTTTATCTATATATATGCACTATTTAAAAAATAACAGGGTTAGGCCGGGTACAGTGGCTCACTCTTGTAACTCCAGCACTTTAGGAGGCCAAGGCAGGAGGATTCCTTGAGCTCAGGAGTTTGTGACAGGCCTAGGCAACATCATGAGAGCCTGTCTGTATAAAAAATTTTAAAATTAGCCATGCATGGTGATGCGTGCGTGTGGTCCCAGCTACTAGGGAGGCTGAGGTGGGATGATCACTTGAGCCCAAAAAGTCGAGGCTGCAGTAAGCCGTGATCACACCACTGCACTCAAGCTTGGGCAACAGAGTGGGATCCTGTCTCAAAAAAAAAAAATTAGTAATAACTTTATAGGATATAATATATAATAAAATTCACCCTTTATTTTATTTTTCTATTTATTGTTATTATTTTTGAGATAGGTTCTCCCTCTGTCACCCAGAGCTGGAGTGCGGTGGCATAATCACAGCTAATTGCAGCCTCAACATTCCAGGCCCAAGGATCCTCCCTTCAGCCTTCCAGGTAGCTGGGACCACAGGCATGTACCACCACACCCAGCTAATTTTTTAAATTTCTGTAGAAATAGGGATCTCACTATGTTGCCCAGGCTGGTCTCAAACTCCTGGGCTCAAGTGATCCTCCTACCTTGGCCTCCCAAAGTGCTGGAATTACAGGCATGAACCACTATGTCTGGCCAAATTTACCCTTTACAAAGTATATAATTCAGTGGTTTTTAGTATACTCATAGAGTTGTGAAGCATCACTATCTAATTTTATTTAATTTTTAATTTTTTAATTTTTTGAGATGGAGTGTCGCTCTCTCACCCAGGCTGGAGTGCAGTGGCGCTATCTTGGCTCACTGCAACATCTGCTTCCCAGGTTCAAGTGATTATCCTGCCTCAGCCTCCCAAGTTGCTGGGATTACAGGCGTGTGCCACCACGCCTGGCTAATTTACTAAACTAATAAATTACTAAATTAGTAAGTTACTAGTAAATTAGTAATTACTAAAATATAATTTTTAGTAGAGATGGGATTTCATCATGTTGGCCAGGCTGGTCATGAACTCCTGACCTCAATGGATCCTCCTGCCTCAGCTTCCTGAGTAGCTGGGACCACAGGTGCACACCACCACGCCCAGGTAATTAATTTTTATTTTTTGTAGAGTCGGGGGTCTCCCTATGTTTCCCAGGCTGGCCTCGAACTCCTGACCTCAAGTGATCCTCCCACCTCAGCCTCCCCGAGTGCTGGGATTAAAGACGTGAGCCACGGCACCTGGCCTGAATTTTCCTCAAATTCAAAAAATCCTGATGAAGGTTTGGCTAAAATCTTTGGTGAGTTACCCCACTCCCTGTGGAACCTCAGGCTGGATTTGAAGAGTTGCGTGCATGGTCCTCATTGTCTCCCAGGTAACCTGTTCCCGCTGCTGTGAAGGGAAGGCAGGTGCTCTTCCTTGAGGCTAGAATCTGTCTACGTGTCACAGTCTCAGGAAATTAAGCAAAACAGATGATAAACACCTCAAAAGGACCCTACTGAGCATCAGTGGAGCAGAGCAGGGCCATGTGGGACTGCGGCGTCAGATGCCACCTCACACTAGCTGTGACACACCTGCCTCGCCAGTTTCTGCTCTGAGGCCCCAAAGCCGAGCTGAACCTCCTCCAGGGGTTCTCAGCCCTAACTGAGCATGAAAACCCCTGGGGCAATCCTCTTTTTAACAATTGAGACATTCCACACACACCCCACATCAGATTTTGGGGTGTGGGGATAGACCTTCACATTTGTAGTTTTCTAACCCTCCAGGGGACACTAGGCTGAGACTCATTGGTCTCCACTCTGAACCTTCCACTGAACATGTGAGAAAAACTAAGGCCCAGGGAAGTCTTTAGCAGAGAGCTGAGACGGAGAAAAGGGTTCTGAACCACAGCTGTCTGCTGAAGGAAGCTGTCCAAAGGCCAGTGAAGTCTCTCCTGAGGGTGCCTGGGCTGTGCATCAGGAGTGAAGGTTGAGGGTCACCTTAGGTGTGAGAAGGAGCAACTGGGAGAGTGGCGCTGATGCTTCCCCCCGGGTTAGGAGGCATTTGGATCACAGAGCGATGCCTGTTCATTCCTGCTTGCAAGGGAGCAGATCTCTCGACACCCGATGGGCCTCTATTCCGTTCCGGCAGCTGTCCGTGTCAGGAGCGCTGGGCTTGCTCCTCCCCACGGGAGCCATCACAGAGGCCTCGGGCAGTCTGCATAGACAACTGCCTGGCAGGTGACCAGGAGGGGATGCATGAGCAGATGCAGGTAGCACTCGCAGTCCCCCTAGCTGTGCCCTCAGCACCTGCTGTCTAGGAGGCAGAAGCCTTGTTCTCGGCCTTGCAGGTGACCCCAGTGTCTCTGAATTCGGCCCCATATGTGTAGGAGGGGAGTGATTGCATCTGAAGATGGGAGTCTGGTTGGGGGTTTGGGAAGCTCCCATCACCCCTCAAGAGTCCACTGACCAGCCCAGCTCACACCAGGTGGGCCTTGGCACTGGAGGCCACGGCTCAACTCTGCAGTTCCCTCTGGGCAGCATTTCCAGGGACTCGTAGGTCAGCATGGTCATCAAGGACAGGTGGTGAGAGCAGCTCCTCATTGTCCTGGTGACCCCGATGGTTCATTTTCTGGTGTCTCTGTGGTGAGCTCCTGTTACATCAAGCGAGTGGAAACCACCGAGGACCAACAGCCCTGGAAATGCACTGAGAATGCAGGATGAGTGGGCTTTGTGAGGACTGTTTTCTGTGACTTAGCAAGGAAAGCCTGGAAGGGAAAGTAAAACTGCTTCTTCCCAGGGAAGCCAGAAACCTGAGAACTTAAAAGGGAAGGAGAACTTAATATATTTCAAAAATGTAACCCTTGTGAATTAGCAACAGCTTTATAAACAAAGAGATTTCCGAGCTTATAGAATCTATTCTGCTTTGTTTCTGCCCCCATGGCTCCTACCCCTGTTTTTGTGGGTACAATTTTCATATAGAACATTTTTACACAAGCTTCAAAACTCTCTGAGGACAGCTTTCCCCTTTGTGTCTGTCGGGTCCCAGGCAGTCACATCCCAGGAAGTGCTGGGGTTGGGCTCCTTGCTCCACATCCTTCTTCAGTGGCACGAAGCGTGGGGTGGAGTGTGTGAGTCATGTGTGATCTTGGTGTGGGCTATGGCTGGTCTGCAGCACCCCTTCAATGACTGCTTCAAGGGCTTTTCATGATGCTTGTAGCTCATGAGCTAGTGTTTCCTAGATGCTGTTTCCAGGTGTCTTGCATGTCACACACTGGCCTACCAGGGCTGGAGTGAGATCATGAGCGCCAGATTGTTGGTGAAGGAAGTTGACAGAGACATCGAATGTCGGTGAACAGGAGTGACCTTGGGTCTCAATAAATACTGTGGTCAACTGAATCCAGAACCCACCCTTACCAGCAGGGCCCACTTCTTCCCCAGCAGGCCGAGCTCTTCCCCTCCTGTCTTCCCTGGCCCTTGCTTTGTAGCTCTGTGTGGCTGTGTCATGTCTGGTTGTATCTGTATATACTTCTGCCTCTCCCGCTATCTAGATGGCTCGGGGAGGCACACCACACACCAGGTCACCTTCCTCTCTGAACCCCCAGCACCTCATACTGTTTCTGTGCAGAGATAAGGCTGGGTGAAAGCTTGTGTGAATGATCTGAAGTCTTCTACTCTAGGCCAGTCTCCAGGAGCATTATGATCTTTAGGAGGGTGGGCTTGGTTCCTCTGTACAATAATGGGTCATAAAACTGAGTGGTCAAGATCATCCCGGTGAGGGCAGTCCGTGTG